>NC_000017.11:15642626-15945656 GCF_000001405.40 Homo sapiens
GGAGAAACCCCAAGGAACCTACAGGAATGGAGGCTAGGCATGCAGTACCACGTCCCACACCCTCACAGGCCTGGCTGACCCAGGCTGGTCTTACCAGAACAGACTTTTGGTTAGCCTGGAGCCTGGAGATGGCATTTTCATTCAACTTGAGTTTCCGCTCCAAGTCTAACTGGGTGCACTGGAGTTCAGCCTAAAAGTGGAAAGCAGAGAATTAAGGAGGAAGGAGCCCAATGCACACAGAAGGACACGGGCACTCTCCAGCCCTGACATCCCCGCCCTTCTTCCCTGGAAAGAAGTTTAACTTCTGTGGCTGATCTCAGAAACCAGCCGGGAGGCACGAAGGGTTGGCGGTGAGCCCGTGCCCTCCTGGGGCTGCAGTCAGCATGAGTCAGCGAAAATACAGTGAGCACGGATGCCGTGCTGCTCACCATTTCAAGCATTTTGTGGATTACCCCACACCATCCTTGCCATACCCATACTAGCTGTAAACCAGAAATAAAATCCTAAACCCCCAACAATCTGAATGGATCCCTCCTCTCAGCAAAGGGCATTCCAAAGTTAACCTGAAAAACCAGTTCAGGCCATGATGGGAAGGGAGGTCAGACATGGCTCATTATAACTTCCTCCCTTTTGGAATTACTGATACAGCAGACTCTTTCAGTCTGATTAGAAACATTTACAATCTGTTCTCTCCAAAACCTCCTCCCTGGAGGCTTTACCCACATGATAAAACCTTGGTTTCCACCACCTCTTATCTTAACCCAGACATTCCTAAGTCTTTAGACAATAACTTGACTCTTTCAACCAACTGCCAATCAGAAAATCTTTGAATCTACCTATGACCCGGAAGCCCTGGTTTCCAGTTGTCCCACCTTTCCAGACCAAACCAAATTACATCTTACATGTATTTGATTGATGTCTCATGTCTCCCTAAAATGTATACTAGGCTGTACCCCAACCACCTTGGGCACATGTTCTCAGGGTCTCCTGAGAGCTGTGTCACAGACCATTGGTCACTCATATTTGGCTCAGGATGAATATCTTCAAATATGTTACAGAGTTTGACTCCTTTTGTCAACATAGGTAAACATGATTATTATTTCAAAGGTACAGGTGATAAAATCATGTTTCCAAGTTCATCAATGGAGTTGAGCCTAGGCTGACCCCACAAGAGCCAAACAGGGAGTGTAGGGTTGGAGCCAGATGGCCAAGTGGGAAGTCTACATTTTTTTACTTAGCAGTTGAGACTTTGGCCAAATTTACTTATGAATAGGAAAAACAAACTTTCTTTGTCTTATAGTCACACAACACAGAACACTTTCATAACTAAAACGTGTGGGTTTTTTTCCACATGAAGCCATTCTCCAACAACAGCTGGGTGTCCTAAGATGTAACTCAATTCTGACACTCCCTACTTGGAGATGGAAGAGATGCACGGGGCAAGGGATGTGGGAGGGAAGTGACACCTCCGTGCCCTCTCCAGTGCAGGGTGCACACCCTCCATGGACTTCCACCCCTTCAGCAATCCAGAAGCTCCCGGAAGCCCAGCCCTTTGGGTTTGTGTCTTTGTTTATTTTGAGATGGAGTCTCGCTCTGTCTCCCAGGCTGGAGTGCAGTGGCGCGATCTCGACTCACTGCAACCTCTGTCTCCTGGGTTCAAGCAATTCTCCTGCTTCAGCCTCCCGAGGAGCTGGGACTACAGGTATGTGCCACCACACCTGGCTAATTTTTTTGTATTTTTAGTAGAGACAGGGTTTCACCATGTTGGTCAGGCTGGTCTTGAACTCCTGACCTCAAATGATCTGCCTCCACCTCGGCCTCCCAAAATGCTGGGATTATAGGTGTGAACCACCGCGCCTGATGCCTTTTGGGTTTATATGGAGGCTTCATGATGTAGGCATGATTGATTACATCACTGGCCATTGGTGATCCTCTCAACCTTCAGCCTCACTTCCCTCCCTGGAGGAGATCAGGGAGATGGGGCTGAAAGTCAAACCCTTTCATCATAGGGTTGGCTCCTTTGGCAACTAGCCCCCATCCTGAGGCTCTCGGGAGCCCCCTCAGCCACCCAGTCATCTCACTGGCATTCAGACACTTACCACTTCAGAGAGTCTGGGGGTTCTAAGAGCTGTCGGGTGCCAGGAAATGGGGGCAGAGACCAAACCTAAGTTTTTGTTGTTGTTGTTGTTGTTCTTTGTTTGTTTTTTGAGATGGAGTCTCACACTGTCGTCCAGGCTGGAGTGCAATGGTGCAATCTTGGCTCACTACAACCTCCACCTCCCGGGTTCATGCGATTCTCCTGCCTCAGCCTCCTGAGTAGCTGGGATTACAGATACACACCGCCACACCCGGTTAATTTTTGTATTTTTAGTAGAGACAGGGTTTCACTATGTTGGCCAGACTGGTCTGGAACTCCTGACCTTGTGATCCGCCTGCCTTGGCCTCCCAAACTGTTGGGATTACAGGCATGAGCCACCGTGCCTGGCCTGTTTCTTATTTCACAACTTAATATCTCTAAACTTCCATTTCTTCACCTGTGAGATGGGGCTCAGTAAAGTGTTTGCTTCATAGGATTAGGAAAGAATGGACTAACGAGATAACGTATGTCAATAAGAACTTTGTATAGTACCAGGGACATTATTAATGAGCTCCATAAATGTCAGTGGGTGCCAGCATCGTCATCATCATCATTATTACTCCTGCTACCATGGCTGCTTTCCATTCATGTTCTGTATTCGAAGGCAGAGCCAGCCCTCCCAGCCCAGGCAAGTGCCTGCCCAAAAACCTCAGGTTTGCCTGCTTTGGCCCCAGCTTCAATCTTGCCTCCTGGGATGCACTAAACACCTTCTGCCAAGAGGTGTGCCAAGGCGCACTTAAGCCTTTGCAAACCTCAAAGACCCTGTCACTTTCCTACTTCCACAAGGGCAATATACAAAAAGAAAAAGAAAAAAAAAAAAGAATCGCTTTCACTGCTTAATAGCTTCTGTCTGCATTTAAAGCTGCGAGTCATTATGCCCTAATAGAACTCAGAGAGCATAAACTGTCTCTCCATTCTCCACTGAAGACTGGGGGAATTCCAGGCCCCCTGGGGAGGGAAGCAGCTGCAGGCAGAGGACTCGCCTCTCCAGGACACTGCAGAAGGCAGGAAATGTTTGCTCAGGCTCCAGGTCACTGAGAGTGGAGCTGAGGGGGCCCCAGTGACCTCTCACCCTTGATACCTGAGACGTGATGCCTGGGAGTGGGGAGTGGGGGTGGATCTGGCCTATTTGGGGGCAATCCTGGAATCTTGAACTATGAAAAAGGCTTACACAGTGACCCATTCCAGGGGAGAGAAAAGGAACATGAGCTGCTTGTTTAAAGGTGGTGGAAGACACATCAGAACACACCCTAGCAACAGGCTCCTACAACACGGCATCTAAACAGCAGGGACAGAAGAATGTGTTGAAGCAGTCGGCAGCAGCGGGGCCATAGGGAGGTACCCAGGGAGCATCGAGAGTGAGGGGCTTCTCTCTGCTATTTGCAGACTACCATAAAAGGAGAGAAAAGGACTCCTTAAGTACATAATCGGGGACTTTCCTGACTGAGTCACCCCAAGAAAAGGCACTCCCAGTTACCTCAAAAGGTGGAACCACTTTGAAAGACTTGTTTCTCCAGTTATTCCTGTTCCTTGAAAATGATGGGGTGCCTCAGACACTGGCTTCAGGGTTTCCCAAGAGGTCAGCCACACACACATCTCAGGTCAGGGTGGGCCCTGCCCAGAAGCGGGACTGTGGTGCCCATGAGCACAGAAAGTTCTGGAAGGCAGGGCACACAGAGCTCTGCCTGCTTCAGCAAGACAATGACAGATGTGTCAAAGGCACACTATTTGGAGTCCGAAATATTTTGGGACCTGCCACTTGCTGGCCATATAGGCTTTGTCAAGTCATTCAAGCCATTTAGCTTCTCATCTGGTGCAAGACTACCTAAATATGCTAACAGAAGGGTTCCTTCTGCTACAGGGCAAAGGTGGCACACAAAGAGTGGCAGCCAGGTCATGTTAGAGATGAAAAATAGAAAGAACAGGGAGAGTGGGAAGAGAGAAGAAAATCCCAGACTGTGCCAGTTCCTTTGTATTCCAAGCACACAGGGTTAGCCTTTCTAGAGAAGGAAGAACTAGAGTCCACCTGGACGCTGACTGCATGCCTCGGTCAGCTGCTCAGAATTCACCATAGTACATATGGCCAGCTCAGTCACATAGGACACACACTGCCCCCTCTCAAAATACTTACAGCCTGGGAGAATAAGAAAAACAAGTTACGTAATACTGAGTCCTGGGCATTCCCCAAAATGGCTGAAATAAATTCTTTTTTTTTTTTTTTGAGATGGAGTCTTGCTCTGTCACCCAGGCTGGAGTGCAATGGCGCGATCTCGGTTCACTGCAACCTCCACCTCCCAGGTTCAAGCGATTCTCCTGCCTCAGCCTCCTGAGTAGTTGGGATTATAGGCGCCTGCTACTGTGCCAGGCTAATTTTTGTATTTTTTTTTTTTAGTAGAGACAAGGTTTCACCATGGGTCAGGCTGGTCTCAAACTCCTGACCTCAGGTGATCCACCCGCCTCGGCCTGCCAAAGTGCTGGGATTACAGGCGTGAGCCACCGCGCCCGGCCCAAGTAATTCCTTTCCCAAGTGGCCACATACACCTATCATCCACCTTTCGGCTGCCAGCAAACAGGCTGTGAGTGATGCCAGTTAACCGCTCCCCAGATGAGCGTGGATACTTTTGGCTCTAGATACTTGGCTCTTGCTCACCATGGAGACTGTGTCTGCAGCCAGCATCCAGTCCTGAACTTTCTGGGACTGATGCTGAGGTTCAGCATCGTGGCCTGGCATTAATGTTCTCCAAAGATCTAGGACAAGGCTCAGCTCAGGTCTTCCTGCCTTAGGAACCTGCACTGACCTCGCTCCCAGGGTTGGTTCCAAAGGTGCAGTAATTGCACCGTGCCAGCCTCTTGGCACTCTGTGGAGTTAGGGTATGTGCCTTGGCTTCCTGATTAGAGTCCAAGCTCCTGGAGGCTAGACAGTGCAGCCCAGCACTTAGCGATAGGAAGCACTCAGTAACATTTGATACGCTTGAGGAACATGAAAGAACCATACCTGCTTCATGGGTCAGAACAAACAGGAAAGGCAGTCATAGAAGGAGTCCAGATTTCATACACACACACACACACACACACACACACACACACAGTCTCATTTCTACATAGCAAGCCTGAGATTCAGAGAAGGTGAGAAGACTTGGCAGCCAGCAGGCAAGATCAGCTGCTCTTAAAACCAAAGGGGGCCGGGCGTGGTGGCTCACGCCTGTAATCCCAGCACTTTGGGAGGCCGAGGCAGGGGGATCACCAGGTCAGGAGATCGAGACCATCCTGGCTAACACGGTGAAACCCCATCTCTATTAAATATACAAAAAAATTAGCCGGGCGTGGTGGCGAGCACCTGTAGTCCCAGCTACTCGGGAGGCTGAGGCAGGAGAATGGCATGAACCCGGGAGGCAGAGCTTGCAGTGAGCCGAGATTGCACCGCTGCACTCCAGCCTGGGTGACAGAGCGAGACTCCGTCTCAAAAAAAAAAAAAAACAAAAAACAAACAAACAAACAAACAAAAAAACACAAAGGGGCCTGGAGATGCTGGTCTGGGGTAAAGGGAAGTGCTGAGGTCCCCATGAAAAATAGCTGGGCTCTGGAAGCTCAGCAGGAGAGAAAAGATAATCAAAGAACACCCACCTCTCAAAGCACACAGTGTCTGCCCACTGATATGGCTAGAAACCATAGGAGCTTCAAAAAGGGTTCACTTGGTTAACTGAGAAATTAGTCATTCTGTGGATCCTAAGCAGGATCTCAGCCACTTTGTGTCTTCATGGCTGACCCTGCTGTTTGCAGTTTCCTATACACAGCATGCCTGTCCGAGTAATTAGCCCTTCGCATGACCCAAAGTGACCTTCAGCGAGTAACTCTAGCAGGCCTGGGCTAGCTGAAGGGACTACTGGGCTTCCGGAGCCTTAGTTATGTCTGATGACTTTCAAAATCATCCTGGTGGAGGCTTTAGCCTCGTCAAGGTACTGTGTCTTCTAGGCTGGTCTCCTGGGCTCCCTGCAAGAAACCTTTTGGCTTCTAAGATTTGGACAAGCCACCTAGAGTGTGGCTACACTTACAGAGTAAACTTGCTCTCCGAGCTGAAAACAAGGACACAGGACAAGGACACAGAAAGGACAAGAGCTCTTTTAAGCAGACCAGAAAGCAGAGGGGTCTGGGGAATGGGGTTTTAGCACTGTACCTAAAGCCATGTTGCTTTTCAGCCCCAAACTGCCCTCAAGCCCATTCCTCAGTTGTCCTCATTTTACCTTATACACTTCTCTCCTAGGATGTCTGAATTCAGAGTTCTGCGCGTGCTCTACACAACTCCTCCTGCTTGGAATTGCAATTACCCCACATCTCTCTAATACATTAGGTGCCCTGTTTTTAAAATTTATATTGTATCTCTGTTGGTACAGGCATAGAACATTTCTGCAAGGAAATAAGAAAGTGTAGACAGTATTAGCCTTCGAGGAGAAAACGGAGGTTTGGTGATCTGGGATGGACTGGAGACCCTCCTTTCCTAGTAAAATTGATTGCACTGTTTGATGGAGATTATTATTATTATTTGAGATGGAGTCTCGCTCTGTCACCAGGCTGGAGTGAAGTGGCACGATCTCGGCTCACTGCAACCTCCGCCTCCCAGGTTCAAGTGATTCTCCTACTGCAGCCTCCCTAGCAGCTGGGACTACAGTCGCCCGCCACCACACCCAGCTAATTTTTTGTATTTTTAGTAGAGACAGAGTTTCACCGTGTTAGCCAGGATGGTCTCGATCTCCTGCCCTCATGATCTGCCTGCCTCGGCCTCCCAAAGTGCTGGGATTACAGGTGTCAGTCACCGTGCCCGGCTGGTGGAGATTATTTTTTAACATCTTCATGCATCACTTTTCCAGTTAAAAATAATAAAATTCTTGTATATGTGTGGCAGGTTTTGGTGCAAAAAAAGAGGATAATATTGTGATTTTTGTGTCCTTTCTTCATGTCCCTCCAGTAGGATGGCTTTCCAGAGGCTTCCATTCCTCACTCCGTGACTTAATCGACTATGAGCTTGGACAAGTGTGGTGGAGATAATGAGGATATGAGATAACTTCATAGTTATTTGAAGATTGGGTGAGAAAATCCACAAAAAGCATTCAGCACATGGCAATACTCAGTGAAGGCTATTTTCCTCAACTACAGGAGCTTTTTCCTTTGATCTATTTCTTGATCTACCTGTCCTCCTGATGGGACACTCCCTACCCTGGGAACACTGGAAACAGTTTGGCAAGTGGCTTCCCGGGCCGGAAACAGTGACTCATTGGCATCTGGAATACAGAGGTTTCCAGAACAATCCCACTAGCACCAGCTAAAATCTATGTCTAGGGATTGGCAGAGAGGAGGGGCCCTGGCAAGTAGACCCCCTTTCCTAGAAACCTCTTTCCTTTGATGCCAGGGAACATTTGCCAAGAAATGGCCATAGGTCTGCCACCTGCACTCAGTGTCAACAGGGAACTTCCTTGATGATTAATGTAGGAAATGTGGGGCAAACGTCAACTACACTTCCCGACTGAAAACTAAAAGTGTTCGCTGAAAGTCAAAGTAGAAGGAAAAAAGCATATGAGGTGCCAAACCAATTTCCAGGAACTTCTCCAGGATCTAGCTTTAGGCAAAGAAAAACGACTTGTTCTAGAAACAGTTTCCTTATCCGATGGAAATAAAATGACAGGCTATGAGCATGATGTTTCTTAGTCTCTCCTGATACCTCCATCTGGTGAGGAACTTTTATTATCCCTAAGCCACCTGTGACATTATACCTGGACCTAAGTTTCAAATTCTCTGCTATCTTAGCACTTTTCAAGCTCTTAGATTTCCTGTTATCTCCAGAGGGGCCCATTCTACTGGTCTCTTGTTTGAGAAAAAGAGAAACTGGGAGAAAGAGTTGTTCTTTTCTCTTGAATTTCTGCCAAGGTTTTATTTCATTAATTGACAATGGATGTGCCATGCAGATCCAGCCACAGGGACATATCACCGCCCTAAGCCCCCACAACTTCTGCACCCTCCACCCAAACACACATCACCAAAAGCTGTATAAGGCACAGCAGGAAACTAGCAAGAAGGAGGAGAGACAGACACAGACAGAGATCGCACAGAGACAGTGGGACAGAGATGGGGACGGAGCAACCTACTCCACACAGTTTCCAAAACCAAGTGCAATGTATATTTACACTGACCCAGCAGGCAGACGCTGAAGCTAGTCTTTTTCAGGTATGCTCAGAGCATAGTAGTGGCGTCAGTGGACCTAGCAGCTGCAGCCAGCTGGGCACACCATCCCCCACCGCCCTCTCCCAAATGGATGAATGGTCCCCAAGCACTCACCTCCTTGTCCCTGCGGGCTGCATCCAGGGAGACTATGGTGTGGCCACTGTGCTCCTGGCAACAGTCCTGGCAGATGCACTGCTGATCAGGGCAGCAGAAGGCAGACAGTGGGCTGTGGTGGGCAGGGCAGTATCGCCAGTTGTGGTCCTTCACTGGCTCGGTCAGCAGGTGGCTTTGCAGTTTGATGTTCACCTGATGCGGCTGCAAGTGCTCTTCACAGTAATTCACCATGCAGGTTAGACAGGACTTCACTGCCTTCACTCTTCTGGTGTCATCAAGGCAGAAGTCACACAGGACCTCTTTCCCCTCACCAGCAGGATCCCCCTGCTCTGCAGAGTCGCTGTCCTGTTCCTCCGTCTCCCTGCCAAGCTTCTCCGAGGAGCCCACGTCCTCTTCTTCCACTGGGCTGGCTGACCCAGAATCTGGGCTGGGTGACCCAGAGTCTGGGCTGAGAGGGGCTGGGGGCTGAGCAGTGGCCCTGGGCAGTGGCCCTGGAGCCATTAGATCCAACTCAGCCATCTGGGAGGCTCTGCTCCTAGGCTGTCTTTCTTCTGTCCCTTGGCCCAGGATCTGTGCAGCCCAAGTCAGACAAGAGAACCACGCCTAGATGATTGCAGCTGCTGCAAGATTTTAACTGTTTCCTCCCTCCCAGAGGAAGCTCGGCCACTCATTACTGTGTGCTGGCGCTGGATGGCAGCCAGATGCGATGACGACAAGGCAGCTAGAGTACTCAGGCTCAGGACAGCCGGCTCAGGCTCAGGCTGCCTCCCCAGGTCCAGCCCTGAAACTTCTATTCTTATGTGAATCATCTGAACCCCATAGGCTCTGCTGAAGACCACGTGTCTCTGTGCCTGCTCTGGAAAGGACAGAAGATTCCTGAGCTCTGTTATAAGCCTGTGTGGCTTTGTGTGGTCTGACAAGCGACATTTTTTTTTGTTTTCATTTTTAAAGAGAAGTAAAATGTAAGGACTTCAACACCAGGACAGCCATTCATCTACTCCCATCTCATAGAACTGGACATGAGGCAGCTAGGAATAGGATGCATGTTTCTTTTCTTTTCTTTTTTTTTTTTTTTGAGACAGAGTCTCACTCTGTCACCCAGGCTGGAGTGCAGTGGTGTGATCTCGGCTCACTGCAACCTCCGCCCTCCGAGTTCAAGTGATTCTCCTGCCTCAGCCTCCCGAGTAGCTGGGATTACAGGCACCTGCCACCGTGCCCGGCTAATTTCTTTTTTTTTTTTTTGTATTTTTAGTAGAGACGGGGTTTCACCATCTTGGCCAGGCTGGTCTTGAACCCCTGATCTCGTGATCCACCCGCCTCGGCCTCCCAAAGTGCTAGGATTACAGGTGAGCCACGGTGCCCACCTTTTTTTTTTTTTTTTTTTTTTTTTTGAGACACAGTCTCACTCTGTCGCCCAGGCTGGAGTGCAGTGTGGGATCTTGGCTCACTGCAACCTCCGCCTCCTGGGTTTGTGATTCTTCTGCCTCAGCCTCCTGAGTAGCTGGGATTACAGGCACCCACCACCACGCCTGGCTCATTTTTGTATTATTAGTAGAGACAGTGTTTCACCATGTTGGCCAGGCTGGTCTCGAACCCTTGACCTCAGGTGATCTGCCTGCCTGGGCTTCCCAATGTGCTGGGATTACAGGCATGAGCCACTGTGCCCAGCCAGGATGCATACTTCTGATGCTGACTTTTCCATATCATCTTCCTGAACATTCCAGTAATGTCCGTCACACTCGTGGAGATGAACATCACGTGGGTACTCAGTGGAGATCAGGAGGGTCAGGGAAGACTTGTCTCCTTCCACAGAATGCTCCCTTCAGGTTAACAGCCCTTTTGCCCACTTAACGAAACATTCCTAGACATGGTGTTATAGTTGAGACACTTGTTCCCACAAACCTCATGCTGAGATTTGATCCCCAATACTGGAGGTGGGGCCTGGTGGGAGGTGTTTGGGTCATAGGGGTGGATCCCTCATGAACGGCTCGGTGCCATCCCCACAGTGATGAGTGAGTTCTCGTTCTATCAATATTAGCTGCCACAAGATCTGATTGTTAAAAAAGAGCCTGGCACCACCCCCTCTCTTAATTCCTCTCTCTCCATGTGACCTGCCCACTCCAGCTCCCCTACCCCTTCCACTGTGGATGGAAGCGGCCTGAGGCCCTCACCAGAAGCAGATGCCAGCACCATGCTTCTTGTACAGCCTGCAAAACCGTGAGCCAAAAGATCTGTTTTCTTTATACGTTACCCCCACCCCCTCAGGTATTCCTTTACAGCAACACAAACACAGTAAGACGCATGGTGTGTGAGCTTGCCAGGGCTGCCATAGCAAAGAACCATACACTGGTTGGCTTCAACAACAGAAACTCATTTCCTCACAGTTCTAGAAGCTGGATCAAGTCACTGGCAGGGATGCTTTCTTCTGAGGCCTCTCTCCTTGGCTTGCAGATGGCTTCTCCTATGTCTTCACATGGTCTTCCCTTTGTACGTATCTGTGTCCTAATCTCCTCTTCTTATAAGAACACCAGTAAGACTAGATTAGGGCCCACCCTCAATTACCTGTTTAAAGACTTTCTCCCCAAATACAGTCACATCTGAGGTATTAAGGGCAAAGATTTCAACATACACATTTGTAGGGGAAGGAGACACAATTCAGCCCGTAACACACGGTCAGGGCATGAGCTTGGAAGCCTCTAGCTCCTTAGAAGAAAGAGGCTGCGAGGCATGACCCCTGGACGGGGGTACACAGTGTACCCAGCGTTTGCAGATGGATACAAAGGAATCCAGGATTATTCCAGGGTACCTGAACCCCAAATTCTAGAGCTTTCTACAGTTTTCCCTGGGATTATTTAATCAGATACATTTGAACTCAAATGAATTTGGAAGGCGAATGGAAGAGAGAGAGATTGGGTGGAGGGGGAGGGGTCAGATCCACCTAGCCCCAGGGATCAGGCATTAGGATGGTTCCAAGATATTACACTCCCTATGGCTCTGCATCCCTGCGGTGAGTTCTATAGGATTTGGATTAAACTAAATAAACACAGGGATGTTTCTTGTCACTGACTAGTACTTTTCAGAAATCCGAGAGACCTAGTGACTACTCAGAGTTAGAAGGCACCGAAGACTTTACAAATTCATTCCAGACACAGTGCTGTTTATTTTCAACCACGCATAGAATACGCATAAGTAGCCCTTTTTAGCGATGTAACGTTTCCTCACTGTCCCTGTCCTGACTGCCCTCTTCCACTGCTGAAGACCCTCAGGAGAGGTTTCCTTCTTTCTGATCCTGGCCAGGGTCAGAAACATGCATCCTATTCCTAGCTGCCTCAGGTCCAGTTCTACTGGAAAAGGAATTAAAAGAAATTAAAGAACGTGTAAGCAAAAATTCATTGTATGTAAGAAAACCCAATTCCCCCTGAGGAAGAGAAAGAGCTGAAGTCCTTTAAAAATTAACTGCTTGTTTTTCTGTGGCCAGTGAGCCTTTTCTCTCCCTTTCCCAGGCATTGTGAAGACGCTGTTTCTCTAGCTCTGCAGCTGCAAGGTCACTAGGCAGATAAACTCAAGTTGTAAAACATGTTTTTTCCTTGAAAAGTAAGAAATGATGTAATGCATGTCTTAATTGAATAACTGTCTTTGTTTCTCGCTTCTGTAATATGCTTCCCCCTGCACAGATCTCCCCCTGCCCCATAAAATGCTTAAAAGGTAACCAGACTATTTGTTCGGGCTCAGTCTTTTTGGATGTTAATCTGACTGGGCCAGTGCACCTAAATAATAAATAATAAGTATCCTCCTCAATCCCTTGGTCTCTTTGATTCCTTAATTATCCCACAGCACTATGAGATGGGGAAAGATGAATAGCTGTCCCGTCATTGAAGTCCTTATATTTTGAGTCCTTTTTAAAAATTGAAAAAAAAAAATGTAGCTTGTCAGAGACCACACAAAGCCATACAGGCTTCTGTCAGAGCTCTGGAATTTAATTTCATGGTTTTCATGTCTCCAGCCAGGAGGACTGGCTTCTCCCAGTCCAGACCATTGTCAGTGTTTTCTCCAGTATTAATGGACAGGTGGCTTTCCTTTTAATCCCTTTTTCAGAGTGACCTGGTACTGGAGGCTGAACTGGTCCACCCGCATACCATAGGGCCTCTGATCTCTCTGAGAATGGGGAAGAAAAGGTAGTTGCCCTGCCTGGCCCTTTCTACAGCTTCAGTAGAAATCAGAAGGCATACATCCTGCTTGGGTTTCCACGTGGCTCACTTCTTCCTCATTCCTTCCCTCCCTATCTCATTCCCACCCTTTCTTCTCTCATGAATTGTTTCATACCTGCTTCTCTATGGCTAACCCTTTTAGAGCAGTTCATGGGAGTGCTCAGCCCTTCATCAATGCCCCACTGAAGTCCTGAGCTAGCAGACATTCCACAGTGGTGTGGAAAACAGGAAATGGGAATGTGGGCCCTAGCCTGGCCTGTGCCAATCATTTGATCTCTCTCTTTTTTTTTTTTTGAGACGGAGTATCGCTCTGTCGCCCAGGCTGGAGTTCAGTGGCATGATCTCGGCTCACTGCAAGCTCTGCCTCCCGGGTTCATGCCATTCTCCTGCCTCAGCCTCCCGAGTAGCTGGGACTACACGCACCCACCACCATGCCTGGTTAATTTTTTGTATTTTTAGTAGAGACGGGGTTTCACCGTGTTAGCCAGGATGGTCTCAATCTCCTGACCTCGTGATCTGCCCGCCTCGGCCTCCCAAAGTGCTGGGAGTACAGGTGTGAGCCACCGCGCCCAACGCGTGTCCCCACTTAACCTTAGTTTCCTTGTCCATGAAATGAGTATGTTGTCCTAAGTCAGGGCCGGTAAATCAATTTCTAGTTTGGCCCTCTGAGGAATTATGTTGCGGTGGGGTCTAAGTGCATGTCCGAGCTCAATGGGAGACGGCATCATGCTCAGGTTGGGATATTTGGCAGGGGCATGGGATTAGGAGTGGTGGCCCCTCTGGAGGCTCATCTTCAGCCCTCTGGGACCACAAAATTCACCACAACTTCTAAGTCCCCTCTAATGCCAACCCTCAAAGCAGAACACCACTAGGCCCAAGCTCTGATCCTGCTTCCAGGGACAGTGACACATCCCATCAAGTCTCAAATGCCCATGCTCAAACCCCCAGCACCCAAATATTGAGGCTAGAAAGTCACATGATTCTTTTGAACTCAAATTCCCTATTGCTTCAAAGGCTCTACAGTCACCACCCCACTTTGCTCCCACTGAGCCCTGGGGCATCTTGATACTCTGTCTCTCCTCGGATTCTGCTTTGCTCCTTGTCTTAACCAAAACTTGAATGTCCCCCAAAGACAATTTCTCCTGCCACCTCTCAACCCGTGTAGCTCCTTCTCTCATTTCCTATGCCTAGGTGGATGGGAGTCCTCCTCAGCCCCCATCACAACATCTAGACCATCGCCCCTCCCCAGCCCCTTTGCAAACCCTGCTCCCCTTATGTGCCCCAAAATACCACGCCTCCTCTCCTCCTGGCTGTCTTCTACAGCCTCCCAGTCATTCCCCTTAGTGACAGAAGATTTAACGCTTCTGGCTCCCAGCCTCCCCCTCTACCCCAGCTCTGTTATTCTCAGAACGTTCTACCTCTGAATGCCTTCTTTGTTTTTTATTTGGTTGGTTTGGTTTTTGTTTTTTGAAACAGGGTCTCAAAACTTTGTCGCCCAGGCTGTAACGTAGTGGTGCAATCACAGCTCACTGCAGCCTCAACCTCCCAGGCTCAAGTGATCCTCCCACCTCAGCCCTCAGCCTCCCAAGTAGCTGGGACTACAAGTGCTCCACCACACTTGGCTAATTTGTAAGTTTTTAAATTTTTTGTAGAGATGGGGTCTCACTATGTTGCCCAGGTGAGTTTCAAACTCCTGGGCTCATGCAATCCTCCCTTCACAACCTCCCAAACTGCTGGGATTACAAGTGTGAGCCACTGCATCCAGCCTCTGAATGCTTGCCACCTACCCTATGGTCACCACCCACATCTGGATTTATTTTTATTTTTAATTGTGATAAAATACAGATAAATACACATAAAATACAAATAACATAAAATTTACCATCTTAACTGCTTTTATTAAAAGACAGGATCTTGTTATGTTGCCCAGGCTGGGTTGTTTGTTTGTTTGTCTTTGAGACAGGGTCTCCCTCTGTTGCCCAGGCTAGATTGTAGTGGTGTGATCACAGCTCACGGCAGCCTTGAACTCCTGGGCTCAAGTGATCCTCCCATCTCCACCTCCCAAGTAGCTGGGATTACAGGTGCACACTACTGTGCCTGGCTCATTATAACCATTGGTAAGTGTACAGTTCAGTGGCTTTAAGTACATTCACACTGTTGTGCAGTTGTCACCACCATCTATCTCCACAACTCTTTTCATCTTGCAAAACTGAAACTGTAGCCATTAACCAATAACTCCTCATTCCCTCTCCCCCTCCAGCCTTTGGAAGCTACCGTTCTACTTTCTGTCTATAATTGTGACTACTCTAGGCACTTCATAGGAGTGAAATCATACAGTGTTTGTCTTTTTGTGACTGGCTTATTTCACTTGGCATAATGTCTTCAAGGTTCATTCATATCGTAGCATGCATCTGAATTTCCTTCCTCACACCTGGAGTCTGCATTCAACAGAAATCCCAACCTCCAAACTTAAGAATTGAGAATCCTACTGACTATGCCTACAGCTTGCTTAAATGCCCCGTGGAAAAAATGCCTCAGGTTCATCAGGTGTTGATTGGACATCATTGGCTTCCTCTTAACCCCAAGCATTCAGGGGCTAAAATGAAGTATCTCTTGCATAAAATGAAGTGTCTCTCTTGCCTTCACAAAACAAATGTAACTTCACCTAGATATTCTTTTTTCCTAAACCAAACCTACCACCAGGAATGTGAGGTCAAGGTGTGGTTCAGGATTCCTTTCCAGAATTGAGGGAGGAATCCCCACCCAGAATTCTGATGACTCAAATGCTACCAAGATATGTGGTAGGCAATTGGCAGTAGGTAGGTAAGTATTCATCTTTCATCCTGTTGAGTCTTGACAAATAATCCCACCAATGGACAAACTCTGAAAGTTATGTCCTCTGAAAGGATATAAGCAATGCCTGCCAACAGGTTCCCTCCTGGTTTAGGGGTTTAAGGCCATCATTCTCAGGACTCTAGGTTAACTCAAGTAAGAAGAGCTTTCTTAACCCAAAGACTCTCTCTAGCAGTTTCTGGCTAAAGAAGCTATCCAAGCGTTTTTGCTAAGCCAAAACAGCCTTTCATTTGTCTCTTCAAAAATCTCACTGGATTTTTTTCCTCATTTGTGTCTCTGCTGAGTCACACAGAGCTATGATTCACAAACACAGGTAATATTTGTCCACCAGACTTCAAGACAAATCAGCCCATCAGACTGAGAAAAATAAAAATAATATCATAAACTGATCGTAACCCTGAATTTGATTGATTTATGGGACTGTACTTTATTGAGATTGTGTCCTTCCTCCTTTTCTGGAATTAAAGGTCTTATCTTTTCTGAAATAATAGTAATGAGTGTAGGATTGGGAATGTCCGGAAGAGTGACATCTAAGTCAGTCCTCCAAATTCACTTTGCAATTTTTCTCGTAAAATCTCAAAGTCTGAGAACCACTGAGCTGGAAGTCGCATCACTCCTCTAGAAACCAGCCCAGAATTTTACTGGCTTACCTGGAGGTGCAGGCCCAATGAACTTTCTGGTTTGGGGTCACTATCAGCAAACTGGTCTCCAGCCCTGTCTTTCTCCTAAAAGAAGAAGATGGCCTCTTGGATCACTTTGGTAATTAATTACCACTAACAAAGGAACGAAATAAAGGTGAGACAAACAGCAGATTACAGACACTAAGGGCCGTTGCTCCTAGTCTCAGAACACGATTGTTGTAATGACGGCTCCTCCGCAAGAAGGAGGGGCTGTCCCAGGGCACTGCGTGTACCTTCCCTTCACAAAGACAGGAGGACACACCAGTTGGTACAGAGACGAGATTGCCAGCTCAGTACCTGGCACACAGCCTGAAGGACCCCACTACTGGATGAAGAAAACACCGAAGTCAGCTTCAACTATGCCCTTAGCGACGGACATCTGCCAGCTAAGGAGGTGCACCACGGTCATTTCTTCCCTAAGTCTCCGAAGGTCTAGTCCTGGGCTGTTCTAGGGTTCTCTTTTGTCTTCCAGTGAGGTGTGGCTGTGGTGCACGGGCACCGCTTTGATCACTTCTCAGACCACCCAAGCTTACGGGGCCAGAATTAGCAGCTAGACCACCTAGAAACCTACTTGGGGGAGTCTGCAATGCCCTGGAAATGGAGAGCTCAAGAATTTGACCACATCTCAAATGACTCTCAGTAAATTCCAGACACAAGGGCGTGACATTTTATGCGGCACATAGCACATTTGAACTATGCTTTGTTGAATCTCCATATCAACCTCTGTAATAACTCTAACATTGGTATGAAACCCAAATAATCACACAAATCTAACTCTAGTTACCTTTATGGCTTATGCCTAAAAATGTCAAAACAACCTACACATAATAAATGAAGTAAATCTTTAAAAAATCTGTAACAAATGTTCTCTTGCCCTGGGACAGGAGATGGTTTCCCAGGCCGGCTCCCCTGAGGCCCTGAGCCAATTGTTGTTTCAGCACTGCTGGTTTTCTAGAACTTGGGCAGCTGTCCAGCTCCCAGTCAAAATGGGCACCTCTAATCTTGCTATTTGCTGGGATACCACACATTCCAGGGAGCCGCACTCACCTTCAAAAAGGGCAGACTTATCTCAGGCCAGGTGTGAATGCCTCCAGGGCACTGAGAAGCAGCTCAGCAAGGCCAATGGCCAGGGCAGGGCAGGCCGGGCTTGCTGGGCAGGAGCACACAGGTAGGTAAGCGAACAGACACCTTCAGGTAGCAACAAGTTACAGGGTGAGGGTGAGGGTCCTCTTGTTTTTACTAGTGAGATATAGCCCTTCAGTGTTGGAAAGAATCTCAGAAAACCATCCCCTCCACCCTTCACCTTCCCAATATTTACTCAGAGGTTTGTTTTTTCTTTTTTTAAACAATAAGTAAGGACCACAGACCTAGACCCCTCAACAAAGGAAGGAAAAAGCATTGTTCATTCAAGGGCCAAAAAATGTGCCCCTCCCTCGATTGCTGTGGCCAGGGCCAGAGGACAATGAGCCGGTTCCTCTATAAACAACATAGTCTGCCTCAGCCAAGTCCGCTAGGGATGGCTTATGTCTCAGCAGCCACTGAAGCTCAATTCTTCATTCCACTTCCCCTAGGACACTCATTTGCTCAAATGGTTTTGATTTCCACCTCACTGCTGAAAACCAGATGGTTAAACACTCCATATTTCTATACCCCTGATTGTCTGCATGGAGGAAGCCTAACATCTGTACGTGGGTTTCCTGGGATGAGAGGCAGCCCTCCTCCAATCATGGTGCATAGACTCAGGAAGCAAACAAAGCAACAAGAATGCTCGAAAGAATACAGAGGGGCCGGGCGCGGTGGCTCACACCTGTAATCCCAGCACTTTGGGAGGCCGAGGTGGGTGGATCACGAGGTCAGGAGATTGAGAACAACCTGGCTAACACGGTGAAACCCCATCTCTACTAAAAATACAAAAAATTAGCCGGGCGTGGTGGCAGGCGCCTGTAGTCCCAGCTACTTGGGAGGCTGAGGCAGGAGAATGGTGTGAACCTGGGAGGCAGAGCTTGCAGTGAGCCAAGATCGTGCCACTGCACTCCAGCCTGGGCGACAGAGCGAGACTCCATCTCAAAAAAAAAAAAAAAAAAAAAAAAAGAACACAGAGGGGGCTATTGCCTCCGTGAGAGCAAAATAACCACTGCCTTGTCAAGAGTATTTTAGTAGGAAGGAAACAGGCATATTAATCAGAAGACCTGGTAAATGGTAGATGTTATGGAGGGCTCCCAATATGGTCAGAAAGAAAATCTGGAGTTAGAAGTGTCAAGTGGTCAGAGTCCTGATCCCAGCACCTTTTAGCTGTGTGACCTTTGTAAGTAGCTTACCTCTCTGAATCTGTTTCCTCCTCTAAAATGGGGATGTAGTATCTGCTCCAATAAACTTACAACAACCTTACAAAAACCTTACAGTTTGTGAGAAAATGAAAGTGAACACATCATGCAAATGCAAAGGAACTTGTATGCTAATCTTATGGGTACAAACACAGCAGGATTTGAGGAGGTGAAGGCTCCTTCCAGCGAGTTCTCTTAAGCTGTGAGACAAGGAGCTGGCCAAGGATCACCCTCCTCTCTCTAAAATGTAAGAAACCCCAACTTCCCCAGAAGCCTGTCACATTTATAGGCAACATTCATATTTCGCAGCTCCTTTCCCTGTGTACTAAGCAAGGGTCTCGGATCTGCCCAACCCCTCCTCTCAGTGTTTCTTGGAGTCCCTGGGGCACTGTCTTCCACTGGGCACCTTCTTTTCCTATCATTGCTGCCTCTGATGCCCTGCAGTCCAAATGGTGCCCAGGTTGCCTGGTAATGAAGTATAATATATTGTTTGTTAGATGAAGCCCAGAGCAAGGATGCTTAGTACAATGTGTCCCTCTAATGTTACTGAAACTGCTCATTCTCTTTACTCAGAGCGCCTTTTCTCCCTTAAGCTCCATGACGCCATGGAAGCTGGCTTGAGAGCAGCTCCTAGTGACAGATTCTGGCCTATTTAGACCCACTTTCCCACTCTGACCCTGAAATTCTGAGGTGTAGCTAAGCTTATAATTAACTCCTTCTCTCAGGATGCATTTTCCATTAGGAGGCCCCTGCTGGGGTGCCCCACAAGTGAACTACACAGGCCCAGGCATCTGAATCCCAAACTCAAGCTCCGTTCTAAATACCTCCTGGAAGAACATAGCTTTTTGTTTTTTCTTCCACAGTTTGGAAAACATGACCCTCCGACATCCATGCACTCCAGCTCCCAGGATGGGCTCTGTTTATCTGCACCAGACTTGGTTACTGCAGCCTGTCGGCCAGTGGTGACTGCTTCAGGGATAAAGAAGTCTTTGCAAATTTAAGTTGATGATATATGGAAAGAACACTGATGGCGTTTCCTTGGCTCTTAAAAGAGATATTTGTAAAACCGGCCTCTTTCCCCATGAGGAGTCAGAAATGGGGACTCCCAATGATGGAGTCAGAATTTAAATGCACACTTGTGACTCCAAAGCTTAAAAAGCTACTGTGGGGGACCTTCTTGTGGATCCTGGGATAGGAAGTGGCTGCTCCTGAGTCCCTCCAGTTTTCTTGAGTCCCAGATTCCTTAACACAACTTCACTGGGCTTTCTTTAAACTTCTTAGTTGATACTCACCCATTTCTTCTACTATTTACACACAATGCACACATTCTATTTTGAATCTCCTGGTTTTCCATTCTTAAATTTCATCTTTCCTGTAGTTGGACCCGCAGAACATGCCAGCCTCAACTCCCAAAGAGCATTTCTAGCACAAAGCTATTATTTTCATTCATGTGTTGTCTCGAGCTTGAGAGCAGATCAGCCTTTGAAAGCTGCCACTGCTGCTGCCACCACCAGCACCATCATAGCTGACTACACATTCTGTGCAGGGACTGTGCTAAGCAGGGAATACATTATCTACATGAGATACAGGGTTTTACAGATAAGAAAACAGTAACTTAATGAGATTGGGTAACTGACCCAAACCCATACATCTGATATATAGTGGAGTCAGAATTCAAATGCACACTGGTGATTACAGGGCCAGAAGCGGTCTTGGTAGGCTACATGAGGACGTTCTGGCTAATTCCAGGATAGGGCAGGGCTACTACTAGGTATCTTACAGTTGCTCAGAGGAGAGGGAGGTGGTGACTCACTAGCAGATTTGTGAGTTTCTTTAGACTTGGGCTGGTGGTGAAGAAGCTGGGCTGTGAACCCTCAGTTCCTAATTGACTGTCAGCTCTGTCTTCTCGGGAGCCTTCTCCTCCCCAAGAGAGGAGGACAAGGGCACAATACCCCCTCAGGAACTGGCATTTCTTCTTTCTCCTGAAACATCTTTCCTCATTTTAACTCTTTCCCAACCACCCAAGTGCCCTCTGGATACGTCCATTTGTCCCAGTCTGGCCTGGCCTGGCAGGTAACTTGGAAAATATTTGCACGTGCCACTCTCCTCTCCACTCAGGATCGCTTCATTCATTCATTATTTATTCTGCAGCCATTAGATGCTGAACACTAGATACTTATTTGTGGAGGTCACAAAATAAGTACAGAATATGACACACGCCCTGCCCATGAAGAGCACAGCTGCCAGTTCTATATTTACAATATCTCTGGAATTCCACCTTCCCTTCTAATTTGACTGATATTTCTGCTTCTCAGGCAGCAGCAGCCTTCTGGCAACCATGAGAACCAACGTGAGGACTAGGTCAGTAAGCCGAGGATAAAGAAACAGAAAAATGGAAAGAGCCCCAGTGACACTGTTGAGCTGTTAAACTATCTAAACTGCTTGTTTTCAGGCTTTAAATCATGTAAGATAACGTGTCCTTATTGCTGCAGCCGGAAGCATCCTAAATGGTACACTCTCTCCAGGTGCCAGGAAAGATGCCAAATAGCAGGCCCAAACTGTCTCCTTACAGCTTGGGGTCCAAAACTGGAAAGGACCTTGTCCCTACCAGTCTCCATACAATGAATGCCATGAGAGAACTCTGGCTGATCCTGTTCACTCCGCTTGCCCACCCCGGGTCAATCCCATGTCTGGTCAGATGCAGTGCTGTCATCAGCCCAGGATGCAGTATTGGGTTATGGGTCTCCCATGTGGCCACAATGGAGGGCACTGTGTTTGACTAAAACCACACGTGGTGTGTACAGGCCCCATGGTGAATACAGACAGACCACAGCAAACCATCTGCTAAAATGGGGTTTAAAAATGAAGTTAACACTTGGTTCCGAGATCCATCTATGAAAGCAAAACAGGTTCTAGGAGCCAGATGTGGCAGCGGTTGTATGGCAGAAAGGGTGGTACAGGTGGATTTCATACATTGATACTTAAAAAGGGAGAAAAGGGCAAGAAATCCATTTTAAGGTTGAAGAAGCAGCACAGATGATCCCATCTTCTCTTCTAGGGCAGAGAAGCAGGCACAGGTGAAACTCAAAACAGAGCACGTAGCAGGACTGGACGTAGCCTTAGGGAACCTAGGCTTGGGTTAAGCTGAAAAAGTATGAATCTATTCAGCACCAGGTTTGGCCACAACTGGTTAGAGAATTTGTAAAGCACAGAAGACGGGGACAGTAAATATGAGAGCTGGAGGAGAGTGAAAGTAATGAAAGCCAGTGGGCATGGTGGCTCACACCTGTAATCCCAGCATTCTAGGAGGCCGAGGTGGGCGGATCACTTGAGGTCAGGAGTTTGAGTGACAACAAAGGTGGGCAAAACACTGATGTGATCCAGACAGAGACGACCTGTGGCCACAAGCGCCCTGTTCTGTTTAGATCTGCGCTCTCTTCCCAGCAGGATCCATCAACTCTAGCGTCTCAGAGCTAGACAGACTACGTCCTAGGAAAATGCGCCTCGGGGAGGCTTCCTGAGTGAAGTGGCTCCTGTCACAGTATCAACGTCATGATGTGTCTTATATCTGCTGCCCCGACCAAGAACCAGGAAACAGGCCGGGCGCGGTGGCTCACTCCTGTCATCCCAGCGCTCTGGAAGGCCAAGGTGGGTGGATCACTTGAGATCAGTTCGAGATCAGCCTGGCCAACATGGTGAAACCCCGACTCTACTAAAAATACAAAAATTAGCCAGGTGTGGTGGCATGTGCCTATAATCCCAGCTACTTGGGAGGGTGAGGTGGGAGGATTGCTTGAACCCGGGAGGTGGAGGTTGCAGTGAGCAGAGATGGCACCATTGCACTCCAGCCTGGGCAACAGAGTGAGACTCCGTCTCAAAAAAAAAAAAAAAAAAAAAAGGCATAGGCAGTTGGGTGGTACTGTAAACCACCTGCTCAACAGGGTGTGTTTGCTTCTGGAAAGTTTTATTATTTGCTTTTTTAAGCTGCTGCTATACAACTCACTGAAAACCAACTTTTCATTATTTAATGGCATGAGAAAAGGATCACATTAAGTAGTTTTAAAGAGGCTGTAGAGGCCGGGCGCAGTGGCTCATGCCTGTAATCCCAGCACTTTGGGAGGCTGCGGCGGGCAGATCACGAGGTCAGATCGAGACCATCCTGGCTAACCCAGTGAAACCCCATCTCTACTAAAAACACAAAAAATTAGCCGGGCATGGTGGTGGGTGCCTGTAGTCCCAGCTACTCAGGAGGCTGAGGCAGGAGAATGGCGTGAACCCGGAAGGCAGAGCTTGCCATGAGCCGAAATGGTGCCACTGCACTCCAGCCTAGGCGAGAGTGCAAGACTCTATCTAAAAAATAAAAAGAATAAAAAAAATAAAGAAAGAAAACAACATAATGTATCGGGAAACCAGATAATGAATGGGTAACATTCAAGTGATAACACATTCTCCTGGCTGCCCACATCTCAGTGGCCATTACTTTTCAGTCCAATTTTCTTATTCCTCTTCCTCTGCCTGAAAAGGTGAGAGGCTCTTTGAAGCTCAACTCAAGATCACTTCTTCCCAACTTAGTCTCTCTTCCTAGATGAGCTCATCCATTCCTACGCCTTCAGTTACCACCTGTTTATGGCTCACAAACTGATGTCTCAGCTCAACTTTCAGACCTGTATATCCAACTACTTTCTAAGTATAAAGACTTGACTTTCTCACAGGCACCTTGAATCTAATGCATCCAAAATTAAATGTAAGGCCTCCCTAGATCCCAACACAACAAATTTAACCCTCCTCATGTTCTTTTCTCAGAGATTGCCACCAGCACCCAACTAGATTACAAATCAGAAACCCAGGGAGCATCCCTACCTCCTCTCTTTCCGTCACAACCCATGTCCATACCATCACCATTTTACATCTCACACATCTCCAAACCCTTTACCCTTTATATTTCCACTGCTATTACTAGAGTCCAAGCCATCATTGTCTCTCGCCTGGATTATGGCAATAGGCTCCACACTAGAATTCCTACATCTACTCATTGCTTTTGCCAATCCATTCTCCATTCTGCATCCAGAGAAAGCTTTTCATTTATGTATTTATTTATTTTTATTTTTTAGAGATAGGGTCTCACTGTATTGCCCAAGTTAGACTCGAACTCCTGCTCTCAAGTGATCCTTTTGCCTTGGCCTCCCAAAGTGTTGGGATTATAAGCGTGAGCCACTGCACCCACCCTCAGAGAAAGCTTTTTAAAAAAATCAACTTTACTGAGGTATACTTTACATGCAATAAAATTCACCTATTTTAAGCATCCAGGTGAATGAGTTTTGACAAATAACTCCATTCTGGTAACCACCACCCAATCAAGATAGAGAATATTGGCAGCACCCAGGAAGCTCCCTCATGCCCTTTTATTCAATCTTTCTACCATGCCTGGTTCCAGGCAACGAAGAATCTGAGTTTTATCATTATAAATTAGTTTTGCTTGTGCTGGAACTTCATATAAATGGAAATATATAGTAGGCACTATTGTGTCTGGCTTATTTCACTCAATAAAACATCTATGAGATTCATCCATGTCATGGTGCGTATCAGTAGCCTGTTGTTTTCACTGCTGAGTAGCATTCCATGCTATGTCTGTAACCAAGCGTGTTCATCCATTACCCTGCTGATGAGCATTTGGGTTTGTTCTACATTTGGGCTATTTGGTATTATCTTTACCCCATCCTTTTACCAGCCTACCTGGCTCTTGATATTTAAAATGCATCTCTTACGGGCATCGTGTAAGAAAGTCTTGTTTTTTATTCAGTCTAATAATCTCTGCCTTGGGGGGGCGGTGGATGGAGCAGAACTAATAGGCTTATGAATGGGATAAGTCTAAAAGCATAAAGTATTTGTAGAGTCTTGCCTTCCTTCATCTTACATAAACTCCAGATACCTGCTGTTACCCAGTGGTTCTAAAAGCAAGATCTATGGACCCTTGATGCTTCACTGAGACCCTTTCAGGGATGTGTGAGGTCAAAACTATTTTCATGATAACACTTGAGTATTCTTTGCTATTTTCACCATATTGTCATTTGCGCAATGATGCAGGAGCAATAGTGAGTAAAATTGCTGAGGCCTCAGCACATATCAAAGCAGTGGCACCAAACTGTGCTAGCAGTCATTGTACTTTTCCACACACTCAAAAATTGAAAATAAATTTTAAAAAAAGCCAGTTTCATTTAAGAATGTACTTGATAACAACAGTAAAAATTATTAATTTCATTATATCTCAACTCTCGAGTACATGACTTTATAACATTCTAAGTAACAAAATAGGACTTCTGATTGTTTTCCAGCAAAAATGTACACGTGCAATTGTGTAAGATGCAAGCAGAAGTAGCTTTTTTTTTCCCCCAGAGAGAATATTTATCAATTAACTTCCTGATACACATCTATGATACTTTCTTCTTCCTATATGTTTTGGTTGACTTCTCTTCGAATGCTTCTTCATCTAAGAATTCCATCATTTCTATGGAAAGAATAAATTCTCTACCATGGTAGATCAAACTCTTTTTTAAAGAGTTCCTATATACCCCACACCCAATAGGGGTACATAAGACCCTTCAATCTTTCTACCACAGGGGTACACAACACCTCTACTGTTAACATCTTACGTTACTCTATGATAGTTTGTCACAATTAATGAACTAATATTGATACATTATTAACTGACGTCCATACTTACTCAGATTTTCTTTTTTTTTTTTCTAGTGTCCTTTGTATGTCCCAGGATCCCGCCGGGACACTGTTCCACTCTCAACCCCACAGTAGCCACTATCTTATAACCCTTGAGTGATCTCACCTAGCTCATGTTCAGCTTGCCTCTCAACCTTCGGCTTACAAGGGACCTATCCATGTACTCGTGTACGCTCTTATACAACTCCCTCCTCTCTGTATCTCACCCCGCACGATCTATCTGCTTCCGCTGCTCTGAACCCTGATTTCCACATCCTCCACTCCGTGGGACCACTGTGCTCTACATGGACTCCAGCTATCTGTGCCATGGTTGGAAGTAGTTCTAAGACAGAAAGTTGGGTGATCATGGGGTTCACCTCATGAGTTTCCCTCTGTCTGGGATCAGTAGTTCTGTGCTACCTATTGTTCACTGCCTGAAAATAGTTGTCTCATCTATTTTGTCATGTTGTATAGCAGTTTATGGTGGGAGGGCTAGCCTAGTACCAGTTACTCCATCATAGCCAGAAGCAGAAATCCAAAGAAAGCTTCAAAAAATATAAGTCTGATCATGTCACTTCTCTGGTTAAAATCTTTCCATGGCTCTAAGAATAAAGATCCAAATTTGAAAATGGCCCGTGGGGTCTTGTATGATCTGAGCCAAACCTGTGCTCCAGCGTCATTCCCCCTCTTCCTCAGGCCCTCGTTCCTTCCTTAGCCTCTGGCCTTCCTTCAGTCCCTTGCCGTTTTCTCCTGTCTCTAGGCTTTTGCACATGAAAACACACTTTTGCACATGAAAACACACCACCAAACATTCTTCCCATCCTTCTTCACCAACCAGCTACAAGCCACAATAAATAAAACACTGTGAAACTAGCACAGCATTAGATGGAACACAGTCCAAAAACAGATTCATATACGTATATATTTCAACTCAGTGAGAAAGGGAGGAATTATTCAATAAGGACAATTAGTTCAATTGGCTAGCTATGTTATCCTTAACTTATCCCATATTCAAAAAGAAACTTCAGACAAAGCATTAATAAGCAAAATGTATAAGGAACTACTCCAAATTGATAAAAAGAAAGCAACCCAATAAAAAGTGGAAAAAGGAAATGAAAAGGCAATTCATGGAAGAACTACAAATAACTGATAAACATAGAAAAATAAACATAGGAAAAGACATTCAACATTATTAAGAATGAAATATAATAAAATATATATTAAAAATAAAATCTTGATAGTATCCAATGTTTGGGAGAGAAAAAGGCACTCTGCTACACTGTTAGAGTATAAACTAGTACAGCCAATTCATCAATATTTTAAATGTACTCTGACCCAGCTCTCACATTTCCAGGAATCTATCCTACAGAAATAGCAGCATGACCACTGAATTGCCTCTATCAGTAAAAAAAACTGGAAAGAACCCAAATGCCCATTAATAAGAATATATAGAAATTATAGGACATCCATACGTCAGAACACAATGCATCCATTTAAAAAAATGAGATACCTCTAAATTATTTTTAAAGATGTCTAAAGTATAATGTTGAAAGTTATAAGTGAGTTGAAAAACAAACAGTACACTACTAGTTATGCATGCATACATATACACGCACAAGCAAAGAATCTAAAAAGATACACATCAATTCTAAAGGGTAGGATTTCAAGGGGGAACTCAGGAAGCCCTTTCTTTTACTTATACACTTCTACAGTATACTATTTGATTCTGTCACAAAGAATATTTCACTTTTGTAATGTAAAAAATGTTTAAGTGTACTTTTTGAAAAAGAGAATAGATTCGCTATTACAATCAACTGCTCACGGTGAACTACTGTAGTTTAACATTGCAGCAGGAGGCTGTACCACCACCTCGTGGGGATATACTGCCACAGTAAATTGGTTATCTAAAAATTCCTGAATCTCAGTGCTACTGCCGTTTTGGGTGGGACAATCCTTTTTTGTAGGGGCTGTCCCGTGCATTGTAGGATGATTAGCAGTATCCCTTGCCTCTATCCTCTAGGTGCCAGTAACACCCCCTCCCCCAATTGTGACAACCAAAACTCTCTCCAGACACTGGCAGTTGTCTCCTGGAGGGGGAAAATCTCCCCTGGTTGAGAACCACTAACGTGAAAGAATGAGTCTTGTGAGTGCAAAGTAGAGAAACAAAAGGTGTTCACTCATTCACTCATAAGAATATCACACCAGGTAAAGTCTTCATGAGATAATTCCCTCATGTCAGTTAGAATGAGTGTTCTAACCCACAGGTGCATGCACACAGAATTATTTTCATAGCTTGAAGATATTCTGCAGTTTAAATTCAGTAAGAAGAAAACCCATTTTCATCCAGTAAATCCCCAATTGCCACAGGGCAGAAGCAACAAGGATGCAAAGCCTGTCACATGTATCCAGACTCTATTCCCAGGCCCAGGGCAGGACTTCAAAGCACTCTGTACCATGGCCTCATCACAGTGCTCCAGTCAATAACTACCACTAAATGTAAACCAGCTCCCTCCTGTCCCTCAATCAGCCGCTAATTTCCCCCACGTCGAAGCGTCCCTATGCCCATTGCTCTCCCAGATGCTCTCTATGGTCTACATGTCACAGAAAGGTCTTTTTTTTATGCAGGGTTGGGAGGTCTGTGGAAGCTCAGCTCCACTATCCACTGCCCTCACCCCAAATAGCACGGGCATATCATTTAACCTTTCCAGATCTCCATCTCCTCACTTGCAAAATAAAAGGCCCATATTATATATTCAAAGTTCCCTTTGGTTCTAAAATCTATGAACAGGGATGATGACAAATGATCCACTGTAGGCTTTCTATACAATTGTAAGTATTTTCTCCACTGAAGATTATTCTACATACAATTAGGTTGGTGTTACTGGAATCTTTTTAATTTCTAGTGTTGGGGTCCTATAAAAACCGTGATACTGAATAAGCAAAGAATCCTAAGCCATGACTTCACTATACAGTTACTGTATTTCTAGGGTTTTGTTTTTGTCAGTGTGCATCATCTGATATCAATAATATACAAATGAATATTGTCTAATGTCTTCCCACTTTCACTATAGTCACATTTATTCCAGGACTAATATATGAAGCTGATTAAGGTTACGTGGAGTTTTTTTGGACTTGGATTAATCTGAAGTGCTTCTTTATTCACCGTGTTGCTGTATCCTAGCAATCTTCCTACTAGGATAAATTGGCATATCTTCTGATACAGTCAACTTTGGCAAACCAAGGAAAAACACTCAGGAAGAGGAATAAACTAGCACACGAATGAACTGACTGGGCCTCTAGATTCACTGAAGTCGTGCTCTTACACAAGGTTACTTCTGTAGTCAGCATGTAAGATGAAAACAGGGCAATACCAATATTGTCTTTATAAATCCTTGAATTTGCCCATAAAATACACCTAGTTTTGTGTATAGCTCTGATAATAACTCATGAATAGATAAATATAGAATTTTATATAGGTGTGCAAAACATAATTTTATAGTATTCTTAATTACACTAATTTATCTTTTGGTTTGGGGGGATATCTTGGTGCATATGGGTGAATTCTTGTTAAGTAAAATATAAGTATGAGATGATTTTTCCTGAGATGTTTATCTCAAGCCACTGTATTTTGCATAGATGACTCTTGGCAAAACATACCCAGCAGTCATCAAATATACGATATATATCTAACAGGTCAAAGTTCCTAGAAGAATGACTTTTCATTGAAAAACTCTATTTCACGTGATTTTTTTAACCGTATGCAAGTATTATTTTGTGTAAAATCAGCAACGAAAGCCCTAAACAAAGATAGGTTTCCCTCATCATGATGATAATGATGTTAAAATCATGATCCCTGATGATGTTAAGATTGAGAATAAGGCCGGATATTAGTATCAAACCAAAATTGTCATGTTTCATAGGCATATGTGAGTGATATAAATAGTAAGTAAGCAGCACTGGTATTCAGAGGAGGAGATTATTTTCAGTTACAGTGGCCAAGAGGTGAGGGTGGAGGTAATACCTTAAGCTGGGTCCTAAAGGAGACTAACTTGCAAAATGAAAAGAGTGATAACGTGACAACTGCCTCTTAACTTAAAGAAAACCTAAAAAGTATTAATGCCTCCTCCGAAAAGACAGAAAGCCCTACTTTAATCACTAAATATCTCTTCCTGCAATCCTCAAATCAAGCCTGGGGTCACCCTAGTTAGTTTATCACAACAGTGCAAATTATTCAGGATAATTTGCTTGGAGGAATTAATTTAACATATAAATTAATTTTCCCTTCATTGGACACATATCAGCCAAGCATACAGGCAATTTTAACATATAAGTTAGAAAATTAGACACTCATGATTTAAAAACTAAAGAATCCAGATTACCTACCAAAAAGAGATCAAAATATCAGAACATTTACTATCTAAAGCCCCAAATCAAACCCCCACCCCAGACTTTACCACAACCAAACAAACACACTGAGCTTTAGCTTAGGTTGTAAAAGGAGAGGAATTATATTCTCCATCATGAAGGGTAAGTGTGGTCTACACTACAGCCCACGAAAGAGAACCCTGTTATAGAAATATCCAAATGCTGGGCGTGGCGGCTCATGCCAGTAATGCCAGCACTTCAGGAAGCTAAGGTGGGCAGACTGCTTGAGCTCAAGAGTTCAAGACCAGTCTGGGCTATATGGCAAAACACCATCTACAAAAAATACAAACAAATTAGCCGGGTGTGGTGACGCTTGCCTGTGGTCCCAGCTACTCGGGAGGCTGAGGTGGGAGGATCAAGGATCCTGAGAGTTCAAGGCTGCAGTGAGCTGTGATGGCGTCACTGCACTCCAGCCCAGGCAATAGAGCAAAACCCTGTCTCAAACAAACAAACAAACAAACTAATCTGAGAGGAGAGCACAAGCATAGACCATACTACTAACAGTACAGTCAGAGTAAACTGAAACAAAACAAAAAAGGCTCTGTAAGTCCCAGAGTCATAATATTTCTAGAACTGTTCTGATTTCAAATATTTCATCACTATAATGTCCTCAAAATTTTAATATTTCTGGATCCAAATTATATTTAGGCTACAAGAGAATTATACCAATTCACTATAGTACAATCCACGAATTCATGCAATCCACCCATTCTAGGACAGACCTTTTGTTCAAGGACATCTGTCTTCAGTCTTTAGTTCTAAAATAAATTACCAAAGATGAGGACTCTGAAGGAACAACAATGGTTTCTACCAATCCAAAGCCAACTGGCTCCAGGAACTATGTTTGGAAATGACCTTGTTACCAATTGTTAACAAACATTACTTTAAGAAGTCTTATTCTAATGACAGACACTCTTATAGACGACCCTCCCCACCCCTTTTCAATTTCTTAAAGTTACGAAGGATTTTGGGCATTTCAAAAATTATTTCCAGATATCACCGTTTATTCAGAGTGGTCTGTCTCACCGCTAATTTTCAGAACAAAAATCCTTTCTTCTCTAACTTCAGTTGTGCCTTCTGTAATTCAAGCCCTGTTAAATTTCAAGCTGTACTAACACCGACTTCTTTAAACAGAAGAGAAGGATAGGAAAGCAGGTGAGGAGAGAGAGTTCAGAATAGCCCTTTTAGTGAGAAAAATAGAAAGCAGGGAAATCTCAGGTTCTGGCTAGTACACTGGGAATGATATGGGAAAGTCAAGGGACTCCAATCCTATACAATTGGATTACTCTCAGGTAACTGAAATGCATCTAAAACAGGAAGAAAAAAAAAAGGCAGGGAAAATAATTCATGGAAACCAAAAAAGTTACTCTAACATCAATTTAAGCTTAGGAAGATTTGAAAGAAAAAAAAAAGTTTGCATGTAAGTGTTGAGTCACAGCATAACCAAAAAATAATGCCTGGCTTTATTAGGTACACATAAAATTTCTTAGAGCCATATACAGAAATTTTCATCAGGCAGCCTCAAGTAACTTAATCTGGTGATAGTCTGATACAAATTCATATGACCATTTTTTTAAAAATGTTTTCTAAAAGTGTTGACTCAATCTTCCCTAACTCTTCTGTTGGGATTGCATAATAGTTACTATGTAAGGCTGACAGTTTCCAAGGTAAACGGTTCTTACTTTCTGAGAACTGATAGTTATAATTTCAGCCTTAAGGAAGGGGAAAAAAAAGAAAATTCTAAGAAAGGGGAGATGGAAAAAGCAAAATAGATTCCTCATCAACAGAAGACACAATAGGCCGGGCGCGGTGGCTCACGCCTGTAATCCCAGCACTTTGGGAGGCTGAGACGGGCGGATCATGAGGTCAAGAGATTGAGACCATCCTGGCCAACATGGTGAAACCCTGTCTCTACAAAAAATACAAAAATTAGCCGGGCATGGTGACGGGCACCTGTAGTCCCAGCTACTTGGGAGGCTGAGGCAGGAGAATCACTTGAACCTGGGAGGCGGAGGTCACAGTGAGCTGAGATCATGCCATTGCACTCCAGCCTGGTGACAGAGCAAGACTCCGTCTCAAAAAAAAAAAAGACACAATAACATTAAAGAGCTATTTTGAGATAAGTGAAAAAAGATTTCTGAAAAGGTAGATGTAACAGAGTTTGGCCCCATTTTTGATGTCTGGCCATTGACAGCATTTAAGTTTCCACCATTTTCTATTCTCCCCTCCCCCACACTGCCCCACCGCACACCTGGTGCTTTAGATAAAGAAATCCATGGGCATCTCCTGAGCTCCCAGCACTGGCAGGAAGCTTGAATCCCTCAAGCCCACAGATCGAATGCTCTCCAGCCCCATTCCCTAGCTACTTTAAAGGCCCAGCCTCCTCTCTGTTCTTGCCATTTTGGACCAGCTTTCATCTATCCTGCTCTCCCCAGAAACCCTGTGTATGAATAGTAAACTTTCAAGTTCTCTTAGTGTGTGAAATGTCATCAGTCTTGACATCTGGCCTATTAACTGAGTCCCTCATCTCCCGGGGGGTGATCACAAAACAGTGGGATGAGGTAAAGCAAACAAAAGCTGCCCACAGGAGGGTATGAGCTGGGGGCAGGAATGACTACAGATTAAGGCAAAGTTTTATAGGAAGGTGGTATTAGGATATGTAATTAGCTATGAGCTTCTTTATTTTGTTTGGACATGGCACTATTTCCATCAGTACAAGAAGGGGCAACAAGCTCAGTTCTGCACAACTAGAATTTCTTGGCTTATTCCTGAGGCCAGGGAAGGGGGGTAAAATCACTGCATGGTGACAGCAGTCATTTCAGGTACAGACAAAAATACACACATATACATATAAAAATTGAGCTTTAGAGTCTATTAGGCTAGTCCAGATTTCAGTTCAGTGTTTCTTCACTTGGATTTGTGATATTCTGATAGCTTTGCAAGAGAAAATAACCAGGGTAGGAGAGGAGGGATTTTCATCCCTTAAAATATAATAAAGCATCGCCACTGTAACAACCTATAAAAGTATAATTCTTTGGTATTTAACCAAATGAAGAGTCTGAGTGGATTTGTCCAGACATTCAGGGAGATTCTCCACTGTGAAGTCTCTGGTGTCTAATGAGGGCTGAACTACACGAAAGCTCTGCCACATTTATGTGACAGAACTCATACCGGAGAAAAACCCTACAAGTGTAAAGAATGTGGTGAAGCCTTCAGTCAGAGCTCAACTCTTACAAAACATATAAAGGTCTACACTGGAGAGAAACCCTACACCTGTAAAGACTGTAGGAAAGCCTTCAGCCAGAGTTCATCTCTTACCCAGCATCAGAGGGTTCATACTGGAAAGAAACCATTTGATTGTCAGGAGTGTGGGAAAGCCTTCAGTAGAAGCGCCCATGTTACCCAACATCAGAGGATCCACACTGGAGAGAAGCCCTGTGTATATACACATACGTATGTGTATGTATACATACGTATGTGTATATACACATACGTATATATACATGTGTATATACATATATATTTGCATATATAATATAAAAATATATATATTATATACTATACATATATATATACTTTTTTTTGCAGATACTTGAATGTTTGTGTTCGTTAGAGTTCTAGGCTCTCTTGTAACTCTTTTTGTGCTCTTTGGGTGATATTATCCACTCCCATGGCTTCAATTTCATCCATTCTCAGGCAACTCCCAAATCTGTACCCCCAGTTAAGATCTCTTTCCTTTACTAAGATACATTTGGCATGTCGTCCTTATATTCATCTAGCCTCCAGACATTACCACTTAGAGCAGGTTTTCTCAACTGCAGCACTGTTGCCGTTTTAGACAGACAAGTCTTTGTGTGGGGCCCCGTCCTGTGCATTGTAGGATGTTTAGCAGCATTCCTGGACTCCACTCACGAGATGCCCATAGCACACTTCAGACGTTGCCAAATGTCCCCCGGGGGGCAAACTTGCCCCTGGTTAAGAACCACTGGTTTAGACTTATTATAGACACTTCAAACAACTTAAGAGAAACTGAACTCATCTTCCACTCCCTAAATTTGCTACTTCTCCTGTGTTTTCCATCTCAGGGAAGAGAACTTCCATTCACCTACACATCCAGACCAGAAACCTGAGAATTTTTTCTTTTTTTTTTTTTTTTTTCTTGAGATGGAGTCTCGCTCTGTCACCCAGGCTGGAGTGCAATGGCATGATCTCGGCTCGCTGCAAGCCCCACCTCCTGGGGTTCACGCCATTCTCCTGCCTCAACCTCCCAAGTAGCTGGGACTACAGGTGCCCGCCACCACGCCCGGCTAATTTTTTGTATTTTTAGTACAGATGGGGTTTCACCATGTTAGCCAGGATGGTCTCCATCTCCTGACCTCGTGATCCGCCCGCCTCGGCCTCCCAAAGTGCTGGGATTATAGGCGTGAGCCACTGCGCCTGGCCGAAACCTGAGAATTTTCTTTGTTACTCCCTCACCTCTCAAATCTACACAACAAATTATGTCAATTTTATATCCTTAAAATTATTCAAATTCTTTCCTTCTCTTCATATTTCTTATATAGCAGAAAACTAGGTAGGATAAGGACAGAGTAAATGAAGAAGTGATTCCAGCTACTAAAGAGGAAATGGGAATAGCCTCATAAAATGCCTCAGGATGAGGCACAAAGCTGATCTCTGGATCATGTGTTGGGCTTATAACTTTAAGGAGGAAGTATCTCTTCCTTGAGTCTGGGAAGAAATAAAGAGGTAAGCTATTAGGATTCTGATGTGGTCAAGTGAAGATGAGACTGCAGGGGGATTCAACATTTTCTACAGGCCCGGAGGATTTGGGAAGAACCCCTAACTCTTATTTCTAAAGATGCAATCTGCCTTGTTCTCACTTACGTGTACCGCTGCTTCTTGGCACCTCTCCCTCCTGCATTTGTGTTCGTGGGCTTACCACTTCTTCCAACTAGGAGATGATACCAGGTTTGGAAAATGGAAATCCTACTGAAGAGATACAAACAGAATGTAATTTTAAGTTCAAAAGAGAAAGGACCACTCTATTCTCAGTCCCACTCTGTTGCATTTTAGAGAGGAGAAAACGAAATAACTAATTGTCAAAAGCAATTAAATAATTTCTACCCAAGTAGGGTGAGAAACAGTTTAAGGATCTGATCTGGATTCTGTGGGGGAAAATAACCAAAGCCTCATTTGTTACCATTCCCTAATAGAAGCAAGGGAATCTTTAGAAGGCAAAGGTATCCTGAAAGGTCAATCTGGGGTGGAAGGACCCAAGCTCACCCAAGGAGACCAGGTTCCTATAGTTCTCCAGCATTACATCCCTGTACAAGACTCTCTGAGCAAGGTCCAGTTCTCTCCATTCTTCCTAGTGAAGTTCACAGCCACATCCTTGAATGACATAAAGCCCTGAAACACCTGCATGGGGTTCTGAAGAAAAAGTTACATGAGGCATACTTAGGGGAGACTGATGGGATGGAGAGGAAATAGATTAAACTATGTTCACAGTGTCAAAGACAAGATTTTATTGACTCGTATATTAAAGAATCTTAAAATCTTAAAATGTGTATACCCCTCTGACATAATTTGATAGTTTTGTTTTACAGTAATTTTATATACAGAACTCAATTATAAGAAAACTATCGGCTGGGTGCAGTGGCTCACGCCTGTAATCCCAGCACTTTGGGAGGCCGAGGTGGGCAGATCACGAGGTCAGGAGATCGAGACCATCCTGGCTAACATGGTGAAACCCCATCTCTACTATAAATACAAAAAAAATTAGCCAGGCATGGTGGTGGGCGCCTGTAGTCCCAGCTATTCGGGAGGCTGAAGCAGGAGAATGGCGTGAACCCGGGAGGCGAAGCTTGCAGTGAGCCGAGATCACGCCATTGCACTCCAGCCTGGGCAACAGAACGAGACTGTGTCTCAAAAAAAAAAAAAGAAAACTATCAGAAATATGGAGAGTTATAAACAAAGAATCACATCTATTTATACCTTACAATAGAAAAATAGCAAAATCGTTCTAAATAACCTAAATGTTTGAGAACAGTGCTACGAGCTGCTAACTGTCCATGAAAATATGCCTCCTCCTCTCCTTTCTAGGTATACAAACATTTCCCAACCTCCTGTAGTTAGACCTGGCCATGAGATCCTAACCAATGGAATGCAAGCAGGAGTGATGTGCGCCCTTTCCAGGCCTGACTCACGTATGTTCCTCCATGCTGTTTTCCCCTTCTGACTGGCTGGTAGGGCCATGAGCCCCAGAGTGAGTTTGGAAGCCATATGGTAAAGAGGCTAGAGCTTCAGGTAGCTCAGGTCCCTGAATGGCCATCCTATCAATCTATATACCCACTCACATGGCTATGACAGCAAACAATACACTTCTATTGTATTAAGGCCATATATATTTTGGGTCTATTGGTTACAACAGTTATTAGTAAGCCAACCCAAACTAATTCAGAAATCAGCACCTTCAAGTGGGAGATATCATAATAAAAAGTTCAAATACACAGGTGGCATTGGATTGACAGTCAGGTGGCAAGCTTCAAAGAAAAGAATATTTACGACTGGAGAAATGCAGACTCTCCTTTTTTTTTTTTTTTTTGAGACGGAGTCTCACTCTGTTGCTGGAGTGCAGTGGCCACGATGCTCTCGGCTTACCGCAACCTCCATCTCCCATGTTTAAGCGATTCTCCTGCCTCAGCCTCTTGAGTAGCTGGGACTACAGGTGTGAGCCACCACGCCCAGCTACTTTTTTTTGTATTTTTAGTAGAAACGGGATCTCACCATGTTGTCCAGGCTGGTCACAGACTCCTGACCTCAGGTGATCCGCCCACCTCGGCCTCCCAAAGTGCTGGGATTACAGGCATGAGCCACCGCATCCAGCCAACAGATGCAGACTCTTAATATACACTGGCAAACTAATTAGCAACTATGAGGCCAGGGCAAATGCTCACTGGGCCTGTGGCTCTAGAACAGGTTGGAAAGCACCAGAACGCTCTTTGTGTAGAATGCTCCTGGATATGTCTGGCGAACAAAGAATGAGTTAAGTTCAGGAAACAATGTGTCAATTTTCAAGCCAAAACAAAAGAGAATAGAGTGCAGAAATCTGAGGCCTCACGTGGTTGGAAAAGCAAACTGTTTCTAGATCTCATACAGTGGGAAGTAAGTCTAACAAGAGCTTTGAGCAATAAAGGCCCATTACACCTGTTAACTAAACAAAGTGATTTAGCCCTGTAAAAAAAATGTCAGATTAAGGATGTGGCCTTCCCACCCAAGCCTATTGTTTAGCCGGCCTTAAGGTTATCTTCAGTTAAGTTGAGAGAGACACATGGTAAGTAAGAAACTAAGAAATAGGCCAAGCTGGCCGGGCGTGGTGGCTCACGCCTGTAATCCCAGCACTTTGGGAGGCCGAGGCGGGCAGATCACAAGGTCAGGAGATCGAGACCATCCTGGCTAACACGGTGAAACCCTGTCTCTACTAAAAATACAAAAAATTAGCCGGGCGCGGTGGCGGGTGCCTGTAGTCCCAGCTACTCGGGAGGCTGAGGCAGGAGAATGGAGTGAACCTGGGAGGCGGAGCTTGCAGTGAGCTGAGATCGCGCCACTGCACTCCAGCCTGGGCGAGAGAGCGAGACTATGTCTCAAAAAAAAAAAAAAAGAAAAAAAGAAATAAGCCAAGCTTGAGAATTATATCTAGGAAAGAACTTTGAGTATAAGAAGCCTTTAAGTTTTTGTGGAACAACACCTCTGTGATTTCAATGTACTGACTTTTTTCCTGTGCCAGAGGAATCAGTATCTTGCTTTGATTCTAAGTCATTTATGTCACTAACTTTCTATAAATCTTTCAAGAATTTACTCAGCTTTCAGGGCCCACATCAAATCTCACTACTTTCATTAGCCTAGGAGCTGCTTAAAAGGACTTTAAAATGCTAGTTGAATGAATAAAACCTTCCTAAATCTCTCTCAGCCAGACACATTTGCTCCTGCTCCTCCAAGTCCATACAGCATTTTCCCTAAGACACTTTATATTGAGTAGGCCCTTAATAATAAGGCCCTATTTAATAATAATAAATCTGCTGGTTTGTGCCACACAGATTTGTGTACATCTTTTCTCCCCAAAATATTCTAAGCAGATGCAAGCAAGAAATGCCTCACGTGCCTTTGCATATCTATGCCAAATGTCTCAAGTGAACAAAAAGAAGCTTGATTCTTACCCAACCATGTTCTAGGAGTCACGCTCCTCAATTATCTGCTAAAGAGGCCTCATTCCCATCCTGCCCCTACCATCCTTTCTCTACACTGCCAACTGATGGGCGAGGCTACCAAGCCTCCTGACCTTCACTGCTACTGCCATACAACTGAGGAACACGCAAACACCATCTCATTGGCAGTCCATCCCACCTGCTTGATCCTTTCCTTTCAAACTGCTGTGGCTAATGTGGTTGACAAGCTTCATGCTAAGAGAAAAAAAATTTGCTTCAGGAATTAAAATAAGATTTCTGAGAAGAGAGGAAAATCCCCAACTCAATTAAAATAAAATTTCCAAGAAGAGAGGAAAATCCCCAACTCACCTGGGACTCTGCTGTCCGGCAAAGAGCAGCCATATTTTCCTTCTTAAGATACCCCTTTTGGGAAAGGGCAGGGTCCTCAGAGGGCAGAACTGGAAGGAAATTGACATAAAGGAACCTGGTTTATCTTTATGTATCTCAAACCTATGAATTTAGAAACAGCCACTTATGAGAAAATGTGCCTCTGACCTTGGCTGTCCATAGCTTGAAGGATTTTACAGACATCTATGTAATGAGACTTCAAAGATAATCTCAGAGGATAGAATGAACATAAACTCAGGGAAAGGTATGACCATTAACTGGGCTCAGGATCTGCGTGAGCCACTGCTCTGAAAACGAGGTTCCCTGGGACCAAAAAACCCTAAAACAAAACAAGAAGTGCAATGTTACAGTTGGAGAGGTGCTTAAAGACCTCCAGGCTCAACTCCTTTATTCGCAAATGGAGAAAGTGACCAATTTTGTAGAACAAGAAAAAGGGAGTCACAGCAGCAAAAGACAGCAGTGCCCACCCCAGCAGTCATGGTCACAGACACCTTTAGCCACCCCATCGTGAGTATTCCAGGCCCACGGTGAGTCTGTGGCCATCTCAGGCCTGTTAACACCACACACGCTCCACTAAATTGTATGTGTCGTATCATTCACCACTGCATCCTAAGCACTGAGCACGGTGTACTTGGCAGACAGCAGTCCCTAAGTATTGTGAATGAATTAATGAATGAGCCCTAAATTCCCTTGGTCTGAATTCTATGCCCAACAAGCAACCTTCTGCTCATAATTTACTTCTCCATTTTGATTTTTTTGCCTGTAGGGAGAGAACTGCTGATGCTATTACCTTTGAGCATTTCTTTGCGCTTATCTCTAGGTAGTAGGGTTACATGCTATTTATCTTATTCTACATATCATTCTATATTTTCCTAATATTTTACAGTTTATTATTTCTTCAATCCTCTCTCCACCCATCTCCAAAAAGCAGTACTTAAACCTCCTTGTGGATTTGTTTGGGGGAAGAAGTAGTTCTTTTAGGCCTCAGTTATTACCAAGTACAGGGTTTCACAATTTTGTAGAATTCATGCCTCCTGTAATCCTTTGTCATTGGAACTCTGGCTCTGGAGTCTGCCTGCCTACTGCCTTTACATCCTGGCACTGTGTAACCATAGCCAAGTTTCTTCTGGGCTTCATTTCCTAATTTTACAAAAGAGAATAATAATGGTACCTACGTTGCTACAATGTGTGTTAATGCACATAAACGGCCCAAACCAGTACCTGGTACAGAATAAGCACTCAGGAAAGGTCATTTAATCATCAGTTAATTATTATTCTCAATATTTTCTGCATATCAACATTAACCAAGACTTTATGGCGCTTTCTTTCTATACTTTGTTTTACGAGGAAAAAAAGGTATGATCAATATGTTTGGTCATACTCCCAAATCCCAACTTCCCCACAAGATGCCTGTCCCCTCCCTGTACTGGACACTGACAATCAGTCGGGGCTAAGGTAGAGTTAGGAACTCCTAAGTTCCAGGACTTCCAGAAATCAGAGGGCCTGAGGGCAGGATATTATAGGAAAGTCAAACAGACTAGAGATAGACTATGGAAGTCCCTTCTAATTTGGGGGATCCCTTTGTATCTCCTTAAGACAAAGCGCTTTTTAAGAGAAAACTGAAAGAGAACCAAGGAGCAGTCTCTAATTCTGCCAGAAATGAGCAGCAGGGCCATGGACCCTGGGGACGCAGGCCCCAGCTCTAGCCCTGAGCTCATAGAGGTTCAAGGGACTAGGGCTCTCCCATGTGCTATAATGCCAAATCAAATCATCAGCCTCTCCATACCTATTTCTTTCTTCTCTTCCAAGGAGTCCGACTTATCCCCCCTTATCCTTCAGAAAGGCAGGTGGTATAATGGAAAGAGTACGGAAGTAAGGTATCTTCTTTTTTCAGAGTTTCAAATTAAAAGGGAATATTAGTAAAATCACCACCATTCTTCGCACACTCACCACGCACCAGGTGCTTTCCATAAATCAGTATTCACAGATGAGGAAACTGTTAACTTGCCCAAGTTCTCTGTGCTGCCCACACACATTTTACAAGGTTGCTGTAAAGAAAAACTAAAATGAGGTTGTGTGTGCATACTGCAGATTCTTGGCTAATGGCAGGACCCTTTATTTCTATTTCTTACCTCTGTTCTGGAGTTTGCAGGTCCAATCCTCCATAATCATAGCCTTTGCTTCACTATTTGGGTGTAGCAACCTTTCCGTTCTCCACGTATCTTCCTGGAAATTGCCAGCATTCTACCAGAAACTGTGGTAAGAGGTTCTGGATTGAAGTTTTCCCCTTTTTCATTGTATTTCTTTTTTCATTCTCTGAGACTCTACTCAGAACGCAGAGTCTGACGCAGTATCTTTTGAGCTAAAGCTAAACTCAAGAACTTCGGCAGCCATTTAATCTTCAGGAAGCCCTGAACACAGGCAAGTCTCAGTACCTTTATACCACTAGGGCCCTGCAGAGTCAGACACTGGGAACATAGACAGTTACAGACAACAGTAAGGATACTGTGCCTGATGAATACAAAAGTGCAGGGTGGTGGAAAGTGCCCTGCTGGGAGTGCCTGGATTCTAATTTCCACTATGTGCTAGTTGGCTGGGTGACCTACAACAAGCTACTTTTCATTCTTGGGTGTTTCCTTCTTACGTGCAAATGGGCAGATGGATGCCTACTATTAATAAAAGCAACAACTGATTGATCCCTTACTTGGTGTCTGGCCCTGTGTCAACTGTTGCATGTCAAAATTCCATTTAATCCTCACAACCACCACTTAATAGTAGGTACAACAAACCTCAAATTACAGGTAAAGAACACGAGACACAGAGAGTAACCTGCCTACGCTCACATCAGAGCAATACCACTCTCTGAAAATGTGGATAAACAGATCTCTGATATCCATCCCCTCCTACGTTCACACTTCAGTCTATGAAACGGTTCCACCACACTGCAGGCTGCAGAGACATAAGGGACGCGTTGGTGCCTAACCTGGCCCTGGTACAGGAGCCTTGGGCGCTACCTGCCTCACTTTGCAACCAAATGCTCCAGGGTATGCGGGCCCTCAGCCGGTTTCCAAGCAAACGACCCAGAGGTGTCTCGGATAAGAAACACACATACACCCCACTCCCACACACACAAAACCCAAAGACACGCTCCAGGGGCAGAGGGGGCGCGTCAAGGTGGCCGAACCCTAGCTCCAGCAGAAGGAATTACAGTCAGATCAGCGGGCCCGGGGAGAGACCCAAAAGGGAGCAGCCGGGACCCCAAGTCTGACAATCCACTGCTGAACACACACACCCTGTCCAGCGTCTGCTCCTCCCCGGTCCAGACACAGAGAGGGTGTCTGCTCTGGGGGACAGGGAGGACACAGACTCGCCACGCGCGGAGATCCTCCAGAGAAAGGGGCCGGAAACGGAAGTGCGCGCCGAGGCTCCTGGGAAATGTAGTCCGGAGCGGCCCGGGCGACAGAGCGAGATTCTCTCTCAAAACAAAAACAAAACAGAAAAACTAAACAATGTTAAAAGTGAAGTTATAGAGCGGAAATTTTTTTTTCTTTGAGACCGAGTCTCGCTCTGTCGTCAGACTGGAGTGCAGTGGCGCGATCTCGGCTCACTGCAACCTCCGCCTCCCGGGTTCAAGCGATTCTCCTCCTCAGACTCCCGAGTAGCTGGGATTACAGGCGCCCGCCACCATGCCCAACTAATTTTTTTAATAATTTTAGTAGAGACCAGGGTTTCACCATATTGGCTAGGCTGACCTCGAACTCCTGACCTCAGGTGATCCACTCACCTTGGCCTCCCAAAGTGCTGGGATTACAGGCGTCAGCCACCACGCCTGGCCCAAAAATTGTTTCTTATGCTTGATCTAGTCTGTTGTTAGAGTCTTGATTGTATTTTTCATTTAATTCATTGGATTCTTCAGTTCTAAGTTTTCTGTGTGGTTCTTTTTTATATCTCTGTTAAATTCCTCATTCAAATTATGAATTTTCTTGATTTCATTGAATTGTGTAACTGTATGCTCTTGAATTCCACTGTTTCCTTAAGATTATTATTTTAAATTCTTTTTCTGGAACTTTGTATATTTTCTTTTTTTTTTTGAGACAGAGTCTCGTTCTGTCGCCCAGGCTGGAGTGCAGTGGCGCAATCATCTCTAGGCTTACTGCAAGCTCTGCCTCCCGGGTTCACGCCATTCTCCTGCCTCAGCCTCCTGAGTAGCTGGGACTACAGGCGCCCACCACCACACCCAGCTAATTTTTTTTTTTTTTTTTTGTATTTTTAGTAGAGACAGCATTTCACCGTGTTAGCCAGGATGGTCTTGATCTCCTGACCTCATGATCTGCCCGCCTCAGCCTCCCAAAGTGCCAGGATTACAGGCGTGAGCCACCGCGCCCAGCCAGAACTTTGTATTTTTTCTTATGATTGGCATCTGTTACTGGAAATTATTGTGTTCTTCTGGAGGTGTTGTGCTCCTTGCTTTTTCATGTTTCATGTGTTTCTACATCTTTCTTTCTTTCTTTCTTTCTTTCTTTCTTTCTTTCTTTCTTTCTTTCTTTTTCTTTCTTTTCTTTCTTTTTTTTGACAGAGTCTTGCTCTGTCAGCTGGAGTGCAGTGGTGAGATCTTGGCTCATGGCAACCTCTGCCTCCCGCGTTCAAGGGATTCTCCTGCCACAGCCTCCGGAATAGCTGAGATTACAGGCATGTGCTGCCATGCCAGGCTAATTTTTGTATTTTTAGTAGAGACAGGGTTTCACCATTTTGGCCAGGCTGGTCTGGAACTCCTGAATGAACTCAAGCTATCTGCCCATCTCAGCCTCCCAAAGTGCTGGGATTACAGGCGTGAGCCACCGCACCCAGCTCTACACTGATTTATACACATATGATGAAACAATCACTTCTTCCAATTTCATGGAGTAGGTTCTGTAGGGAAAGATTTATTCATATGGGTCTTGGGGTGTTGCTTCAATGGAGTGTGTTGGCTTTTGTTCTAGGTGGATACAGTAGTGTATTATCTATGTAAGTTTCTTCAGCAGTAATACATGCTAGTGATGGGCCGGGCGTGGTGGCTCACTCCTGTAATCCCAATCCTTTGGGAGGCTGAGGCAGGTGGATCATGAAGTCAGAAGTTCTAGATAAGCCTGGCCAAGATGGTGAAACCCCATCTCTATTAAAAATACAAAAATTAGCCAGGAGCGGTGGCAGGCACCTGTAATCCCAGCTACTTGGGAGGCTGAAGCAGGAGAATCGCTGGAACCCAGGAGGCAGAGGTTGCAGTGAGCCGAGATCATGCCACTGCACTCTAGCCTAGGTGACAGAGAAAGACTCGGTCTCAAAAAAAAAATGCTAGTGACATTTGTGAATGTCTCAGTGGCCTAGGCTAAGAGGTGGTGATGGCGGTCGTGTGGCTTTTGCACAGGGCTATTTCTCAAGTCAGGGGCTCATTTGTGTACATGGTGGGTCAGCCAACTTGAGGTTTGGCTCACTGGGGTTGGGGCTATGGGACTGTTAACTCTGGGTGGGGACACGAATGCATTGTTGCTTGGCTAGCCTACAGGGTGCCTGCCAGTGATGGCCTGTGGCACTGTTTCTCAGACCCTGGACACAGGAGCACAGCTGCTTGGCTGTCCTGGGAACATGTCTTCTAGGCGAAGCCTGTGGAGCTGTTATTTAGGCTTGCAACAAAGGCACAAAGCTGCTTGGCTGGCCGGGAGATGTGTGTCCTGGAGTGGCCCATGGGACTGTTTCTCAGGCCTGGGATGTAGGCACACTGCTCAGCTGACCTGGTCGGGGTGTCTGCCTGGGGCAGCCTGTGAAGCTGTTTCTCAGGCCCTGAACATGGACACATGGCTTCTCAGCTGGCCTGGGTGCATGTCTGCTAAGCATGGCCCACAGGGTTTTTCTCAGGTTCAGGATGTGGGCTCATAGCTTCTTGGTTGGCCAGGAGTGGCCTGAAAGGGTTTTTCAGGCTGGCAATGTGGGGGTACAGCTACTGGATCAGCCTTAGAGTGTGCCTTCCAGGGGCACCCTGTGGGATTGTTTCTCAGGCCTGGGACGTGGTTGGACAGCTGGTCAGCCAGCCTGAAGGGCATGTCTGCAGGAAGTGAGCCACAATGCTGCATCATAGGCCCTGATCACGGGTGTGGGGGCTTTGGGTAGGACAGGGGCATGTCAACAATGGGAGTGGGTACCACAGGGTTGTTTCTCAGGCTGTGGGCACAGGAGTATAGACATTGTGCTGATAGGGCAGCATGTCAGCTGCTTAGTGGCTCAAGGACATCTCCTGCTTTGTAGAGGGTGGTCAGCAGTTTGGCTGGCTCAAGAGCATATTTGCCCTGGGTGGGCTTGCCACATAGTTCCTCTGTCTCAAAGTGCAGATGGTTGGGGTCGTCTTCTCTGTTGCACAGGACCAGAATCACAGTTGATCCTAAGCCCAATCTATGCATAGTGGGATTATGGAGTTTAGCCATCCTTGTGAGATTTGTAGAAAGAAGATGGAGCCCTGATGCCGCAGAGGTGCAGTGGCTACTGACCCCATAGGATGGTGCACTCCAGAGGTGGCTATAGTCTCAAGATGGCACAGTGCTGCTGATGCCACAGCTTGACTCACAGTGGGTGAGTGGAGGTTGGGAGCACACACTTTCTGTTCCTAATCCAGAGCAGTGTGGTAGCAAGAATTTCAGACAGCTCTCAAAACTAGGCTCAGGGCTTTCAAGGACTGTGGCATTCTCCTGTAGTAAGGACTGTGGGTAAGGCAATGGGGGCTGGTGGAGTTGTTCTGCTTACCCTTTTCCTGTAAGGGGAAGTCCCTCCTGTCTCCAGGCTGATTGAAGCTGGGTGGAGCAGATGGGGCTGCAGAGGCTGGGTAACTCTGCACTGCTCTCCTGGATTTCCAATCACCTCAGCTGCCTCTCCACTCCCTCACTGCACTCCAGTGCTTTCCCTTCAACATTTCAGTAAAATTTTAGCTGTTTTACCTGTTTATTCATCGCCTTGGTCCTTCCTGGATAGGAGGAGCGGGAGCAAGATCCATACATCTCTAGTCAGCCATCTTGCTCTATTTCCAGCTCTTCCTTTGTTATAAACTTTCCTTAATCTAAATTAAGAAATTAACTTTTAACCTAATTATGAACAGATATTGAATGTTATCAATGATTTCTATTGAGTTAGTTATTTGGTTTTACTTTTCCTTAAGAATCCATTAATGTAGCAAATTTCATATCTAGATTTTCTGATGTTAAAATCAACTTGATCATGATATAGGTTAAATTCAGTTGGCTGGCCGGGTGCAGTGGCTCACGCCTATAATCCCAGCACTTTGGGAGGCCAAGGCAGGTGGATCACCTGAGGTCAGGGTTCAAGACCAGCCTGACTAACGTGGTAAAACCCATCTCTACTAAAAATAGAAAAATTAGCTGGGAATAGTGGCTGGCGCCTGTAATCCCAGCTACTCGGAAGGCTGAGGCAGGAGAATTGCTTGAATCCGGGAAGCAGCGGTTGCAGTGAGTCGAGATCATGCCATTGCACTCCAGCCTGGGTGACAGAGTGAGACTCCGTCTCAAAAAAAAAAAAAAAAAAAAAAAATTCAGTTGGCTGGCCAGGCGCAGTGGCTCACACATGTAATCCCAGCACTTTGAGAGGCCAAGGCGGGTGGATCACAAGGTCAGGAGATCAAGACCATCGTGGCTAACACAGTGAAACCCCATCTCTACTAAAAATACAAAAAAAAAAAAAAATTAGCTGGGCATAGTGGCAGGCGCCTGTAGTCCCAGCTACTCAGGAGGCTGAGGCAGGAGAATGGCATGAACCGGGGAGGCAGAGCTTGCAGTGAGCGGAGATCGTGGCACTGCACTCCAGCCTGGGCAACAGTATGAGACTCCGTTTCAAAAGAAAAAAAAAAAAGAGGCCGGGCACGGTGGCTCACGCCTGTAATCCCACCACTTTGGGAGGCCGAGGCAGGCGGATCAGGAGGTCAGGAGATTGAGACCATCCTGGCTAACACGGTGAAACCCCGTCTCTACTAAAAATACAAAAAATTAGCCGGGCGAGGTGGCGGGCGCCTGTAGTCCCAGCTACTCGGGAGGCTGAGGCAGGAGAATGGCATGAACCTGGGGGGCAGAGTCTGCAGTGAGCCGAGAGACTCCGTCTCAAAAAAAAAAAAGAAAGAAAAATTCAGTTGTCAGTTGGCTAATATTTTATTTAGGTTTTGTACTTATGTCCATAAGTAAAATTGGCTTATAATTTTCATTTTTATTCCTTGTATTATCTTTATCCATTTTAAGAACCAAGTTTATATTAAATTACTAAAATAAATCTGGCCGCTTTATCTCTTTTTATTCCTCTGAGTTGTTTTAGAACACCTTTTATATAAGATAGAGAAGATCAGTTCATTGAAAGTTTGGTAGAATTTGGAGTGTGGCCCCATATTTTAATTTCTTTTATGGTAATTGAGCTATTGAAGTTTCCAATTTCATTTTGTACCTTTTTATTTCTTTCATATTTTCCTAAACTTATCTACTTCATCTACGCTTTCAAATGTATTGGTGCTTAATAATGTCCGTTGTGCCTCTCTTTCTGTTTATTCAATCTACAGTTGTATAACTTCATCTGCTCTCTTAAATTCATCATTCTCATTTGAAGTTTGTGCATCTTATTAATCTATTCATTAAACCAACTTTTATCTTTGTTTGTTTTAAGATGGAGTCTCGCTCTGAAGATGGAGTCTTGCTCTGTCATCCAGGCTGGAGTGCAGTTGCGTGATCTCAGTTCACTGCAACCTCTGCCTCCCAGGTCCAAGCGATTCTCCTGCTTCAGCCTCCTGTGTAACTGGGATTACAGGCATGTGCCACCATGCCCGGCTAATTTTTGTATTTTTAGTAGAGATGGGGTTTCACCATGTTGGTCAGGCTGGTCTTGAACTCCTGACCTCAGGTGATCCACCCACTTCAGCCTCCCAAAGTGCTGGGATTACAGGTGTGAGACACCATGTCCAGCCCAGCTTTTGGTTTCAATAGTCTTTTTATTGGTTTTTGTGTACATGACTTCCTTGATTTTTGAGCATTTATTATTTCTGTATTTCGTATTCCTTTGGCTTAACCTGCTCCTTGAATAAACTTCTTAGCTCACTTGTTTCCAATTTTTCTTAAATGAATTTAAATTATAAATATTTTCTAAATACTCTTCTAGACGTACTCTAACATTTCTGAATAACTTGTGATTCAGGTTTAAGTATTTTGTAACTTCTTACACTATTTTCTCTTTAACCCCAAATTTACTTAGTATTGTGGGGTTTTCTTTATTTTTGTTTTTAATATTCAGAAAAAGTTTTAGCTCTCTTTTCTTTTTGATTTCTAATTTTATTGCATATCTTCAAAGAGCAATAGATCTGTGCTGTCCAAAATGGCAGCCAATATAGCCATGTGTGTACCAAGCACTTGAAGTGCGCCTAGTCTGAATTGAGAAGCATTGTAAGTGTAAAAAACACCTCCAAATTATGAAGACAGTGCAAACAATATAAAGTATCTTATTGATAAGTTTGATATTGATTACAAGCTAAAATAAAATATATTGGACATGTTGGGTTAAACAAATATGTTTATGTAATTAATTTCACCTCTTTTAAAAGTTTTTAAAATAGAGTAACTAGGCCGGGCGCGGTGGCTCACGCCTGTAATCCCAGCACTTTGGGAGGCCGAGACGGGCGGATCATGAGGGCAGGAGATCGAGACCATCCTGGCTAACACAGCGAAACCCCGTCTCTACCAAAAAATAAAAAAAATTAGCCAGGCGTGGTGGCGGGTGCCTGTAGTCCCAGCTACTCGGGAGGCTGAGGCAGGAGAATGGCAAGAACCTGGGAGGCGGAGCTTGCAGTGAGCCGAGATTGTGCCACTGCACTCCAGCCTGGGTGACAGAGCGAGACTCCGTCTCAAAAAAAAAAAAAAAAAAAATAGAGCGACTAAAAATTAAAATTACATATGTGGCTTACATTATATTTCTCTCTATATATAGTGGTATTGATGCATGTGAATTATTTTAAATCTCACTGAAGAATCATCTGTATTTTAGCATATGGTCAACTTCCCTGAATAATGCATGCGTGCTAGAAAAGAATGTATATTCTCTGTTTGTTGCATGTAAAGTTGCATGTAGACCTATTATCTTGAGATTCATAATCCTGTTATTGAAACTCCTAAAGCTCTCCTTCCTTTTATCTTCTTGATATATTGGTTTTTCAGAGGATTATGTAAAATTTTCCTACTATAGTTATTGATTTTTCTTTCAGTCGTTATACCTTCTTGATTTCACATTCCTTTTATAAGTTTATAATGTGTCCAGACAAGGTGTTGTAGATTTATTTTTCCTCGTTCCTTCCTGCTGATTACTATGAACACTAGAAATAACAAACAAGAACTCTTGACAGGTAGGAAAAGGAAATTGGACTGGGTAGACAGGGACCCCAGGACTGGAGGAACATCATGTTAGTGGGGCATCTTATAACCCCAAGCCTAGCAATAGAAGATGGCCCACGTAGACTTATTCCTCCCCCTGTGGAACAAGGGCCCCACTAACAACACCAGGTAGGCCTGGAGGGATTGATTGGAAACCCCACTAACCATAAGCAGCCAGAGGGGATCCCATCAGGCCTGAGACTCTCCTCTCCCATCTAGAGCAACAGGTGGATGGGCAGTACCATCACAGGGGACCTGCCACAGCAATCACAAGCCCAATCAGACCTGGGAATTCCTATTCTCCCACCCCAAACACACAGACACACTCTCTCTCTCACACACACACACACACACACACATACACCCCTAGAGACACCAGGTGGTTGGTTAGTACAGGCAGGTGGAAATCCCACCATATAGAGATAGAGGACTCCACACAGGAAGCACTCTACTTCCATATGGACTGAAGAATCCCTTTCCCCACCTTGGCCTAGACTGGGCAACCTCTTTCCACTCATTCAGGCAACACCAACAGGGATCAGTAGATAACCCAGAGCGGACCAAAATAGTGACACAAAGGTTCTGAAGACTAAATAGTCACTGGAAGCACAGCCCACCACAAAAAGTAGACCAAGGCCTGTATACTATATACTAAACCTAAATAAATCTTCTAAAAAATGAAAGATTTAAATAGAACCCAAAGTGTCTTAATATCCAGAAATCAATCCAAAATTACCCATCATCCCAAGAAATAGGAATATCACAACTTGAAAGACAAAAGACAATCAACTAATGCTTATAGTGAGAAGAATCAGATTCTGGAATCATCTTGTCATGAGGGTTTAAAGCAGCCATCATAAAAAACAGTTTCAGTAAGAAATTACAAATTTTCTTAAAACTGATGAAAAAATAAAAAATCTTAGCAAAGAAATATGTTATAAAAAAAGAACCAAAATAAAATTATGAAATTAAAAATATACAATTACTAAAATATTTAAAACTCACTGGATGGGCTTGATAGTAGAGTGGAGATGACAAATAATAGAACCAGGGAACTTGAGGAGAGATCACTGTAATTTACCCAATCTGAACAACAAAAAGAAAATGGACTAAAAATAAATGAACACAGCCTCTGGACCTTTCTTTGGGACAATGACACAAGATCCAGGAATCTTAACATCAGAGTCCCAGGAGAGAAAAAAAAGAGTAGGACTGAGAATATTTAAAGAAAAAGCAGAAAATAATTTCCCAAATCTGGTTTATGTTCCAAATTATGAAAGACATATACTTACAGATTCAAGAAGCTGAACAAACCCCAAATAAAGTCAAATAAATTCCTACCAAGACACATCATAATTAAAATGCTGCAAACTAAAGATAAAACAACTATTAACAGCAGCAGACAGAAATGTTTCCATTACATCCAGGGGAACACCAATTTGATGACACCAGGTTTCATGTTTGAAATCATGAAGTCCAGAAACAAATAACACATTCTTTAAGTGCTGTCAACTTGAAGAAAAAAAGAAAAGGAACTGCAAACTGTGAATTGTATCCAGTGAAATTATCCTTCAGGAATGAAGAGGAAATCCAATCATTCTCAAATGTATGTAAACTACAAGAATTTGTCGCTATCAGATTTAGCCTTAAGGAATGGTTAAAGGAATTTCTCTAAACAAAAAGAATATAATAAATGAAAGTATCATGGAGTATCAGGAAGCAAGGAAGGAACAATAGAAAAAGTAAAAATAAGGTCAAATACAATAGGTCATACCTCTTCTCAAATTTTACAAAATAATGTCCATTTTTTGTCCATTATAATGTTTTTTTAATCTTGAGTTTAATTTTTTTTTTTTTTTGAGATGGAGTCTCGCTCTGTTGCCTAGGCTGGAGTGCAGTGGTGCAATCTCGGCTCACTGCAACCTCCGCCTCCCAGGTTCAAGCAATTCTCCTGCCTTAGCCTCCCAAGTAGCTGGGACTACAGGCACCCACCACCACGCCCAGCTAATTTTTGTATTTTTAGTAGAAATGGGGTTTCACTATGTTGGCCAGGCTGGTCTCAAACTCCTGACCTTGTGATCCTCCCACCTCAGCCTCTCAAAGTGCTGGGATTACAGTTGTGAGCCACTGCACCCAACCAAATTTAATTTTATTAATAATAACATTGTTATCTGGCTATTTTTTGTTCATATTAGCCTGGTTTATATTTTGTAATAACTTGGATTTTAATATTTTTGTTTTGCTTGAATTCCAATGTATGTTTTGAAAAAAAATAATGCTGCATTTTGTTTTTTTTACTTATTAGTTTTTTTGTTTTTTTTTTTTTGAGACAGAGTCTCGCTCTGTCACCAGGCTGGAGTGCAGTGGCACCATCTCAGCTCACTGCAACCTCCACCTCCCGGGTTCAAGTGATTCTCCTGCCTCAGCTTCCTGAGTAGCTGGGACTACAGGCGCCCACCACCATGCCTGGCTAATTTTTGTATTTTTAGTAGAGACAGGGTTTCACTATGTTGGCCAGGATGGTCTTGATCTCTTGATCTTGTGATCCACCCTCCTCGGCCTCCCAAAGTGCTGGGGTTACAGGTGTGAGCCACCGTGTCTGGCCCTACTTACTAGTTTTTAATCCAAATGGAGATTCTCAGCCTTTTGATAGATAAGTTTGACCCATTTACATTTATCGTGATAAATTATATTATAGGTCTTATTTTGTGTTTTCTTTTCTTTTTTTGAGACAGGGTTGTGTTTTCTCTTTTCCATACTTTCTGTTTCTTCTATTCCTCTTCTCTCAGTTTCCATGGAATAATCACTTCTTTTCATTTTTCTTTTTTTTTTTTTTTCTTGGAGATGGAGTCTCACTCTGTTGCCCAGGCTGGAGTGCAGTGGCATGATCTTGGCTCACTGCAACCTCTGCCTCCCAGGTTCAAGTGATTCTCCTATCTCAGCCTTCCAAGTAGCTGGGATTACAGGCATGCACCACCATGCCTGGCTAGTTTTGCATTTTTAGTAGAGACGGGGTTTCTGCATGTTGGTCAGGCTGGTCTCAAACTCCCAACCTCAGGTGATACACCTGCCTTGGCCTCCCAAAGTGCTGGGATTACAGGCGTGAGCCATGCACCGGCCAGTCACTTTGAATATTTTACATCCTATTTTTATTCTCCTGGTGCTTGTACCTAATTTATTAAAACCCACACCTGTTTCTTCCCCACCTCCCATCCATTTTTTATGGTTGTGAACGTGTATTTTTTTATGCTGATCGGCCCAGGGTACTATATACAGCAAAACTATTTTTTTTCTTTCTTTTCTTTTCTTTTTTTTTTTTTTGGAGACAGAGTCTCACTCTGTTGGCCAGGATGGAGTGCAGTGGCATGATCTCAGCTCACTGCAACCTCCGCCTCCCGGGCTCAAGCAATTCTCCTGCCTCAGCCTCCCGAGTAGCTGGGATTACAGGTGTGTGCCACCACGCCCGGCTAATTTTTGTATTTTTAGTAGAGATGGGGTTTCACCATGTTGGCCAGGCTGGTCTCAAACTCTTGACCTCAGGTAATCCGCCTACCTCGGCCTCCCAAAGTGCTGGGATTACAGGCGTGAGCCACCACACCCAGCCTTTTTTTTTCTTTTGAGATGGAGTCTCGCTCTATCTCCCAGGCTGGAGTGCAGTGGCATGATCTTGGCTCTCTGCAGCCTCCCCCTCCCAGGTTCAAGCGATTCTCCTGCCTCAGCCTCCTGAGTAGCTGCGATTACAGGTGCATGCCACTATGCCCAGATAGTTTTTTTTGTTCTGTTTTTTGTTTGTTTATTATCATTATTATTATTTTGAGACAGAGTCTCACTCTGTCACCCAGGCTGGAGTGCAGTGGCACAATCCGGGCTCACTGCAACCTCTGCCTCCCGGGTTCAAGCAATTCTCCTGCCTCAGCCTCCCGAGTAGCTGGGATTACAGGCATGTGCCACCATGCCTGGCTAATTTTTGTATTTTTAGTAGAGACAGGGTTTTGCCACGTTGGTCAGGCTGATCTTAAACTCCTGACCTTAAGTGATCCACCCACCTCAGCCTCCCAAAGTGCTGGGATTATGTGAGCCACTGCACCTGGCCAATGTTTTCTTTTTTGTATTTTTAGTAGAGATGGAGTTTCACCATATTGGCCAGGCTGGTCTTGAACTCGTGACCTCAAGTGATCCACCCACCTTAACCTCCCAAAATGCTGGGATTATAGGCGTGAGCCACCACACCCGGCCTAAAAACTGAAAATAGAACTACCATATGATTCAGCAATCCCATGACTGAGTGTTTATCCAAAGGAAAGGAAATGAGTATATCACAGGGATACCTGCACTTCCATGTTTATTGCAGCCATATTCACAATAGCAACTTAAGTGTCCATCAATGGATGACTGGATAAAGAAAATGTGATATATATACATAATGCAACACTATTTGGCCATAATAAAAAATGAAATACTATCATTTGCAGCAAGATGGATGTAACTGAAGGTCATCATGTTAAGTGAAATAAGCCAGGCATAAAAAGACAAGTACTGCATGTTCTCAGTCATATGTGGCAGCCAATAAAGTTCATCTTATGGAGGTAGAGAATAGAATGATGATTACCAGAGGCTGAGAAGGGTGTGGAGGGTGATGAAAAGGGGTTGATTAACAGGTACAAACACACAGTTAGATAGAAAGAATAAGTTAGAATCTTTAATAACACAGTTAACAACAATATATCGTATATTTTAAAATCACTAGAAAAGAACATTTCAAATTTCCCCAACACAAAGAAATGATAAATATTGAAGGTGATGAATATCCCAAATGCCCTGACTTGATTATTACATGTATTTTGCATGTATCAAAATATCACATGTACCCCATAAATATGTACAAATATTATTTATCAATATTACATTTTCTTCTTGTAATCAGTCCTGCTATTGACAAATCAGATTTATTTATGTAATTATTATTTGTTGAGAAGCCACAAAATGCCAGGCACTGTTTTTTTTTTCACGTCGATACCTTTTTTTCTTCTCAACAATCAAAATACAAAGTTAAACACAATTGAGCCATTGTTTTGGTTATGCATAATGTGTATGCCTCCAAAAACAGAAGAAAAATAGGAAGAAGTACCCTCACTAAAGGTTCCCTGACTCGTCTTCCGGCAGATCCAACGAAGGGAGACTCAGGAAAATCACACTTAGAAAGCTGCCCAATGAGGTATTTATGCAAAAAGAGTGTTCTGGAATTAAGAACATACTTTTATATTCCTGTATTTCTCAAAGAGATCAGAAAAGTAAATCACACACATTGAATTTTATTATTTTCTAAAAGAGGCCTCTGCCCCTTTAGAAAAATGAAATGAGGGGAGACAGCCCACGGTGGGGGTTTTAATTGGAAGAAGTCCTCGGCCAGAAACAGTCCTGAATGTTTAACCTCTGCCTTTCAGGAGAGAGGTCTGAATTTTATCATCTGGGGGGTGGGATGAAGGTCGGGGACTGAGCTGGAGGTCTTTAGGCTTGGTCAGGTGACAACACAAATCAACGTGTCGCTCAGGGTCCATAGCTGCTGGATGGCTTTTAGGGTGTCAGATGTTTAGGGAGACGGAGGGAACAGAGCACTGCAAAGATACTTTATTCCTATCTACTGGGAAAAATATGCTGGAAGTATTCAGCTTCAGGTCATGAATTCGACCTGCTGTAGAGGTGTAGGGTTTTTTTTTTGTTTTTTTTTTTGAGACGGGGTCTCACTCTGTCCCCAGGCTGGAGTGCAGTGGCGCGATCTCAGCTCACTGCAAGCTCTACCTCCCAGGTTCACGCCACTCTCCTGCCTCAGCCTCCTGAGTAGCTGGGACTACAGGCGCCTGCCACCACACCCGGCTAATATTTTGTATTTTTAGTAGAGACGGGGTTTCACCGTGTTAGCCAGGATGGTCTCGATCTCCTGACCTTGTGATCCGCCCGCCTCAGCCTCCCAAAGTGCTGGGATTACAGGCATGAGCCACTGCACCCGGCTGAGGTTTAGGTTTTTTCAGGTTCTCTCAACAGCAACCCACTGGAAGGTAAGTGTGGGGAATGCACCAGTTAGTTCCCACTGTCCAGGCTGATGGAGATCTGGCACTACCTGGTACTATTCCAGGCACTGTTTTTAACACTGAGGATTTTTTTTTTAATTGTGATTGTTTTCTTTTGTAGGTGATCTATGTTTTGTTTCTGGTAGGCTTTAGAATTTCTTCGTTAGATTTCACCGTAATATGTGGTGTCTTTTCATAATTTTGTTTGACTCTCTATCAATAATTTCAATATGAAGTCTTTAATTTTTTATTTTTCCATAATTCTTGATTATTTCTTAAAATAGTTCCTCCTCTCTGTTTTTCTTTCCTTATGGATTCTCATAAAGTCTAGTCAGCTTCCATACTGCTTAATATTTCTTTCGTATTTTTCAACTTTTTCTCCCTTCCTGGTATCTTCTGGAAGTGTAGAGTTCCCTAGCCTGATATTGTAGCTTCACTAGAATATTGTAGATATTCACTTTTCAATTTTACACATTCTGCTATCCAATCTAGTATTAACCATCATATTTTGACACACAGTTTCGTTGTTTTTATTTTTATGACAAGTTCTTGCTTGATATTTCCTGTCTCCTCCTTTATCATTCTTAGGATAGCTTTTTAAAAGTATGTGTACAGGCCACACACCTCCTAGGACCGACTGTAGCCATTTGTCTTCCTGTGGGTTTCAAATAAACTTTTCAATAGTTGCTCAATCCAACAATTTCCCTCTTCCAGACAATTCCCAGATTGGATTTTGACAAAGAAGATCCTGTTTTATGTTAGAAAGTGGAATTAGTTAAATTTTCCTGCATAACAATATGACCACATACTCAGTGGTCCAAAATAGCACATGTTTATTATCTCATAGTTTCTATGGGTGAGAGTCTGAGCACAGCTTAAGTGAGTCCTTTGCAGCCAGCTATCAAGATGTCAGGCAAGACAGGGTTCTCATGGGAAGACTCTACAAACAATGATTCACTTCCAAGCACACAGAGCTGTCCAAAGGGTTCAGCTCCTTGCAGGTTGTGGGACCAAGGGCCTTCGGTTCTTGCAGGCTATTGGCTGGAGGCCATCCTCAGTTCCTTGTCATATGGGCCTCCCCAACATCACCACCACTTCATCAAAGCCAGCAAGAGAGGAGTCTCCTAGCAAGACACACGTTAGACTTTTATGTCACCTTTATTGCACTGTATTGGTTAGAAGCAAGTCCCAGTCCATACACAAGAGGGGATTGCACAAAGGTGTAACTACCAGGTGGCTGAGATAATGGGAGTTACAAATCCCTTCTGGGAGCTGGAAATCATCTTTCCTTGAAGTTTCTAAAAGCCACTGAACGGTTTGAAGCACTAAAGTAATAGCATATTCTTGTTTTAGAAAGAGCACTAGCCAGAAAGTGTGGAGAACAGATTGGTGGTAGAGAAAACCTTAGTTAGGGAATCCAGTTACCAGGCTGCAACGGCAATCCTAGTGAAATGGTGGTGGCCCCAACTAAGGTAATGCTACTGAGAATAGAGAAAGATGGAAACAATTGAGTTATTTAAGATACAATGAATAGGACTTGGTGATAAATAGATGGTGAGATCAAAGAGTTAAGAATATTCAGGCTCTGGTTTGTGCAAATGAGTGAGTGGGCAGTAATGTCATTCACTGAGAAAAGGAGGGCAGTCTAGACACGAAGCTGGAGGTGGATGGGTTAGTCCTCTAACAGAATTGGAGAGACTGAATAACTCTCCCTTGAAAGAACCACCTTTTATGATATGTTTAAACTAATGCTTATGTCTGCAAAGAACCTATTGCTTAAATTTGTTACAACAGGTTCAATCTTTTCAACTCATTTTAAATACATGAATTTTAGGATTACAAGTAGTCTGTGGATACAGGAACATCTGACTGAGTGTACAAAGAGGGACCTGCTCTTCCTAAAAACATCCTTCGTATGTTTTGAAAGCAAAAGGATGAGTTCTGGGCGCACAAAATATGGATAAAAGCTATGTATTTTAACGTATCTTACACCGGAGTAATTTGGGTTGAACTCAGCAGCCCTAAGCACTGTGCCGCAGGAACTTGTGCAGACAAAGCGCGGGGACGGACCCTGACTCCGGTCCGCGTCTCCGCTGCTCCCTCCCTCCCTTGCTCTGAGGATTAGACACAGGAGATGCTGCCTCATACTCTCGCGAGACGGACGGAGCTCTTCGATCGTCCGATTCTCCCAGCCGCACCACGGGTGCTCCCACCTGCGGAGAACCGGAGTCTGGCGATGCCAAGGCGCTTCTGGGAATTGTAGTTCCGGGCGGGATGAGGGCAGCACGCCTGGCTCCGCTCCTTCTTACGCATGCGCGACTCCGAGCTGGCCAAAGAAGTTCGTCCCCTTTGTGAGGCCCGGGATGGGAGGTGAGTTGCTTGTGGTGATGTCGCTCGTCTCGGCTCGGCCTCGGCGGTGGTTCCCCGGGTCGTTCTGTGCCGAGTCGGGGCTAGAGTGCGCGTTTGTTAAAGGGGCCTCGAGGGCAGACCATGAGCCCTGTCCCTTCTCACTCTGGCCTGATCCTCTCCTCGGGGGACGCGGTTGTGCCACGGGCGGGGTGGTCGCGGGGTTCTGGGCCAGTGCCCCGAGCGCGGCAGAATTTGTCCAAACTCCTGATGCCCCAGCGTCACCTCTTCCAGGTGCCCGGTTCCCCCAGGGACAGCTTCAAGCGGTAGGGACAGACATCTGAGGACCCAGCCTCAGGGATGCTGTCCCCGGGCTTCCAGGCTCCAGCGCCGTAGGACTGAGGCAGACTCCACGGTGAGAAAGAGACCCGATCTAACCCAGGCCTTTCATCAGAGCCCAGGAGGGAAGGCAGGAAGTGGGACCACGAGGCCCGGGGGGCTTCTAACTCGTCTGGCCAGGGAGATCTGAATTGGGGTGAAGAGCAGAATCTCCAGAACAAGGAGGAGGTGGTGATCATGGAGACAGATTTGGCTGAAATGCCTGAGAAAGGAGGTGAGAATTGCGGACGTGTTGAACTTGTAGCGTGGAAGGACGAAATTCCTGCTCCTGAAGGGAAAACGGTTGGCTCAGGGGAGGTGGCTCTTGGCTGGCTGTCTCCATTGTCTTGGGGATGGATGGGCTTTTTAAGTGAGACTGAAGGGCTTGGTATGGGAGCACCGCCCTTTCCATGGCAGCTGGGCACACAGTGGACCCTTCAAAGCTACCCCCAAAATGTGAGTGAAATGTTAACTTCTATGGCAAGAATTCACCTCTTTGGTTGTCAAAAATGTTTTGTTTTACATAGGAGAAAACAGGCGTAGTAGTTAATGACTGACTTCCATTCTACCTGACCAGTTTCATGAAGGTTGTGCTGTGACCTCCTACACCAGAATTCCCCCTGGGGTGGTTGTTAGATTTCTGGATTGTACCCCAGGCTCAACTAATGCTTATTACTTTGAGGTGGGGTCCAGCAATCTACATTATAAATAAGCTTTCAGAGTGAGAACCAACGAGTATAGATTAAACTGGGAAATTTACTGACATATTCTAATTTCTAGATCAGAGGATGCCATCTTACAGAATGTGTTATGATTATAGCAACTGAATTCGAGCCCAGAGTAGCAATATTCCCGCATATCCCGGGAAGAGGGTCCTGGGAGGAGGTCGGTTGTTTTGGGGGTACCTTCAGTCTCAGTGTTTGTAGGCAGCACATATAGTATGTTGAAGTGGTTTTTAGACTTTAAATCTGAGTGGCACGTTAAGCCTAGGTCTCATCATTACTGCTTTCTTGTCGTTAGCTCTGTCTTCCCAGGATTCTCCCCATTTCCAAGAGAAGAGCACAGAAGAGGGAGAAGTGGCTGCTCTGCGCCTCACGGCCAGATCCCAGGTGAGTGAGTGCTGATTATTGGAATTACACCTTGTTTCTTAGAGTACAGATGCACTCCCTTCTTTGTGATGTGGAGTTTCTTTATCCACTAAAGCCCATCTGCAGAGCTGAGTTCTAAATCTAAGAGACTAGTCAGGAGACTAATGGACTCAGAAGAAAATGTTTTCTACTTATAACACTGGATGGATTTCTTCCCTATTTAGTGTTTATTGTCCCTCAACAGATAGGTAAGCAGCATTTCCCTTTCTTAGCCTCCTATGCTCATTTCTGTGCTTGGTAATGTGAGAAACTATTTTAAATATAATGTGGTACATACCTCTTAAAACTTGTTTCTCTAGAGGAAACAGCATGTATGTGACCTTAAGTGGCAATCTAAGAAAGCACTTAAATGCTGAAGTGATTGTAAAAATAATAAATACTCACATAGTTCAAAGAAATACTGGAAAAGGAAAGCCTATGAAGGCGTAATTTAAAGAGTTACAGTTAGAATCCAGCCCTCTGAGATGATGAAAGCTAAGGTATGATCATGTCTGCAACTTACTTTTATATTGTTGGCCCCTCTCTCCCAAAAGGTAAATATGACAAATATTACGAATGTTTGGCTGGGCGTGGTGGCTCATGCCTGTAATTCCAGCACTTTGGGAGGCCAAGGCAGGTAGATGACTAGGTGAGGAGATTGAGACCATCCTTGCTAACACGGTGAAACCCCGTCTCTACTAAAAACACAAAAAATTAGCCAGGCATGGTGGCACGCACCTGTAGTCCCAGCTAGTCTGGAGGCTGGGGCAGGAGAATCACTTGAACCTAGGAGGTGGAGGTTGCAGTAATCCGAGATCGCACCACTGCATTCCAGCCTGGGCAATGAGGGAAACTCTGTCTCAAAAAAAAAAAAAAAGAATTTTTGAATTTAGGCGGTGATTGTACTATATCAGTGATTATTGCATTCATCTTTCAACTTTTGTATGTTTGAAACTTTTATTAAAAGAAGTTAGGGCTGGGCACGGTGGCTCATGCCTGTAATCCCAGCACTTTGAGAGGCTGAGGCGGGCAGATCACCTGAGGTCAGGAGTTCAAGACCAGCCTGACCAACATGGTGAAACCTCGTCTTTACTTAAAATACAAAAATTAGCTGGGCTTGGTGGTGCGCACTTGTAATCCCAGCTACTCCGGAGACTGAGGCATGAGAATCACTTGAACCCAGGAGGCAGAGGTTGCAGTGAGCCCAGATAGGGCTACTGCACTCCAGCCTGGGTGAGAGTGAAACTGTCTCAAAAAAAAAAAAAAAAAGAAGTTGAGGAGGAAAAAAGGAGCTTTCCATGATGTGTGTGGCATACCACAACCCAGAGATTCCTCAATCAGCCTTTCTCTTTGCTTCTGTAATCCAAGGTGTAAAAAGTAGATACTGCACGTTCATAGTGTTTGTAAAAGTCACTTCCTTTATGTACTTGCCTGTCTCCATTGGCTTCTCAACTGTCTTACATTAGTCTTGAAGACTTTATTAGTCAAGAAGCTTTAAGTTGCAGCTGATAAAGTCAATTCAAATGGGTCTAAGTGAAAAGAAGTAACTATTGACTAACAAACTGAAAAATCTAGGTCTGGCTACATATAGGGCTCAAACAAGAATGTTAAAACCTAATTCTTCATTTTACTGACCTTTTCTCTCCATGGGTTTTATGGCCAAACAAGTTTTTCTCCTAGTGTTGGCCTCTAACGAGTTTAGGCTTACATCTTCCTGTGTTGAAGGCCAGAGAAAAAGGGCAGATTCTCTTCTAGTCATTCTTGCAGAAGTGCTGGGATTGACTCTAATGGGGTATTAGGCCCATTCCTGGATGAGATATTGGCCAAATTTAAGTGTAATTCTTTATAGAATATACCTACACACACACGCACATACACATGCGCGTGCACGCACAAACATCCCACCCATGAATCAGAGATGGCGTCAGTACTACCTGAGCTACACAGATTCAAAGTGGCCAGGCATAGTAGCTAGGGGAAAATTAGGGCACTGGTACCAGAAGCGTGAATATATATTTCAATACTTTGATATCAGATTCAACACTGTTAACAGCATCAAGGTGATTGAACCTATTATGGAAAATTTTTAAAACTCTCTTTGTTCTTTGTGCATTTTATTAGATTTTAAAAATGCAATATTGGAGCTTTTTTTCTTGTTAGAATTTGCCTGGGCTATTTTTTACCTTTGATTTGTTAGATTTTTAAAAATATTAAAAGTTTTAGTTCTTCAATGTAATAAAGTGAACAACACAGACATACAGAAATGTAAAGGTAATGCTACTTCCCCCTCAAATTCAGTCCCTGCCTCTCTCTACTATGTATATTTTTTCACATTTTTTGTTGTACTTGCACTACTGTATTCAGACATATGGTATACTATATTTCCTTCCATCTACCTACCAGTACCCAACCCAGCAATAATATTTTGTTTGGATGGCCTATTCTGTATATAGGATGTGGCTTTTTAAAAAAACCTTTTTATAAGGGAAATTTGCTCATTCACATATAATACATGTGTTTCAAACTTTTATTGCCATGTGATTTTTATAATTCTGTTTCCTGTGCTTTATTGTTTCCTCTTTTGTAGTTTTCCTGCTGTTTGTGCAATGGTTTGCATTTTTGTTGTTCTGGCTTTTTCTTCTAATTTTTGGGCACTTAATCTCCACTGAATGTGGATTTAGTTATGTATATGCAGATTCTAGGCTAAGGTTCATTTTTCCTCATAATGTCTTTTCTACTTAGGGGCTACTTAGTGATTTTTACATATTATTTTATCTTAAGGGAATAATTCTCTTATTATTATTATTATTTTTTTTTTTTTGCTTTTCCAACTTTATTTAGAAAAACAAATCCAGGTCCCAGTGCCCCCTGTACCCTCCCCGACCCCAGCCATAATTTAAATAACTTAGAGACAGAGTTGGAGGGAGGGGACAGGAGAGGTTGGGGTCACGGTGGAAGGAGGAAGAGAGCCCACTACAGCCGCCGCAGCGCCCGCTTCTTGTCCGTCTTTTTCTTGGCCGCCAGCTTCTTATCGCGCTCGCCAGCATGCTTCTTGGCCATGGGACCCTCAGCCCCTCCCAGGCCCCCTGGGGCCCCAGGGTCGGTGGAGGAAGCTGCAGTGCCACTGGCCAGGGCCCGCCCGGCTTCGGCCCTGCCGCTGGGCCCGCCGGCGCCCCCGTGGATCTCTGTGAGCAGACGGGCCCGAGCCGCATACTCCTCGGAGTTCTCCAAGAGCAGGCGGCCCGCCTCCTCGTTGAGTGCAGACTCGGGGTTAGGGTGGATCAGCAGGCACCTGATGGTCAGCAGTACGTGTCGGATGCCCAGCTCAGCCGTCCAGTCCCTCTTGAGCACGTTGACGCAGATCTCGCCATTGGCGCCCACGTTCGGGTGGAAGATCTTGGTCAGGAAGTAGCCCTTGGGTGGGGAGGCAGGGAAGTCCTTCCCCAGCAGGAGTTTCATGCGGAACAGACCTCCAGCATATGGGGTCCCTTCAGGGCCCTCGATGGTGACCTGGAGGTCGGTGAGGTCCTCCTCGTTGGGAAAGACCTTGATGCCATCGGGTGGGTCTGCGGTCAGTGTCGTCACCTCCTTGTACACCAGGCGGATGATGTGCGGGGGCAGTTTCTCCACGTTGGAGTTCATGGCTGCGGCCGGCCGGGGGCGGGTCCCCCCGGCCCCCTTCCTGCGTTCTTCGGTCCGCCGGCCGGGGCGGGGGCCCAACTGCTGCCGCTGCGGCCCTGGAGAGGCCCCGGCGGCCCCGCTCCGCTCCCCGCTGCCTCTGACGTCCGCCGCGCACAGCGTACACCAACCTGCCTCCCCGGTGCCCGGCAGCACTTAATTCTCTTATTTCTTAAATCTTAGATTATTTTCCGCATAGTAGCTTTACTTTGAGATAATTTTAGACATAAGAAGTGTTGCAAATAGCACAAAGAACTTGTATATGCTTCACCCAGATTTTGCAAAAATTTATATTTTACTTTGCTTTATTATTATTTTTTCAAAATCAGGACATTCACATTGGCATAATACTATAACCTACTGACCTTATTCAGATTTTTCCAGCTGTCTTATTTTTCTCTTTTTAAAATTTCTGCTTTTATATTGTAAATATTTCTCTTTTCCTTTGTTTTTTGTTCTAACTTGATTTTTGTGCTCTGGTCATTTATTTACATTTTAAAAAAATGAAATGGAAGTGTTTAAAGCTACAAAATTTCCTCTGAGTACAGTTTTAGCCATGTGGCATTTTTTTTCCTATTTTATTTCATTATTTTCATATTTTGATATATTTTCTCAGTTATTATAAATTATTCCGTTCTATTTTTGGAATGTATTGAAATTTACTTTGTTACTTTTTGCAAATGCTACATGAATGTTTAAACAGTAGGTGTTTTCCATCCAGTTAGAGCATTTGATTCATATTTATTTCAGTAACCTTGAAATATTATTCCTGTTGTCTATGGGTTTACTTAAAGGTGCATGTTCAATGCAGATATGTATCTATCTCCTTATGGTTTTTGTATTTTTTGTCTTATAGAAGTATAATCTTACGATATTTTATACCTAAATATTTATGAATTGTATCTCATAAATTGGAGCCATTTTCCAATTTAATGCTCTTTGCCTTGAATTAATTCATGTTTAACTGGATTGGTTTTTTGCTGTCTTTTCTTTCCGTGACTTCTCCATTTACAAGTTCTGTATTGCAGTTCGTCTTGTGATTGGCTAGATTGACTCTTCAATTTTTTATTGAGGACTCAGAGAAGCATTATGTAGACGTGACTTTTTTTCCCTCTGCTGATATTTTACTTTAATCAAACTACATTGTTGACTTATTGGTTCATATTTTAATACTTTATTCCCCAGAAAAATTGTAGTCTCTCAATGGAGAAACCAGGGTCATCTTTTGGTTCTCATATTGAATCTAGCATAATATGCCTGGTACATAATTGATAGTTACCCTTTACATAAAATACTCCGAATCTGACGACCATTAGAATACTTGTCATTTATCATAGTCAGTTCCCCTCTTAAGTGCATCTCAGGCTTTTGCTCCAGGGCCAGCAGAAACTGGGGGATGAAAGAGAAGTAATTAAGGGAAAGATGTTGAAAAAAATATTTTATGTTTTAGGAAACAGTGACATTCAAGGATGTGGCCATGGACTTTACACCAGAGGAGTGGGGGAAGCTGGATCCTGCACAAAGGGATGTGATGCTGGAGAACTATAGGAACCTAGTCTCACTTTGTAAGAATGGATTGTGATTCTGGAATCTGCTTATAGGAGCATCATTACTTTAATGAAAGTGAAATAGCTTAACAAAGCCTTCACCTTTGCATTCAGGAGTCAAAAAGTGTTAATTCTTTTTGGCCTGTGTAGAAAATCTGTTTTTGCTCTAGATTCTTGATGAAATGTCTGTGCTTGTTTTGTATCAGTATTCTTTGGGTTTAAGTGACAGAAACTTAACTCACACTCTTAAAGGGGAAAAAAATTTTGATTTTTCAGAGATCCAAATATATTATCAAGAATTTCCTTTATTCATTGATTTATTTTTAATCAATTAGCTTGGTTTTGCTCTGTATTAGCTTTATTCCTAGGATTTCCCCATGTGGCAAAGATGGCCAGTGGCAGTCCCAGGGTTACGTTATTCTTCCAGTTAGATAGCAAAGCTAAAAAAGAAAATGCTTCTTTCCTGGGAGTTTCAGCAAATAAGGTCACAGGCCCATCAGTGAAACAATCTCTAGAGCCAGCGAGATTGAGTACTCTGTGGCCAGTTTTAGATCCTGGGCTTACTAGCATGCACGCATACACACATGCATGCATATGATTGTATGAGGGGTGGAGGGGACTGTTAGCCCCTCCCAAACCTTATGTAAAAAAATCCCCTAAGAAAGTGACTTCTGAGGCCGGGCGCGGTGGCTCACGCCTGTAATCCCAGCACTTTGGGAGGCCGAGGCGGGTGGATCACGAGGTCAGGAGATCGAGACCATCCTGGCTAACACGGTGAAACCCCATCTCTACTAAAAACACAAAAAATTAGCCGGGTGCGGTGGCGGGCGCCTGTAGTCCCAGCTACTCGGGAGGCTGAGGCAGGAGAATGGCATGACCCCGGGAGGCGGAGCTTGCAGTGAGCCGAGATTGCGCCACTGCACTCCAGCCTTTTTGTAAGACTCTGTCTAAAAAAAAAAAAAAAATTAAAAAAGAAAGTGACTTCTAATAACTGAAGAAGGAAAGGAAAAACATTAGAAGATAAAACTTCAGTTACCACCGTTACAGTTATGTGGTGCTGCCATTGAGGTCCCGCTTTTTCCTCCTTTCCTGAGGTAAGGACTAATTTGCAACATCTCTCTGAAGTTTCCTCACACAATAAGGAAATAAAGAGAAATTCCTTTCTTTTCTGACAGTTGAAAATATTTGTATTTTCCAAATCCAATTGAACTCCTTACCAGGCCCAGACTCTTGCTGCAGATATTTAAGCTTCATTTAGAGGTCCACCCTCCCTTACTTCAGCTCTTCCTGTAATACTTTGTAGATCAAGAGGTTGAGACCATATTCCGGTTTAGATCTTTATACCCATTACAAATAACTAAGTCCAGCAGGACGGTGGCCATGAAAGTTGGTCGTGGTGGCTCACACCTGTAATCCCAGCACTTAGGGAGGCAGAGGTGGGAGGATAGCTTGAGCCCCGGAGTTCGAGACCTGCCTGGGCAATATAGTGAGATCCCATTAACTTTAAAAATAAAAAATAAAAAGTAAATTTTTATAAATTAAAAAAAAAGAAAGAAAGTTGGAATTCACTAAGGAATATGTAACAATTCAACTGGCTTGAAGAAAACTTCCACAAATAACTTACTCCCATTACTTTCTTCTTTCTGTCTTTTTCTTTTTTTAAATGAATAGGGCTTCCAGTTTCCAAACCTGAGAGCTACAACTTGGAGAATGGAAAAGAACCATTGAAGCTTGAGAGAAAAGCCCCCAAAAGCAGCTATTCAGGTGAGCCAGATAGATGGGAGTCTTCATAAATGATAGCCCAGCAGGACAATGAAGAAATACTTTTCAGTGCTTAAGAAAGTGCCTGTGTGCCCTTATTTTTAAATTTTTTTAAAATTCTAAAGCATTTAAAATATATACAGAAGTCCAGAAAATAAAATAACATTCATGTATCCATCACTGAGATTAGACACGTACTAATATTTTGCTTCGTTTGCCTCTTTTCTTTCTTCCTTTCTTTTTCTTACAATATAAAACTAATAATTATACAGTTGGATGAATTTTCACTAATTTAGCACATTCATGTAACGATTGCCCAAATCAAGAAAATAGCCTTACCAGCGCCTCTAGAAGCACCGGTGTGCCCTGTTTCAGGACCCTCCCTTCTCCCAAGGGTCACCTTATCCTAACTTATAGCACCAAGTTTTGACGGTTCTTGAACTTTCTATAAATGGAATCATATTGTATATACTCTTGTGTCTGGCTTCCTTCACTGCACATTAGCTGTGAGATACATCTTTGTTGCTGCATATCATCATAATTTATTCATTATCATTGTATAATTTTTTGTTTTGTTAATATACCCAGTTTATTCTTCTGAAGATGAGTATTTGGATAGTTTCCAGTTTTTAGCTGTCTGAATAATGCCACTATGTACACTTTTTAAATGCCTTTTGGTGAACAAATATATGCATTTCTTCTGGATATATACATACAAGTAGACTTGTTTTATCAGAGGATAGATACATACTCACTTTTGGTAGATAGTGCCAAAGAGGTTTCTAGAGTCATTGTACCAATTACATTCCTAGCAGCAGAGTATGTGCGTTCTAGTTGTTCCACATGCTTGTCAACACTTAATATTGCTTGTTTTCATTTTAGCCATCCTTTTGAGGTGTGTGATGTCTTTTATTTTTTAAGAAATAAAAATATTACATATTCAGTTAAAGCCCTTTTATTCTCAGCTGGGTGTGGTGACTCACGCCTGTAATCCCAGCACTTCGGGAGGCCAAGGTGGGTGGATCACCTGAGGTCAGAAATTTGAGACCAGCCTGGCCAACATGGTGAAACCCCGTCTCTACTACAAATACAAAAAAATTAGCCGGGCATGGTGACAGGCACCTGTAATCCTAGCTACTTGGGAGGCTGAGGCAGGAGAATTGCTTGAACCCAGGAGGCAGAGGTTGCAGTGAGCCGAGATCATGCCATTGCACTCCAGCCTGGGTGACAGAGGGAGACTGTGTCTCAAAAAAAAAACAAAAAGCAAAGAAAAGAAACCCTTTTATTCTCTTTCTCCCCTAGAAGTAACCATTATATCTTGAAATTGGTGTGAATCATTTCGGTGTTTTTGTATGTGTGTGTATACACAGAGATATATACATATGTATGTAAAACAATCTGTATGTTTTATTGTTACACTTTTTCTTATGTAGTCTGATTTCTTAAAGTTCACATTGTATTTCGATATTAATCTATGTTAATATATATGAATTATGTTATTCATTTTAACTACTGTGGAGTCATAAGTCCACTGTATGAATAAACTGAACAGTTTATTTTTTTTCTGTTAGCAGTTGCAGTGATCATCCTTTTTTTGATTCCTTATGTTCATCTTGAGAGCTGGTTTAGGGAGATAACTGGAAGAAGAATTAGTAGGTCTTAAATCATCACATGTTTAGCTTTACTAGGAACTGCCAACAGTTGAGTTATCAGACTTGTTAATTTTTGTCAATCTGACGGATGCAAAATGATGTTTTAAAATTTTCATTTCTCTGAGTGATAAATACAAGTTTGAGCATTTCATGTTACTTGGCTATTCAAGTTTCTTGTGAGTTACCTGTTGATACCCTTTGCCTGTTTTTTGAGATTGGGCTGTTTATATCTTTTCTCTTGATTTGGTGGAGTTCTTCATATATTTTAGGTACTAATCTATGACAGAAGTAGCATTGCAAGTCAGTGAGAAGAAATTGGTTCTTCTAATCTTTGGCTTATTTTATTTTCTGGTGTGTTAGGCATATAGAATTAAACATTTTTAATAACAAACTTTTTTTTTAAATAGTGCTTTTTGTGAATTGTCTATCTACTTTATCCCAGTGTCAGAAAGATTATTTTATTCCAAAATGTTCAATTTTGTTTTACAGGTATTTATTTTTGTATATGATGAAATGGGAAAACTAATTTTGTCTTTTTCCATGCTGAAAGCCAATAAGTCCAGCATTGTTCATGGAATAATCTTATGTTACTGATTTGTAATGCTACCTGTGGTAAACCCAGTTCCTCAGCATACTTAGTTCTATTTCTTGTCTCTCTGGTTTACTTGTCTGTCTATGTCTAATACCAGACTGTTTTATTTACTATACTTAGTATTATATATAGCTCATAAAGAAAATCCTTCCTGGATATTATTATTTTTAAAAAAGTTATACTTTTGAATATTGAAAGAGTTTAAAAATCTTTCCGTGATTATGGATATATCTGTTTCACCCCAGAGACCTATTAGTTTCTGTGACTTACCCACTCACCACCCATCTCCCTTTTTTGGGGTATTGCAGTTTTCATAGTGATCTGTTAAGAGGTCCTTATATATGAGGTTTTTACCTTTTCTTATGTTACAGATATTTTTTCTAGTTTTTGACTTTCAGTTTTGCTATGCATTTTGATGTACAAGTTTAATTTTTTTTTTTTTTGACGGAGTCTTGCTCTGTCTCTCAGGCTGGAGTGCAGTGGCACGATCTTGGCTCACTGCGGCCTCCACCTCCTAGGTTCAAGCAATTCTCCTGCCTCAGCCTCCCGAGTAGCTGGGATTACAGGCATACGCCACCAAACCCGGCTAATTTTTTTTTATTTTTAGTAGAGATGAGGTTTCACCGTGTTAGCCAGGGTGGTCTCGATCTCCTGACCTCATGATCCGCCCGCCTAGGCCTCCCAAAGTGCTGGGATTACAGGCGTGAGCCACTGCGCCCGGCCCTCAAGTTTAATTTTTTATAATCTTTTTTTTTCTGCCTTTTCAGTGCTGCTTAAAATGTGTTTCATTAATCCAAGGTTACATATATATTTGCCTCTGTTTACTAGTATATTCTTTAATTTTTTCTTTAGATTCTTAATCCATTTGGAATTGCTTCTTACTTCTCTGAGTGTATCTTCTTAGCCTTCTTTTTTGAACAATTAAATATTCTAATTACTCAAAATTTGATTTTAATCTCCCTTCCTTTTGTATACCTGGAGTCATAAACTTGAGTACTTACATGGGCCAGGAGGTAATAACACTGAGTTAAGCAAGCAAGGTGGAAACTGGTGAACCAGAGGAGTACAGGCCTCAACTGAAAGGAGTGGCTCTAGCTCAAGGGCTGGCAAGCTTTTTATGTAAATGGCTAGACAATAAATAATTACCCTTTGTGGGACATGGTGTCTCTGCAGCCATTCGATCTTCCACAGTAGTATGAAAGCAGCCCTAGAAAATGCATACATGAATGGGTATGTTCCAGTAAAAAATTATTTAGCAAAGTAGGCAGCAGGCTGTAGTTGCCAATCCCTGCTCTAAATGGTGGTTGTTGTTCAGTACGCTTCCAGTTTTTTTCAAGAGAGAAACTCTAAATTTGCATTTATCTGTAATCTGCCCCCCCCCCGGCTTTTTTTTTTTTTTTTGAGATGGAGTCTCGCTCTATTGCCCAGGCTGGAGTGCAGTGGTGCGATCTTGGCTCACTGCAAGCTCTGCCTCCTGGGTTCACGCCATTCTCCTGCCTCGGCCTCCTGAGTAGCTGGGACTACAGGTGCCCGCCACCACACCCGGCTAATTTTTTTGTATTTTTAGTAGAGATGGGGTTTCACCGTGTTAGCCGGGATGATCTCAGTCTCCTGACCTCATGATCCGCCCTCCTTGGCCTCCCAAAGTGCTGGGATTACAGGCGTGAGCCACTGCGTCCAGCAATAATCTCCCTATTTTTAACTGTGTATAACTAGTTTTAAAAGTTTGTATAAAAAGTGTGGCCCAGAGAAAATGTGTCTAAGGTCTGATTTGGCCAACTGATCAACTGTTTGCAGCCTCTACTTACTACTTCATTAGTCTCATCATTCCCACAACCAGTTACCTTCTATCAAGATGAGTCCCAAATTGGTATTTCCATCCTAGAGCTCTCCTCAGGGCTGTTCTCAACATCTTAACTATTTGATTCCTTTGTTTGCTTATGTCAAAGATACTTCAATACAACATGTTTAAAACTGAATGTCTAAAATAAGTCTAAATTTCCCATCTCCCCAACAGCATCCTTTTCCAGTAATTGTTTTAATGGTACTTACTGTCATCAAATTGTACGTGGTGGAAATCTACGCACAGTCTTTACATCACCCCCTCTCTCCTTTATCCAATTAATCACTGTATTTACCTAATTATATTCTAAGTATTTCTTCACTGTTAATTTTCCTTCATATATTTTTTGTTTTCCTGGATTACTGTGATAATCTTTGTGATTCCGCCTTTGCCCTCATATACTTCATTCTCAACATTGTAGTGAGACTGATATTTTCATAATCAAATCTCATCTTGTCATCACTCTGCTTGGAACATTTGAATGGCTTCTCGCTGCCTTCACGGTAACAGACAAAATCCTGGAGGTCTACAAAATCTTGTGAAATCTGGCTTTTACTCATTATCCCAACCTCATTTCACAGCTACTCTTCTTCCATCTCTGTGCTCTAGTGTAGCAGTTCTGAATGCTTTGGCATCAGAGGACCTACTGTAACTATAAAAATTGTTAAAGACCCTAAAGATGTTTGATTTATGTAGGTTACATCTACCAATAGTTACTATACTACAAGTTAAAACAGAAAAATTTTAAGCTATTAGCTAATTCATTTAAAAATAATTGGCCGGGTGTGGTGGTCCACACTTGTAATCCCAGTGCCTTGGGAGGCCAAGGTGGGTGGGTTGATTGAGCCCAGGAGTTAGAGACCAGCCTGAGCAATAAAGTGAGACCCCATCTCTTAAAAGAAAAATAGAAATAAAAAATTATAAACATGTCGTGTTAGCACAGTATATTTTTTTGTTAAAAAACATCTATTTTCTTTAACCAAAAAATGTTATTAAGAAGTATGGCATTGTTTTACACTTTTGCCAATCTCTTTAATGTATGACATTATAGAAGGTAGCTATATTCTTACAACTGCTTCTGAATGCAACTTGATATGACATGTTGTTTTGGTTGCCATGCATGGAGAAAATCCAGCATCACACAGATACAAGTTGGAAAAGGAAGGAGTATTTTATAGTCTTTTCAGGTAATTATGGCTATTCTTCTTTGAAACAGCTCCAAAACTGAACAAGTGATACTTTCTGAAAGATTAGGTACAATGTAGAATCTGAAACCACATCCATAAATTTTTCATATATTGAAATCTATCAATCTTTTGGACAATATTGGTTCACTAAGTGCAGATCTTCTTTGTTGACACTTTATATTGTGCAATATTTTTGAATATTATAACTTTTAGTATCACAACTGACCTTATCAGAAAAGCCTTTAAGTTTTAGGAAGCCATCAAGCTCTCGGTGGTAAATAGAAGTTTTCCAAAACTTGTAATTTCTGCCTGAAAGCTCAAATTTTATAAAAAACTCATTTGTTGTCCTTGATATGACAGGTTCACTTTGTTCATTTTTGAGAAACTGTCTGCCAGATACCCAAGTTAGATAACATAGTTTGCCATTCAGTCATCCTTTCAGGTAAAATGGTGGTCTGTGAAACAAGTGGCTGGTTCAGCTCACAACTCAAATGATTGCATGGTATATTTCCTCAAGATGACCATTGTTCTTTGGTATAAACAGAATTGCTTTACGAATATTTCCTATTTCATTAACCCTGAATATTAAAAAGGCACTTCAAGGATTAAAATTCAATGAAATTAATGTTTATGCTTCCTTAGACATTTTTGAATAAAACTGGCTTTTTTTTTTTTTTTAAACCAAGAGTACATGATGGGGAAGAATACAAGGACTACTAGTAAGTTTAGTATCATTGTGTTGATTTGTGCGAAGTTGTAAGCAATTTTACCATTACTTTTACAACATCATGGAAAATGTTGAGACAATGAAAAAGGCAAATAACATCTAAATGTTATTTTGGAAGCAGTTTTGAACTTATAGTTTCCCAGGGATTCATGGACCATACTTGAGGATCTTTACCTCTACCTACCTATACAAGCCTTATGTCAATTTATGTTTTATTTATTTAACAAGCACTTAATGTAGCACTTATGCTGTGTCAGAGTTTTAAATGCTTCATAGATATTTGCATTAATGCTCATTAAGGTAGCTATTGCTATCATTCCTTGCAAGATGGATACTGTTATTGCCCTCTCTTACACATAAGGAAACCGAAGTAAAGAGGTTAAATAACTTATCCAGTATCACACAGCTAGTAAGTGGCAAAACTGCAATTCAGATTTTGCTCGTGAATGTTAGATTAAATTTTCTCTTCCTCTATATGTATAGTGACTGTTTTTTCCCAGTGACTAGTTCAGAGCCTAGCACATGGAGGATATTCTATAAATATTTGTTGAAAAAAATGGATAGAAGATGAATAGATAGATGAATGAATATAATTTATTTGAGTGTATGAAATGAGTGACTCATCTAACTTAATTTTCTTCTAATAGTTAATCAGTTGCCATGGCATCATTGGAAAAACAAATCTATGTTTTGTTCACTGACTGAAATACCACCTTCATATTATCTTTAATTCTTACATATACTTTATTTCTGTATTTGCTCTTCTATTTTACTCCTGTTTATTTCTTTGAACTACAGTGCTTAAAATATTTTCTCTATATAAATTAGCTTTATATTGGATATAAAAATTCTACTATATTTATATTAGATATATTTAGAGAGGTTAAGCTTCCATCTCTGCCCTCTCTCCCATGTTCTGATGTTTTCCCTATAGGTACAAATTTTTATTGGTTTTCCATTTATCCTTTTTTTATTTTTTTTTAAATGTAAGCAAACAGTATAGGTATTTGTACCCCTTTTTTTTCTTTATAAAAAAGTAGCAAACTGTGTGTGCTTATTTATAGCTTGCTTTTTCCTTTTAAACTTAATATATCCTGGTGGTCACCTTATAGCAATATGTAAAGATCTTTGTTATTTTTTCAGGAGATGGATAGTACTCCATTGTTTGTATCCACTATATGTTCAATCATTTCTGTATAGTAGGATATGTGAAATGTTATCAGTCTTTTGCTACCTGAATTAGTGCTTCAACAAATAGCCTTATGCATATATCATTTCATATATTTGTCATTATGCCTTTGGGAGATCATAGGAGGTTTTTGATCAGCAAAATGTTATAAAAGCATTGTTAGGAAGATTAAACTGGCAATGGAATACATATTTGGATGTGAGTAGGATTGGAATAGTGAAAATTTAGAAGCCATAACTGTACTGTACATTAAGATGGTTATGTGCCTAGAAATTTATTACAATAAGTAGGTATTCTATAAAAAGTTATTTCTTCCCATCCTGATCTGTGTACTCATTGTCTGCTCATCTGTGGATATATTGCTTCATTGGCATCTCTACTCTTATATTTTTTGTCATCTTTCTCCTCTTCCGACTCTCCTGGATAGGATGTACTTATTTTCTCTGCATAGTCTGAGCATTTGTTTCCCTCCATTTGTTTCTCTTTGCAAATCATCTGAAAGAGTCAAATCCACTTGCTCCTTGAAGGCATGCTTTTCACTTTCATTAACTCTTACCTATTACAGAACTGCCTTTTTGTTGAGCACAGAAAACGAAGGAAATTTGCATTTCCAATGTCTTTCAGACATGGAGACTAGACCACAGAGCAAGGATTCAACTTCAGTGCAAGATTTTTCCAAAGCAGAATCATGCAAAGTTGCAATAATAGACAGACTGACACGGAATAGTGTCTATGACTCTAACTTGGAAGCAGCCCTTGAATGTGAAAATTGGTTAGAGAATCAGCAAGGAAATCAGGAGAGACATTTGAGAGAAATGTTCACTCACATGAATTCACTCTCTGAGGAAACAGACCATAAGCATGATGTATACTGGAAAAGCTTCAATCAGAAATCTGTCCTTATCACTGAAGACAGAGTTCCCAAAGGATCTTATGCCTTCCATACACTTGAAAAAAGCTTGAAACAAAAATCAAACTTAATGAAAAAGCAGAGAACTTATAAAGAGAAAAAACCTCATAAATGTAATGATTGTGGTGAACTCTTCACCTACCATTCAGTGCTTATTCGACACCAGAGAGTCCATACTGGAGAGAAACCCTATACCTGCAATGAATGTGGGAAATCTTTTAGCCACAGAGCTAATTTAACTAAACACCAGAGAACTCATACTAGAATTCTCTTTGAATGCAGTGAATGCAAGAAAACCTTCACAGAAAGCTCATCCCTTGCAACACATCAGAGAATTCACGTTGGAGAGAGACCTTATGAATGCAATGAATGTGGGAAAGGTTTTAATCGAAGTACACATCTTGTGCAGCATCAGTTGATTCATACTGGAGTGAAGCCTTATGAATGTAATGAATGTGATAAAGCTTTTATTCATTCATCAGCACTCATTAAACATCAAAGAACTCATACTGGAGAGAAACCTTATAAATGTCAAGAATGTGGGAAAGCCTTTAGCCATTGCTCATCCCTAACTAAGCATCAGAGAGTTCATACTGGAGAAAAGCCATATGAATGCAGTGAATGTGGAAAAACTTTTAGTCAGAGCACACATCTTGTTCAACATCAGAGAATTCACACTGGAGAGAAACCCTATGAGTGTAATGAATGTGGGAAAACCTTCAGCCGGAGCTCCAATTTTGCTAAACATCAAAGAATTCATATTGGAAAGAAACCGTACAAATGTAGCGAGTGTGGAAAAGCCTTCATTCATTCATCAGCTCTCATTCAACATCAGAGAACTCATACCGGAGAGAAACCCTTTAGATGTAATGAGTGTGGGAAAAGCTTTAAGTGCAGTTCATCTCTCATCAGACATCAAAGAGTTCACACTGAAGAGCAACCCTGAAAAATTACTGAATGTGAAGAAATGTAAGTTGGTTTTATCACTGTATTAAATACTTGAGTGTTTAGGTGGAAGGCGCATCCATAATATGCATGTGAGGACCAATTCTGTATGCATCTAATTTCATTTGCGTAATACATAGTTTTGAGCCATAAGCAGGTTCTTTATGTCCGTTAATTTGATAATTATGAAATCTAGCCAGCGATTTCAAAATTTTAATCTCCAACGTCCCAAATAGCTATCTGTGGAAATTCAAGAAGTCCCTGAGAGTAGGTAGCAGTACGAACATTGTGAAATCCAGTTTTCCCCTCTCTTGTTTATGTCAGAGCTTTGTTGTAAGCCTCTCACTTTGTAAGGAAATTCTTATTGGGTAGGTTAGGCTGAGGGCTTACATCCTTATCATCAGGAAGACACAATGTTGTTATTTATTACTCCTTGAGATCTAGATACACATATGGTATAATTCATCTAGAGTGTAATTTCTTTTATATTAGCCTTAAAAACCAAAAATGCTGGGTTCAAAGTCCTTAGAATTCCCTTCCTCCCTCAACAAGCTGCTGTCTATGTTGATGACCATAACTGGGATGTATAATATTTACAGACAACTCTAAGTTACGTTCACATGGATTATGTACATCATTGATTTTTTTTTTTTTTTTTTTTTGAGACAGAGTCTTGCTCTGTTGCCCGGGCTGGAGTGCAGTGGCGCGATCTCGGCTCACTGCAACCTCCACCTCCCAGGTTCATGCCATTCTCTTGTCTCAGCCTCCCAAGTAGCTGGGACTACAGGCACCTGCCAGTACGCCTGGCTAATTTTTTTTGTATTTTTAGTAGAGATGGGGTTTCACCATGTTAGCCAGGATGGTCTTGATCTCCTGACCTCGTGATCTGCCTGCCTCGGCCTCCCAAAGTGCTGGGATTACAGGCATGAGCCACCATGCCTGGCATCATCATTGATTTATGTCATTGTTATCCCTCTACCGCGGAGACCTTCTTTCATTTTCCATTTCCCTGGGAGTTCACGTGAAGTAGTGAATGGGTCAAAATCTTAACAGTGGTTGTTGATCAAGTCCTTCCTTTCTTATCCTTGGCACTGAATAAATCTTTGGTTTTCCATAATCAAAGGGTGAGGGAGACTTCTTTTGTCTACATTATTCAGCTTTCTGAAAGCTATGCTGTGTCCATTTGAGAAAAAGCCCCAGGGATATTGAAGGTCTGAGAAGTTGAGTGGTTCAGTGTGTTATTATATTTAGGGTCCCAGTAAAGAAGAACTGAAGCAACTGTGAGACACCAGGGCATACTTCCCTGTATGAGTGGAAAACAAGGCACGGAAAATAGCTCACAGGATAGTCCTCAACTGACTTGCTTGAGGATAAGCAGCTTCCCTTCGTGAAGAAGTTGCCATTTCTCTGGCCTTCATATTTATCTACTTTTTGTTATTGTTGTCTGTATCGGTTCAATCTCACACTGCTATAAAGAAATGCCTGAGACTGGGTAACTTATAAAGAAAAAAGGTTTAATTGGCTCATGGTTCCATGGGCTGTACAGGAAGTATGACTGGGGAGGTCTCAGGGAGCTTTTACTCATGGCAAAAGGCAAAGCCAGAGCAGGTATCTTCACAGGGCTAGAGCAAGAGGAAAAGAGAGAGGGGAGGTGCTACACACTTTTTATGCAACCAAATCTCATGAGAACTCTATCACGAGACAGCAGTAGGGGGACAGTGCTAAATCATTCATGAGAAACTACCTGCGTGGTCCAGTCACCTTGCACCAGGCCCCACCTCCCACATTGGGGATTACAATTAAACATGAGATTTGGGTGGGGATACAGATCTAAACTGTATCATTACTCAAAAAAAAAAAAAAAAAGAAAGAAAAGAAAACACAGGAAAAGGAACTCACCTCTTTTATCATCTTAGTATTTAGTACTAATGGTTTAGAGCAGGAATTGACAAACTGTGGCCTGGACTCATGGACCAACTCTGGCCCACCACCTGTTTCTCAGAAGAAAATTTTATTGGAACTCAGCCACACTTACTCATTTACATGTTGTCCTTGACTGCCTTTGTGTCCAGTGTCAGAACTGAGTAGCTGCAGCGGAGGTTGTGCCTCTGGGCTTTAATATCACAAACAGAGCAGCTTATAAGCAACAGAAACTTACTTCTCACAGTTTTGGAGGCTGGGAAGTCCAAGATCAAGGTGTCAACATATTTAGGGTCTAGGGAAGGTCTGCTTCTTGGTTAATAGAAAGCACCTTTCACTGTGTCTTCACATGGTAGAAGGGGAGAGCTCTGGTATCTTCAGCCCCTTATAAGGGCACTAATCCCATTCATGAGAGCTCCACCCTCACGACCTAATCACCTCCAAAAGGCCCCATTTCGTAATACCGTCAGTTAAGTTTCATTATATGACTTTGATGGGGATATAGCCCATAGTAGGTTGTATGTCCCTGAAAGCCTAAAATATTTACTGTTTGGCTCTTTACAGAAAATATTTTCTTGGCCCCTGTTCCAGAGCATTCATCAAGTCAGATAAAGGGTTTAAACCAGTCAGAGAAACTAGGTGGAATGGAAAAGTACTGAGAGATAATTGGGGACAGAAAAATAAAAGAGATGGGAAATGCTGCATCAAAATACTCCTACCTCTAGGATGTTACTATATATTGTTAGGAGAATTCAAGTTATTGAAACTTGCCAAATTCTTGAGTGAAGAGGAATTCATTTGAGAGCCAAAATTTGACTAAGGAAAGAAGACCAACATGGGCTTTCCAAAGTTGAGTTTGAATTCTGCCATCCCCACTAAGCAGTCATGTGACCTTGGAAAAACTCCCTACTCTGAGTCTCAGTTTCTTTATCTGTATTAGGTTTCAACAAAGGGAATAAATCATTGGCTTCTCATGAGGTTGTCATAAGGATTAAATAAGACAATGCATATAAAAGAACTGGCAGACAATAAATATAGAGTCCCCCACTCCTGCTTGGTGCTCTCTTTCTCTCTCCTTCTCTACATAGAGAAGTGCCAGAGCATCCGTCAGTAGAAGTTACTTAAGGTTGGCTGTGTCTTCCACATCTTTTGTTTACCCATGAAGAACTGTGACCATCTTGTTCTGTGTCTTGTCATAAAGATGGGACGTGACTTCTTTCTGCTCTTGCTTCCATCTGGTGCTGTTTTCTGCACAGCCTCCTTGAGACCTTCCAGAACCTTCTTTTTTCCTACTTCATATCACTTAACCAGTAGCTATCTGGGATGGTTCCAGAGGCTGAAGTTTGCAGTTGAATAACATTTTAAATAGTGTTAAGCGACTTGGGATCTCTGGCCCTTTGCGTTTCAGTATTTGTCCTTTTTATGCCTGATGTTTAACCTGCCACATGTTTGTACTGCAACATGAATCTTGGAAATTTTAATGTTATGCATTTCAAATGTTTTTGGTTATCTGTAAACTAAATGTGCCCTTATTGGCTCACTTGTCAATAAAGATGTTTGTATATGTATTGTCAGAAACTTTTGTAAATTGCTTTTAAATTCTTCCTTTTTTAAAGCATATTTTAAGATGTAATGAAGGACCAACCAAAAAATATCTCCATATCATTCAGGATACCAATCCCATTTCTAGCTGGTCATCTGGCTTCACAACTTCTGGAGAGATGGGATGGGAGATACCGTCAGCAACCCAAGTATCTGCAAGAAGGTTAAGGAGTAGAGGAAGATAGTTTCTAACAAGTAGTACTGAGTCCCCAGGCCAGGTATAGGCACTACTCAGTAGGGCTAATTGGGGTGAAAGGGAGGGAATAACTTCGTATAAAAAGCACAGTTAAAATTAGGCAAAATGGGCCAGGTGCGGTGGTTCAAGCCTGTAATCCCAGCACTTTGGGAGGCTGAGGGAGGCAGATCACCTGAGGTCAGGAGCTCGAGACCAGCCTGACCAACATGGAGAAACCCCATCTCTACTAAAAATACAAAATTAGCCAGGCATGGTGACACATGGCTGTAATCCCAGCTACTCGGGAGGCTGAGTCAGGAGAATCACTTGAACCCGGGAGGCAGAGGTTGCAGTGAGCCAAGATAGTGCCATTGCACTCCAGCCTGGACAACAAGAGCGAAACTCCATCTCAAAAAAAAAAAAAAAAAAAATTAGGTAAAATGTCATAAAAATCTTATTTTGTGTAACTTTTCAATTATATCTGGTTTGGGGGAAGACAATGTAATATCACCCAAAAGTATAAAAGTGATAATGTAAGAATACTAAATATTCAAATTGATTGGCAATTAACTAGATCAATTATCTATTGAAAATTTGTCATAGTTTTTATTTTCTTAGATGTGTTCTCACTTTTAAAAATATGTGTTTATCGGTTGGGCGCGGTGGCTCACGCCTGTAATCCCAGCACTTTGGGAGGCTGAGGCGGGTGGATCATGAGGTCAAGAGATCGAGACCATCCTGGCCAACATGGTGAAACCCTGTCTCTACTAAACATACAAAAATTAGCTGGGCGTGGTGGCTACTAGGGAGGCTGAGGCAGGAGAATCGCTTGAACCCAGGAGATGCAGGTTGCAGTGAGCCGAGATTGAGTCACTGCACTCCAGCCTGATGACAGACCAAGACTCTGTCTCAAAAAAAAAAAATGTGTTTATCAGAAGATGACTCAAGTTGGAAGCCTGCTTTCTTCCCTTCCTTGTGTAATTCTTTCTGGGCCCCAACTAGGCAGTCTTGGGACCCATAGCCATATGAGCTGTCCCTCTCCATAAGTTTCATTGACAAGGTAGAAGGCTATTCCCTGTAGTAATATATATAAAATGTGGCATCTGGTCCTACTGTGTAGTTTCCACTTATAAACCTCAAAAAATTAGATGTTTTTACTGAATTGTTTTTTATTTTTTTCATGATGTAACCTCTGTTTATAAATCCCTTAGATTGAGTGAACTATACAAAAAAGGTGCATGCTTCACCTCCCTCCCACTCCCACCAATTCATGAAACACGTAATCATCATGTCAGCAAAGTTCACATATCTGGGGCAATCCATGGAGTCAAACTAGAGATAAATGCTTTGCTATTAATAGATCGAGGACTGTCCGCCTCCATCTCTGCTCTGGCTTCCTCTCTGTTGGATGTGCTTTTCTTAGTCTCTTGCAGCGACAAATAGCCTACTGGCACTTGGAAGTTATATTACGGTTCTTGGCATTCACAATTCCAAGGAAAGTACCTCTTTCCAAATAGCTCCAGCAAAATCCCTGAGGCTACTTCTCCACTTTGCTTGAGTCGTGCTGATCACTGAACCTTTTATAATACCACCCTGGAAATGGGGTCCTCTCATCGACCAGGCTTGAGTCTGTGTAAAACCCTGGAGGAAGAGAGGGTGGAGTCCATCCCATTGATGCAACTTGCACTGTGGGTGGGGACAGGGTGCTTCCCTCAAATAAATCCAAAGATGCTGTGCAGGTAAAACAAACACTGCTATTGGAAGTTAACTTCAGCATGAATAAGACTATCTGGCCTCCTGCTCCCCATCTATTCCCCCCCACAAGAGCAGTTTTTCAAAGATCAAACAGTGATAACATTGACAGAAGTTTAAAACCTAAGAAAGTTGGGTGCAGTAGCTCATGCCTGTAATCTCAGCACTTTGGGAGGCCAAGGCGGACAGATCACGAGGTCAGGAGATTGAGACCATCCTGGCAACACGGTGAAACCCCGTCTCTACTAAAAATAACAAAAAAATTAGCCAGGCATGGTGGCGGGCGCCTGTAGTCCCAGCTACTCGGGAGGCTGAGGCAGGAGAATGACGTGAACCTGGGAGGCAGAGCTTGCAGTGAGCCAAGATCGTGCCACTGCACTCCAGACTGGGTGACACAGCGAGACTCCATCTCAAAAAAAAAAAAAAAAAAAAAAACTAAGAAAGTATTTCCAACATTGATTTCATAGAGTTTCTGTGAGGGTTATGTGAAATTATATATGTGAAAGGGCTTTGTTGCACATTGCTGAGTTATATTTTGATGATAATTTTCTATTCTTTGAGACCAGGCTCTAGTATACAAAAAGCATGGACCTCTCACCAGGGTGCCATTTCTTAATGCTAACTTGTGCTACCTGTCCTTTGTGGCCTGGCAGGGAATCTTTGCTCATCAGTAGTCACTTAGGGACCCGAGATGGTATAGGGCAGCCACCACCATAAATATTACTTTTGCCATATCAAAAACATAGTTTTATGTATGGTTGATTCAATTCCCAGTCTCGTGACCTATGCATCTCATGTTGTAGTGACTCAAACCTGCTGGGTTATCCAGGACTGTAATTTTTTTTTTTTTTTTTTTTTTGAGACAGAGTCTCGCTCTGTCACCCAGGCTGGAGTGCAGTGGCGCGATCTTGGCTCACTGCAAGCTCCACCTCCCAGGTTCATGCTATTCTCCTGCCTCAGCCTCCCAAGTAACTGTGACTACAGGCGCCCGCCACCACGCCTGGCTGATTTTTTGCATTTTTAGTAGAGATGGGGTTTCACCGTGCTAGCCAGGATGGTCTCGATCTCCTGACTTCGTGATCCGCCCGCCTAAGCCTCCCAAAGTGCTGGGATTACAGGCGTGAGCCACCACGCCCGGCCCAGGACTATAATTTTTAAAAACCCATGGTGAGATCTGGCTTCAGATATGACTGGATTCAGATATTCAGAAGATGTCATCAGCTCATTCTCTTGCTATCTCAGCACCATTTAATTCCATCTGAATTTATAATTAACGCTTTATAATTTATTATAATAACTATCAGAATGAAGGAGAGTAAAATCCTTTATTGGAGTATAAGACATGATTATTTCAAAGAGGAGTTGATCAGTGTTCCCCTGAGAGTAAGAATGCATTATATACAGTGTGGACATCTCCAGGGCCTTCCAAACATAAGTAAGTATACAGTTTCTGAAACATTTGTTTTAGTAACATATCTATACAAAATTAAACTAGGGAAGGTTTCCCTTCTCTTTGGTCTGACACCTCTTCCCATAAACAGAGCAGCTCTTACAATCATTTTGAACTAATTAATAACTATAGGACATACCAAACAAACCCAAGTATTTCTTACATTTTCCTGTTTATGAATGCCATATCATAAGCTCCAAGATAAGGGTCTGTTTTGGCTTTGTTCATATATATATATATATATATATATATATATATATATATATATATATATATAAAATGAAAAGCATAACACAGAACAAAGCACAAAACTGTAGTTCTGATGAGAGACAATTTCTACTATTGGGCAGATTACACAGAAGGTAAAGAATGATCTTTCCCTTTCTCTTGTTGAACAAACTATCATTTAAGCAAAGATAACCGAAGTTTAATCTTTTTAAATATAATATTTTGAATTAAAGATTTATAGATTTTAATGAACTCATCAAAATCAAGCCAACTTTTGTCAAAATTTTAATACATTTTATTTCTTCTTTTCAGAATTCGCAGCTATTATAAAGCACAAGTAAAGTTCACTTTCCCCCAAACCTTCCAAAACTTACAGCATCCTCTCCAGTTTTATGCTTTAACTATCTTTTGCATTCTGCAACAACCACACATTTCACTCTAAGAGAAAAATAGTCCTGTTTTCTTTTGATAAACAAAAACATAACATTTTCTTTCTACATGTTTAGGGATCCCCAAGACCACCCCCAGGTTCAATGATTCACTAGAAGGATTCCCAGGACTCAGCATGTTGTCATTTTCTTGGCTGTGGTTTATTATAGTAAAAGGACACACAGCAAAACCAGTAAAGAGAAAAGGCTCATGGGGCGGCAAGGTCTGGAGGAAACAAGGAACAAGCTTCCCCGAGTCCCCTCCCAGCGAAGTCACACAAGACTTGCTCATTTCCCACAGCAAGGAGTTGTGACAGCATGTGTGAAATGTGATCTATCAGGGAAGCTCAGTAGAGATTCAAATCCTAAGGTTTGTACTGGGTGCTAGTCACATAGGCAGTCTCTGTCTAGCATGTACCAAAACTCCAGACTTCCAGAAGGAAAGCAGGTGTTCAGCATAAGCTTCATTGTTTTTACAGACAGTTTAGGAGCAGTGATCCACTTTAATTCTGGAATTAGCGGGAACGATCCCAAAGTTATCCTTCCCAGATGCCCGCCTGTGGCCAACCTCGTAGGCAAGTCTTTCTAAAGATAGCAGGCTCGGACTTGCTATGTTAACTTTTCTGCACAGTTTCGTTGCCGCTATTGTTTTCATACAGCCTCCCAGCCACTCATATTAATCACAAATTTGCTAACCAAAGAAATTAACTGGGATGTAGATAATCAGAACTCTCTACATTAGACAGGCAACTTAGCAGATGAGCAAAACTCACAAACACACATAAAATGACCTCCTGCAGCCACACATCCCTTTTATACCTTCTTAGCACACACATTTCCTAGCTCTGTCTACTGAAACGGGCTAAAAGCAATGACATCTCAGTTGCAATGAGCCCAGATCTTGGTTTCTGATACCGTTCTCTGCTAAAAGGAACTAAGGCTCCTCAGAAAAATGGCTGATTGCAGGTCTGAGGGAAGGAAACTCCAAGAAGATCCTGGAACATCTTATTCCAGAAAAAAAAAAAAGTAGCACTCAAAAAAATGATGAGGGTAGGTCACAAAGACACAGGAAGTAGCCCTCACTGACTAAATCCGGAACAATTTGAGCAGCAAAACAAGAAAATGATGAATTGTAAACCATTGAAGAAGTAGTAGTCCATGAGTTCACATTGATAATAAGTAAATAAATGAGCGATAACAGAGGACACTTGCTTACCGCAGAATATCCTATGCCAATGGGTAAATGCGAAGGGAATGTTGGAGCTGGAAAACTATCATTTTGTAGCCATAACAGTAAAGACTGATTCAAGCAAGAATCAATGGATGCTAAATCTAAGGGGAAATTTTGATGAGGAACAGGATATTTGCATAGAATTGAAGTATCTTTTCCAGAGATTGCTTGTTATGATTAGCAATTGCAAGGCAAAAAATAATTATATAGTGGAAGAACTGGCAAAAACTTTGATTACATGATCAAAATTAATATGAGTAAGCAGCACATGGCCATTCTGTGCCTCAGATGTGATACCATGAGAAGGACACAGCATAATGTGTGTACTATTCTGGCTGGGAATGCATAATGGGAATCTAATCATGAGGAAATATTTGACAAACTCCAAAATGAGGACTATTAAAAGGACTGCATTCTTCAAAAATATTAATGTCACATAAGACAAGGAAAAGCTGAATAACTTCCAAATTAAAAGAGACTAAAGCATCATGACAACCAAATACAATACAGGATCTTTGACTAGGTCTTGTGTGAGAGAAAATCTCCTAAAGACATTATTGGTTCAATTTTTCAAAACTGGAATACAAGCAACAGAATAGATAAAAGTAATGTATTGATGTTAAATTTACTGCAGTTGATAACTGTATCATGGTTGTGTAAAGTATTAATAATATCCTCATTATTGAGAAATGCATATTGAAGTATTTAGAGGTAAAGAAGAGTAATGTATGAAATTGAAATGATTCAAGAAAAATTTGTGTATAGAAAGAGCAAATGATAAAACAAGCAGGATTAAACGTTAACTGTGTGTCAGTCTAAGAGGAACCTGGCTATCCTTTGTAATTCTATTGCAGTCTTTGTGTAAATTTCAGGTTACTTCCAAATTTAGAAAAAAATTAAGTGAACACATATATTGACCCAAAGTTAGACCCATTCTGTAACATGAAAATACAAGGCAAAAATATATATAATACAACTATGTTAAAAGACCCTTTTTTCTATCTTACCTAAAACTTAACATCTCCAATGATTATCCATTAATAAGCTCTTTTTATTTTATTTTATTTATTTTTTTTTTTTTGAGACGGAGTCTTGCTCTGTAGTCCAGGCTGGAGTGCAGTGGCACCATCTCGGCTCAGTGCAACCTCCAACTCCTGGGTTCAAGCGATTCTCCTGCCCCAGCCTCCCTAGTAGCTGCGATTACAGGCGCCTGCCACCACGCCCGGCTGATTTTTTGTATTTTTAGCAGAGACAGAGTTTCACCATGTTAGCCAGGATGGTCTCAATCTCCTGCCCTCGTGATCCGCCGGCCTCGGCCTCCCAAAGTGCTAGGATTATAGGCGTGAGCCACCGTGCCCGGCCTAATAAGCTCTTTGTTTTTTCCTTTTCTTTCTTTCTTTCTTTTTTTTTTTTTTTTTGAGACTGAGTCTGGCTCTGTCGCCCAGGCTGGAGTGCGATCTCCGCTCACTGCAAGCTCCGCCTCCCGGGCTCACGTCATTCTCCTGTCTCAGCCTCCTCTCCTGCCTCCTGTCTCAGCCTGTAGCTGGGTCTACAGGCGCCCGCCACCATGCCCGGCTAATTTTTTTTTGTAGTTTTTAGTAGAGATGGAGTTTCACCGTGTTTGCCACGATGGTCTCGATCTGACCTCGTGATCAGCCCGCCTCGGCCTCCCAAAATGCTGGGATTACAGGCGTGAGCCACCACGCCCAGCCAAGCTCTTTCTTAAAGAGAAGATATTTCCACCTTTAACTGACAAAATCCCAAAAATTTATGTCAAGAATTTATTTTTAAAAACTTCTCGAAGATCATTTAGAAAGATTGATAACCACATTGGAAAAAGTATAAAAAATTGCATAGACCCCTGAAAATATGATTATATACATTTTCTTTTTTTGTTGTTTTTTTGAGACGGAGTTTCGCTCTTGAAGCACAGGCTGGAGTGCAATGGCGCAATCTCGGCTCACTGCAACCTGCCTACCGGGTTCAAGCGATTCTCCTGCCTCAGCCTCCTGGGTAGCTGGGATTACAGGCGTACGCACCACCATGCGAGTTTCGCTCTTGTCCCCCGCGCTGGAGTGCAGTGGCACGTTCTTGGCTCACTGCAACATCTGCCTCCCGGTTTCCAGCAATTCTCCCACCTCAACCTCCCGAGTAGCTGGGATTACAGGCGCCTGCCACCATGGCGAGCTAATTTTTTTTTGTATTTTTAATAGAGACGGGGTTTCATCATGTTAGCCAGGCTGGTCTCGAACTCCGGACCTCAAGAGATCCGCCCACCTCGGCCTCCCAAAGTACTGGGATTACAAGCATGAGCCACCGTGCCCAGCCTGATTATATACATTTTCAATAAACATTTATGAAAGTGGTATCAGGCCTTTTAATAATCAGAAGACCAAAATAAATGAAAACGAAATAACATTATCCACTAACCAGAATATGTAAAAGGAAGACTGACAAAATCAGGTGTTGGAAAGGACATCTAATTAGAACTCTCAAACTTGTGGTTGGGTTATATATTAGTCAAAAAAATCTTTGGAATTAAAATTTAATTGATAAATTGTATGTATTTATGCTATACCACATTTTACATACACACACACACACACACATTGTAGAATAGCTAAATCTGTGTATATATATGTATAGCAACAGACAGACATTGTAGAATGGCTAAATCAAGCTACCTAGCATATCAGTTACCTCAGATACTTATCTTTTTTTTTTGTGGTGAGAACATTTAAAATCTGCTGTCTCAAAAATTTCAAGTATTACCACATTGTTATTAACTGTAGTCAACATGTTGTACAATAGAGCTCTTGAGCTTTTCCTCCTAGCTGACATTTTTAGTGACATGCGTTGCATTTGAACATATGCAGTTACCATGACCAAGCTATTTTATTTGTAGGGCTGTACTTAACTAAAATATCTATACATGTGTACCAAAAGAAATTAACAAGAATGTTCATAGTGGCTTTATTGCTAGTAGTCCCAAAATGGAAACAAACCAATGTCCATCAACAGTAGAATTGATAGATGTGCCATATTCATGCAGAGCACCACCGAGCAGGGAAAAGAAATGAACTGCTTGGGCCGGGCACGGTGGCTCACGCCTGTAATCCCAGCACTTTGGGAGGCTGAGGCGGATGGATCACTAGGTCAGGAGATTGAGACCATCCTGGCTAACACAGTGAAACCTCATCTCTGCTACAAATACAAAAAAATTACCTGGGCATGGTGGCAAGCGCCTGTAAGTCCCAGCTACTCGGGAGGCTGAGGCAGGAGAATGGTGTGAACCTGGGAGGCAGAGCTTGCAGTGAGCCGAGATCGCATCACTGCACTCCAGCCTGGCCGACAGAGCGAAACTCCATCTCAAAAAAAAAAAAAAAAAATGAACTGCTTCATGAAACCACTTGAAGGAGTGTCACAAATGTAATGCTGGGCCAAAGAAGCCACACACAAAACCATTCCTACTGAATGGCCCTCCATGCTTCCATTTATGAAACAGACAACACTAATTGGGGCTGCTAAAAACCAGGTGACTCTTTGCTTTGACAAGACAGGTGGGCAGTGGTTAGGGAGCAGACCTTCAGGAGAGGGATTTCCAGATTGTTATTTTTATTTCATTTTCTTGGACTGTGTGGTAGCTCCAAGCATGTGTCCTCTTTGTGATAAATCACTGAGTAGTAGAATAATAGGATTCCTGTGTATATTATACTTTAATAAACATATTTGAATTCCTTTTTCCATTAGGACAAATAATATAAATCATAATAAATCTTTGCAATTTTAGTATTATTTCTAGTTGATGAAAAATAAGCCACCTGAAGGATTCCAAACTTGCGTATTTCAATATAGAACTTACATGTTCTAATATATATTTCTAGAGATCCAAAACTGTCTGATTAATGTCATTTGAGTGTAAAAAAGCACAGTTATGTTTACAATTTGCTCTCTAATCTTTTACTTGAAGTTAAGCTAATTATCCACATCCATCAATAAAACTGCTTTCACAGAAGAGTCCAATCCATGGCATAAATGACAGGAACTTTAGAAAAGTCGTTTCTTCTTCATTATTTATGTAAAAACATTAAATTTCTTAGAAACACAGGCCAGCAAACTCCCAGTTTAGTGTTGCTTTCATTGCTTTCTGTAGTCTTGTTACCAGAGAAGATTTTTATGTTCCAGAATTGCACAGAGGGAAAACCTGACTATTATGGTTACCACTGTGGCCATCAAGACAAGGCACTTGATTCCTAGGATCCCAGCAATGACCCTCCCTGGAGGTGATGGGAATTAAGAGACCTGCTATGGAAATTGTGGGGGCTGAGTAAACAGTATCTACAAATCTTTCTCTGTGTCTGATACTTGAAGTCCACAGGCAGTAAACAAGGGAAGACTGCAGAACAGGCAGGGAGGGATTCCATGAGCAAGAGCTGGAACCCCATAAAAATAAAGTGAAACCCATGTTCATGAAGCTAAACACAGGCCAGTAACCCAGCAGTCAGAGAAACTAAAGGAAAAATCCAAGGAAAGGCAGAGCAATTACAGGCTTAGCTGCTGTTTCATGGCAGTGAGATAAGTCAGCAGATCAGCAACAAGTGTGGTGTGTGTGTGTGTGTGTGTGTGTGTGCGCGCGCTCCCACGCGCACGTGACCACTTGCTACGAAATTCGTTTTATTCCAGTGTGTGAGTGTGCACCTGTGTGCGTGTGTGCACTCCTGTTGACCCAGTTTCTGCTCTGTGGCCAGGTCCATGACCCTAGACGACCCCAGGTGTGCTCTCGATGACGTCTGCAGGGATGGAGCACCGCCCCTGCCATTGGGTATTGCACTGTGTGATGCCATCCTCGGGGCCCTCAGGGTGATGGAACCCAATAGGCTTCCTTAGGCTTTCCTTTCAGATGGACAGGAAATAGATGATGTTCCATTGTCATTTTGTTTTCTTTCTTTCCATGGATTCTGTGACCATCTTCCTCTCCTCATTGACTCTGCCAGAAGGGGATTCCTGGTGGGGCAAGGGTAGCTGGTGGGAAATGAGGTACCGGGAAATTAGCAAAGGGTCTTCTGGCCATCTGGGGACAGTTCTCATGTGGTCCCCAGCCCAGTCTCGAGGGTTCTGGGCCGGTCACCCTGCAGCCTCGGTGCTGCGCCTCTGGATCCAGCCTCCGCAGGAAGAACCCTGGGAGACCCAGCAAAACGGGGTGCCTGGTCTGACAAACGTCCCCCCGTTCCTCTGGCTCTGCGGCTCAGGAATAGGCCGAGACATCATGTCCAGGCAGTGCCAGGCCACCTCACTGCCCCCTTTGAGGTGAGCACAGAGGGCTTTTGGGGGCGAGCATGAAGCTGGGCACCCAGAGCCTGAGGCCGACTGTCCCTCCCTGTGTCCTGGAGTGGGGGCCTTGACCCGAGAAGACCCCCAGGGGATGGCCTGTGGGTGCTGATGCGGGGAGGGGAGGTCTGTGGACTGAGGGGGGTCATTGGCAGGGGACATTGAGCACCGCGGCTCAGGGTTCTGCTCAGTGGGGTCAGTGGGAACGTGGTCAGTGAAGGCCTGGTCAGTGGGGGCCTGGTCAGTGGGGGTCTGGCTGGCAGAAGCCTGGCCAGGTGGCGGCTAGGTGACTTCAGGCAGGGTTTGTCCTTGGAGCCTCCTTGCCGCCATCTGTAGTGGGAATGAGTCATGGCACTCCGGAGGGCTGCTGGGAAGAGGAGGTGAGCAGGTGTGTGGAATCCAGCCCTGCCAAACAGATCTAGCACTTTACAGCCTAGCTGAGTCCCCTGCTAGGGAGGGGACCTGCCCTTTGCCTTTTGCCCCCAACCCTCAACCTTCTGCCCCCTATCTTCCATCTGCAATCCCAGGAATGCCCTGGATGGGGAGGTCTGAGTTTAGGGAGCACCCGTGGATGCTCTGATGATGGCCATGGGTCCCGAGGGGGGAGAAAGTGACAAGGGTGACCCAGTGTCCTGGGTGCACATATGAGTGGGGCAGCCGGGCCTAGCCAGAGCAGTGACAAACGCATGCACACATGGGTTCACCCACATACACGTGCATGCTTACATGCACAAACACTGCACACACGCACGTTGACACTTCAAGGGGTGGAGGGTGCTGGCTCTGGTCCCGGCTGACCCAGGCAGGGGCCCATTGTGATGGGTGTCATGACCTCACAATGTCACTGGTGCTGAGCACTCGCCCACCTGTCCACTTGCCGTCTCTATGTCTGGAGCTCTTAGAGATAAGACATAGAGGTGTCTGGTTCTGAGAAAAGGAAGTTTTGCTAAGTGAGAGACACAACTGACTCAACTGACTCAGGTGAGTGTGACCTGCTCTGTTCCTTCCCTGCTGACCTGGGTACAGTCATTACCTGGTGGGCAGGGCTAGCCTCTGGGCAGGTGCCGAGGAGGGTCATCCCTGAGCACTCACCAGGTGCCTGTTCTGCACTGACCTGGTGGACTCTGTGGGGTGGGTGCTGTCCCCGAATGTACCCATTCCACAAGTGAGATGTCTAGGGTCAGAGAGGAGGTGACTGGCCAAGAGACCCAGATGTGATCCTGGGCTGTGCTCTCAGCCCTGCCCTGTGCATGCCCTGGTCTCTGTGGCCCTAGATTCCAAATCTGCCCAGGGTTTTCTGGCCCCTGATGGGGCAGAGTCTGGCCCTGAAAGAGCCACTGGGATGGAACTCCTATGGGTGTGGTGGAGGGAGGTGGTGCTCGGTCCAAGTCTGTGCCCTAAGCTGGGTGTCTGCAGGAGGAGGTCTCACCAACTCAGACTTCACGTGCGGTCACTGAGGGTCTCCGTGGGACCCAGTGGACACATGGGGTCCCTTGTCTGGGAGTAGGGAGCCCTCCGCCTGTGGGCAGTTGTGGTAGAGGACCTTGAACACTGCTGCTCTGGGGCCTGGGCAGGGAGGACTTGGACAGTGGGGACCTGGTCAGGAAGGCCTGGTCACTGGGGGACTGGTCAGCGAGGACATGGTCAGTGGGGAATTGGTCATCAGGGGCCTGGTCAGCAGAGGCTTGGCCACTGGGGCTTAGTCAGTGAAAAACTGGTCAGTGGGGACATGGTCAGTTGGAGCCTGGTCATCAGGGGCCTGATCAGTGAGGACCTAGTCAGAAGGCCTGGTCACTGGGAAAACGGTCAGTGAAAGCCTGGCCGGCAGGGGTCTGGTTAGTGGGGGCCTGGCCAGATGGTTGCTTGGTGACCTCAGGCACGGGGTTTGTCCTTAGAGCCTCCTTGCCTCCATCCATAGCAGAAATGAGTCATGGCACCCTGGAAGGCTACTGGGAGGAGGAGGTGAAAAAATGTGTGGAATCCGACCTTGCCACTCACACCCAGCATTTTACAGTCTAGCTGAGTTCCCCCTAATGAGGGGCCCTGTCCTGTGCCCTCTACCCCCTAGCCCCCATCTGCATCTTCAGGACTGCCCCGTGTGGGGAGTTCTGAGGTTGGGGAGGACCCATGGATGCTCTGATGCTGGCCACAGGCCTCAAGGGAAGGTGACGCTGATTAAGACTTGATGAGCACTTGGGTGCACATGTAAGTGGGACAGCCAGCCCTGGCCAGAGACGCTGCTCGTGCACACACATGTTCACCCACATAAACGTACATGCTCACCTGCACAAACACATTTTGACACCTTAGGGGCTGGAGGACACCGACTCTGGGCCCACTTGACCTGGGCAATGGCCCATTATGATGGGTGCCATGACCTCAAAATGTCACTGGTGCTGAGTGACCGCCCACCTGCCCACCCACTCACCTCTGTGTTGTGCAGCACTTGCACATAAGACGCACACAGGTGTCTGGTTCTGTGGTGCATGAACGACTTTTCTAAGTGAGAGACACAGCAGCCTGAGCAGACTCAGGTGAGTGACCTCTGGGCAGATGCCGAGGAGGGTCACCCCTGAGCACTCACCGGGTGCATGTTCTGCACTGACGGCGTGGACCATCCTCTCCTTTGTCCTCACAGAAACTCTGTGGCGATGGGTGCTGTCCCCAAATGTAGCCATTCCACAGGTGAGATGTGTAGAGTCAGAGAGGCGGTGACTGGCCCAGAGACCCAGATGTGACCCGGGCCGTGCACTCAGCCCTACCCTTTGCCATGCTGGACTTGAGCTTTGACCGCTGAGGCCTCTCTACCCTAGATTCCAAATCTTCCTTGAGTTCTGGAATTCAATGAGGCAGGGTCTGGTCCTGGAAGAGCCACTGGGACAGAGCCCCTGTGGGTGGGGTGGAGGGTGAAATTCTTGGTCCAAGTCTGTGCCCTAAGCTTGGTCCCCACAGGAGGAGGTCTCACCAACTCAGACCTAAAGTGCGATCACTGATGGTTGCTGTGGGACCCACTGGACACATGGGGTCCTTCATCTAGGAGTGCGGTGGGGAGCCCTCTGCCCTCAGGCAGTTGTGGAAAATGAAGGAGCCCTGGAGGGCTGCCTGGAGGGTGACAATCGTCTCTCCTGGTCAAAGAGCCTTGGGGACTGGAACCCTCCTGCAGCGTCCCATTCTCTCTGTCTGGTCCTCTAGAGGCCTTGCCTTCCGTTTGCCCCGAGTATTCCTGGGGGGGGACGGTTCCCCCAGGTGTTCTCTAGGACTAAGGCCCCAGCGTTCTCTTGTTCTTTCTTGGTGACCCAGGAAAACAAAGTCCCCTCCTGTATTGACAGCTGGGAATTGTGGTGTCCACCGTCCTCGACCTGCGACGGGGTCTCCATGAGCACAGAGGCTGCTCTGGAGTCAATAGATCATCTTTTCCCCAAACCAAACTGCTTGGCTGGCGTTGTTCCTGAAGCGGCTTCACTGGCCAGAGTGAGTGAGAATTGGGGTAGAACGGAGCAGTCACCAGATGTCTTGCTTCCTACAGAAAACTGATTATATTCCTGGTCCCTGAACGATCCTATAGAGACATCCAGTCCCTGACTCCACCTGCCTCCAGGTGCCCAGAACAGCCCATCGTGGGGACTTCACCCTCAGCAAGTGGACGCCGTTTGTCCTGCCAGGGCAGGTGTGTGTCTGCCTTGGGGTGTTCAGGGACAATAGGCCTCTCTGTCCAGGTTCCCGTGTGCTCAAATCCTCAGGAAGGAGCCCACCACTGGTTGGAGGCAAGGACTTCAGAGATCTAGTCAGGGGTGGGACCACTGAGTCTGGCCCCTGTCATCTGGGAGGGGTAGTGGAATGGGGCTCACCAGACTGGAGTGTGTCTGGGAGTGCAGTGCGTGTGGTTTGGCTGTTCTCTGGAGCTCTTGGGTGCGGGAGAGCCTTGGGATGACTTTGTCTTGCAGGATGGAGATGGATGGGGACCCGTATAACCTGCCTGCCCAGGGGCAAGGCAATATCATCATTACTAAGTATGAGCAGGTACAAGTTGGGCCGCTCCCTCAAGGGAAGCAGGGCCTCGCCTCTCCCGCTGTGCCCTGGTCACAGGGTCCTGGGCTTCCTAAGATCACAGGGTGGGGAGGGGCTGCCCACCTCCCTGGGCCTCCCACACCTCTCACCTTACCCCCACTATCCTGGCCTCCTCTGGGTTTCAGGGACACCGAGCTGGGGCAGCAGTGGACTTGGGGCATGAGCAGGTTGATGTCAGAAAATACACCAATAACCTCGGGATTGTGCAGTAAGTCCTCTGTCCCCCCGACCCCAGCCACCAATCTCACCTCAGGGATGGGTTTTGTTTTTAGAAAGGCCTCTCTGAAGCAGGACATGTCTCCCTGGCTGGGCCAACCTCCTCTCCAGGGTCAGAACTCCTCCCAGGCTCTCCTGTCGGTCCAGCCTGTGGTCAGGGTTAGGGCACAGCCTCATGACACATTTAGGGAGCTCAGGAGAGGGGGTAGGGACAGAGAGGGGACTAGAGCAGGCCCGTGGGCTCTCAGCACTGTGGTCTCCAAGTAAGCTGGAGAGGAGGGGCAGCCTGAGGATCTGGCCCTGTTCCCTTGGGGCCTGCCTTGGTGAGATCTGAGGGTTGTGGCCACAGGGCAAGAGGGCACCTGGCCTGGCCTCTGGGCAGTTGTATAGCAGATCTCTGAGGGCTCAGGGGGCTCAGCCATGAGGAAGGGGCATAGGGACAGTGAGGGCCTTGGCCCTGGCCCTGGTAGGTTGTGGAAGAAGGGCAGGGCCCTGGCCTGGGCTTCTCACTGAGGCCAGGGGGACAACAGAGCATGCAACTGAAGGCCCCGGGAGTGGTGCAGGGAAGGGACCTGGGCCTGGTAATGGGAGCCCAGCCTGAAGCCGGCCCCTCAGGACTCACAGGATGGAGAGAGGGAGGAGCCTGGGGGAGGGGGGCAGGGTGAGCCCCTGAGACCTGCCACTTCTGGAAGGCACCTGAACCAAGCCAGACCCGGGTGGAGCTGACAGCCTGGGGAGGACAACAGATGGGGTGGGCAGGGAACAGTGGCTCACCTGGGACCCCTCAGTGGGGGAACTTGGTCAGTCCCCAAGGCTCTGCATGGCCCTCCAGAGATTCTGCTTCCCGCTGGCTCAATCAACACTGCGCAGGGTGGATGGAGGGGCCAAGTCAGGGCAGGCAGGACAGTAGGGGAGGACAGCCAAGCATCCCATGTCCTGGTTTTTGCAGTGGCTGGGAGGAGGCTGAGGGCTGAAGGCCAATGACCCTGAGAGCCAGCTGAGGCTGGAGCAGGAGTGCTGGGGCCAGCCCCACTGCCTGCAGGGCCCTTGGTCATCCTTGCTGCCCTGGGTGTCTCCCCAGCAGTGCTGGGCAGCCCAGTCAGAGAGTGGCCAAGGCGTGGGTGTGGACGGATCTGGGAGGTCTCACTCAGAGGTTCTGAAAGGACAAGGGTCACAGAAGGGCCAGGGTGGCCGGAGAGAGGGTCATAGTGTCTGGGCTGGGCAGGATGGGGGAAGATGGGGAGCAGGCAGGGTGAGCGGCCAGGATGCAGGGAGAGGCAGGTGCACGCTGGGAGGTCAGACCTTGCAAGGCCCATGGGGAGTGTCAGATGGGATGGGCTCCAGGTGCATCCTCAGGGCACTGGGCAGCTCTCAGGCCAGGCTCCCTGGACTCTGGTGGGTGATGTGGTCACTCCTGAGGTACTGCTGTTAGTCAGGGCTTGGCCACCCACCCTGGGTGGCACCCATCCCATCTCAGAACTGGACTTTCTTAGCGTCCACAGAGGGTGTCACCTCCAGCCCAGGTGGAGCAGCACCATTGTGCAGCCCAAGGCACCCCACGGGCTTCAAGTGTCCCCCCCACCCAGGGCCAGCTTTGAGCTTCTTCTTCTCCAAGGTCCCAGTGCCTTGCTAGTGTCAGATCCGCAGGGAGGCCCTTGCCTTCCTTCTCTGTGCCTTGTCCCAGGCTGAGACTTAGGGTGGATGGGGGTAGGCTGGTCCTTCCCTGGGGCCCTCTCAGGGAGAGGGATGGCTCCTGGCCTGGGCAGGTCCTCAGCTCTGCCTGGGTTGCCTTACAGTGAGATGGAGCTGCCCCACGTCAGTGCCCTGGAGGTGAAGGTAAGAGCCTGTGCCTGCTGCGTGGGAGGCTGCTTCAGGGACTGGGAATCGGGTGGTCGGTAAGGCAGAGGGGGTGGCCTGTGGGCCTGTGTGGTGGTGAGTGGGCCACGGCTGTCACTGGGAGGGGTGGCCTTTCCTGCTGGACTCTGTTCCCATGAGGACTTGACCAAAACCCAAACCAAGAACTGCAGTCCTGGCTCAGAGTCCACTGCCTGTTTGAACCAAGACCCCAGCTGAAGGCTGGACCTGACCAAAACTTGGGGCATTTATGGCCTGAGGATGGCATGTCATGGCATCACCATTCCAGACTACCAGCTCCAGTTCCTTCAGAGGGTCTCAGCCCCTGGGGCCTGCCCTTTCCTGGCTTCTTCAAGTTGGGTCCCTTCAGGGCCCCAAAGCCCTGGACCCAGCATCCACGGGCCACTGTCAGACGCCTGGCAGCTCCGCTAACTCCATCATGGCTCATTTGACAGCAAAGACGCAAGGAAAGTAAACGTACCAACAAGTGGCAAAAGATGCTTGCAGACTGGACAAAATATAGGAGCACCAAGAAGGTAACATGGGGAGGAAGTGGCCCGCGTGACTGCTCTCTGCAGAGCCAGGAGACAGGCACCCATGGTTGTGACCTGGCACCGTCTGCCTCTCAGTGGGTGGGTGGTACCCCATCCTTGCCATAGGACTGCAGGCCTGTTCGCCAGCTTTGCTCTGCGGGGTCGCCCCATGTCCTTTCTCACTGGAGTGTTCTTCTGTCTGTAGCTGTCTCAAAGAGTATACAAAGTCATTCCCCTGGCGGTACGGGGCCGGGCGTGGTCACTTTTGCTAGATATTGACAGAATCAAGTCCCAGAACCCAGGCAAATATAAGGTAAGTCCCTCCCACACTCAGCTAGGAGTACAAACAAGCTAGACTGTATCAGGAGCCCAGGACTCCAGCTGGAGGGAACGTTGAGCCTGGGTTGGGAGTGGGGGCTGTGGTCAGACGCACATCCTGGGCATAGATGGTAACTCAGGCACCACAGGTGCGCTGGGCTCTGCTGACCCTCCCTGGTGTCAGAAACAAGGTAAAAAGGAGCTTTCTGCAGAAGGAAACCTTCCTTCCTTCCTTCCAGAAGTGCTGACTGTGGGATGACTGCCGTTTGGGGCAGGGAGTCTTTTGTCTGTTCTGAGGCTGCTTCCTCCTCTTGGCCCTGCCCTACAGGTCATGAAGGAGAAGGGCAAGAGGTCCTCCAGAATCATCCACTGCATCCAGCTAGATGTCAGCCACACCCTGCAGAAACACATGATGTTCATACAAAGATTCGGAGTCAAGTAAGGCCAATGGGGCTTGCAGGGGTCCCAGGGAAGATGGGGCAATCCAGAGGAATGAGGTTGTCCCCAGGGCAGAGGCCAGGGTCACCCAGGAGAGGTGACAGAGCCACCAAGGGCTCTCCTGGCCCAGGGAGCAGCCGGCACCATGGACTGAGCATCTCCCGGCTCTAAGCTCTGGGCCGGGCTGGGACATGTAGGGCCAGAACCCAGGTGACTCCCAAGGAGACGGAAGGCAGAAAAAAAAAGAGTCATGCAGATGGTGAAAAGTGCTCTCCATGACCCACAACTATCCAGGATAGGGACCCATGGGAAGGTGGCACGATGGCAGGGCTTGGGAGCCTTCCCAGGCAACACTGACTGCCCAAAATACTAGAAAGGATGCGGGGCCCCGGAAACTCTCATCCATGGCTGGTGGGAACGTGACAGGGCACAGCCATTTTGTAAGTCACATGGGCTGTGGCTCACAAAGCTCAGTGGCCTCGTACCACACATCCCCAAAGTGTGACAGATATTGGCCACACTGATTTGAAAACTGACGTCCAAGTAAAACCCGCATGTGACGTTCACCGCTTGATTGATTGTAACTCACACCCGGAGGCTACGGAGATGATCTTCAACATGGGAACTAGGGAGGAAGGGGGTTCCACTCTTCAGACAGAGGCGACTCAGTGAGGAAAAGGAACGAACCCCCAATGCCCGCAGGAACATGGGTGGATCTTAGATGAGTATTGCTGAGGGAATGACGCCAGACCCAACAGGCTACCACCATGGGATTCCAATTCATTGGCCATTCTGGGAAAGGGCAAACCATAGAGACAGAGAACAGATCAGGATGGCCAGGGGCTGACAGAGCCGGGAGACGTTGGCTGCAAAGGGGACGTGCTGGGGACTTGGAAGATGAAGGAGCCGCTCTGGGAGGGGCTGCAGTGGTGGACGGGAGGCTCTGCACATTAGTTCAGAACCGTGGAACTGCACGTCCCAAAGACTGGACTTCTGTGTGTGCAAACTGAGAAAAAGGGGAAGAAAAAATCAACCAGAGTGAAAAATGATCACTGATCCAACTGTACACCTACGACATTGCATTGCAAGGAATGTGGATTTTACTGAAAAAAAATTCCTAAAAACTCAGGTGTCCTAAAGAGCTCACTGCTTATTTGGGGGGATCATCTGAACCCAGAATTGTGTTCGTTATTTGGGTTTGTAGACAAAATGAAATTGACAGCGTCTGCACACACACAAAAAAAAAACCCTCTTTCCCCTCTTTTCTAGGCAGCAGGAATTATGTGACATCCTCGTGGCCTATTCTGCATATAACCCTGTGAGTATTCCCGGGCAGCGATATTCCTGGGACATGTGCCCATATTCACAGGCATGGGTGTCTCTTGGGGGTGTTGCAACTTCTTGAAAATTCAGTGTTTGTCCACCAGGACGTAGTAGGCAGGACTTCAGCTCGCTGCTGGCAGAAAAGGGCTGAAGCCCAGACTCCTGGTGTCACATGGACCCAATCACCACGTCTCAGATGAAGAAACGACCTTCCCCTCCTGGTGTTGCCCCAAAGCCTAGGAGCTTGGCAGGGTCCCACACAGGATGGTCCTTGTAGGAGACAGGTTTGACAAGTTGCTGAGGTGCCTGATGGGCCAGGCACTTGTCATGAAATGAGTTTGCATCCTGGGGGAGCCTCTTCTTCACTGGAAACCTGGCAAGGATCCAATTTCCCCTTTGCCTGAACCCCATAGGAGCATAGCAGATAGGGAGGGGGGTCACCCAGGTGGCTGTTCCTGCTTGGCCCCCACTTTCCAGACCATTCCAGGCAGGGAGAGCTGCTGAGCTGACTGCATGAGCTGCCCACATGGAGGACCCAGCCACCCCTTATGTCCGGCAGGCAGCCCTTGGGCTGTTGCAGGACCTTTTGTGTGGTGGTCAGCGCCCCGCTGCCTGCCCTCGTGGCAGGTGCAGTTCACAGGTGCTGCCCCAGGCCTGGCACAGTGGCCTCCCCAGCCTGGCCCAGGGGAGGGAGCATGAACAATCCCTGACTGTGCCCTTTCGGGCCATGTGAGCTTGGACACTTGCTGCAGGAGTCCCCCCATGCTCCTTGTCAACTGAGTTGTGCGTGACCTGCTCAGTCCTCATGTCCAGTGCCAGGGGAGGGGTGCAGAGGCTGCACCTCAAATCCCCTGGGGCCTGAGGCAGGTGTCCCCAAAGACCTGTGCCACCTCTGGTGACATAAGTCCTCCCAGGTGGCCTCAGTCCTCCTAGGTGACATCTTTCCACGGTGACTCTGGCTCTTGCAGGAGGTGGGCTACCACAGGGACCTGAGCCGCATCACTGCCATCCTCCTCCTGTGTCTGCCAGAGGAAGATGCTTTCTGGGCGCTTACCCAGTTGCTCGCTGGTGAGAGGCACTCCCTGTGGGTAGGTGGACAGCTGCCCCCGGGGCCTTACACAGCCATGCCAGGGGACAGCCACCCTGGCCGGTGACCCTGACTTCCAGGCAAGGTGCCTGCCTTGTATCCCAGCTTGTTTGGAGCCTCCAGGATGTCCCTGCTGAGGTCCTACAGCAGCCTGGGTCTGGACAGGAACCCCCTCACCTCAAGTCAGACGGCTTTCATCCCTAACATCAGAGGGCATGGATACCTCCCCCTGGCTGCCCTCTGTCGTCCGAAGCCAGCCCCAACTTTGTGCAGGCACCACTCACCTCCCTGAGTGTCTTCCTGCCTCCCAGCTGGCTGTGCTCCCAGCCACCCTCCCTCCCTACAGATGGGCCAACAAAGCCAAGATGGAAGTGTCTGCCCATCCCATGTCCCCCAGCCTGACCCCCACATCCAAGAGATAGCCACATAGCCCCCAGCTCCCACCCTGTTCTCCCCGCTGGCGCCTGCCTTGTGGTGTCAAATGCAGGCTGCCCTCCTGGCACCTGGACCCAGGAGGCCGCTAGGCAGTGCCTCCAGCCAGGGACCTCCTCCCCAGGGCTGAGGCTACATGCTGGGGTCACCACATGGGAGGGAGGGAGGCCTCGGGGTCTGGGGTCCCCTGCCCTGCCCAGCTCTTCCAGCTGATGCCTCCACATTTTGGGCGTGGGGTCTGATGGGGTGATGGGTCGCGGGCTTCTCAGTATTCTACAGCCCAAATACTGCCTGGCTCGAGAGGCTCCTATCGCACCAGGAGCAGGTGCTGCACAAGTCCTTCCCAAAGATCATGAGACACCTGGTGAGTGGATGACACCCTCAGCTCCTAACCAGACGCCCTGGCCCCCATAGGCCAGGGGAGGCTCAAGTCCCTCATGGGGCTGGCAAGAGGCTGAGTCCCAGCCACGGCCTGACCTGGGATGGGGATTCCCCATGGATTCAGCGTTGGGTTTCCTTTTCCTGCCCTGGCAAAGGCAGAGGCGCTGGGACCAGGGCCGAGCTGCAGCTGAGCAGGGCTAAAAGAAGTGTGTCCACCGGGCGTCCGTGCATGGGGCAGGTGTTGGAGCCCTGGCCACCGCCCTGGGTTGTGCCATTAAGGAAGGTCTGCAGAGGGGCCTGGAAGTGGGAGGATTTCAGGGCAGCCCAGGGGGCCCTGAGCACGTGTGCTCCTCCCTTCAGGGCAAGGAAGGGCTGTGCATTGAGGGTTCCATGCTGACGAGGCTCCTCCGGTGTTTCCTTGATGGGGTAAGGAGGCACAGGGAGACCCCAGCCCTGGGACTCTCCTGCCCTGCAGTGCCCAGCTTCCTCAGCTCAGGGGTCCAGCTCCCCCAGGAGGACAGGCTCACAAGCCAGGCTCTGCCCAAGAGGGGGCATCCCATGGCAGAGGCCAGGGCTCAGGCCCAGCCTCATGGGCAGACTGGGGCAGGACCCGACTTGCGAGGGCCCAGGGAAGCCCAAGTCCTCAGGAAGCCCTCTTTCCAGAAGCCACAGCGCAGTTGAGATGAGTCCCTCACAAGGAGCTACAGGACCTTGTCTGACTCAGTCTTTTGGGGGTCTCATCCCATGGAGAGGGGTCCCCAGCACTCCAGGGGCCTGAAACCCCAGTGGGCTCTGCTCAGGCCACTGGCCCCAGCTTGGAAAGGCCAGGTTCTCCCACACTTGCTGTCCCCACAGAAATCCTTCGGGCTCACCCTGAGACTGTGGGATGTGTTCATCTTGGAGGGCGCGCGGGTACTGACAGCCATGGTGCATGCATCATTCAAAATACACAGGAGTAAGTCCCGTGTGCCCGAGGGTGCTTGGGGGAACATGTGGGACAGACCCCGGCTGGCCTGAGGGAAGTGTCCTTACACTGCCTGCTCCATCCGGGTTGGGGGGTCTGGCCTGCTGGGCTGGGCAAGTCATGATGACACTGAGTCCATCCCCCACATGACCCAGATGAAAATCAGGAGTGTGGTGAGCACTTCCCTGCCCTGCCTTCCCCAACTGTAGCCTCCTGTGCACAGCTGAACCCCAGGGTGGCCAAAAAGGACCAGACACCACCCAGTGGGAGGTGGGCCTGGTAGAAATGGGGTGCAGGCACTGTCCCCTCCCAGGGAACCCTCCTGGCCTGATGCCCGCCCTCTCCCTAGAGCACCTCATGAAGCTTTCCTGGAGCACTGTCTGGGAGTTTCAGGAGCGACTCTCTCAGAGCTGGGCCCTGGAGGACAACGCGGTCCTCAGGAACCTTCAAACCTCTATGAAGGAACTCACAAAAAAACACTGGGACCTGCCACCCCCAGGTGGGCTCTAGCACCAGGTACCCTCTGGAGTCACCCTCTGGGGCAGTCAATGGTGGGGAGTGCCGTGGCCCCGCCAGCCCTCCTACCTGGTCTTCCTCCTGCACCTCTTCTTCCTCCTCTTCCTCCTCTACTCCAAGAAAGTCAGATGGGTCTGCCAGTCCTCAGGGCGCCGTGGCTCACACCTGTAATCCTAGCACTTTGGGAGGCCAGGTGGGTGGATTACGAGGTCAGGAGATCCAGACAATCCTGGCTAACACGGTGAAACCCCGTCTCTACTAAAAGTACAAAAAATTAGCTGGGCGTGGTAGCAGGCGCCTGTAGTCCCCAGCTACTCAGGAGGCTGAGGCAGGAGAATGGCGTGAACCCAGGAGGCGGGACTTGCAGTCAGCCGAGATCACACCACTGCACTCCAACCTGGGCGACAGAGCGAGGCTCTGTCAAATAAAAGAAAAGTCAGATAACAAAGGTTTGCCACAGAGGCATCTAAAAAAGTAGGGGGCTGAACTATTCAGAACTCAGAGGCTTCAGATTCGAAGATGAGGCCAAGCAGGAGACTCCTGACCCACTGAGGGCAAGGGAAATATGTGGGGTTGCTGGGAGAAGATGTCATAAAGGTCCACCCCCACCTCGTGGTATGTCACAGAACCATACACTTGTATAGCTGTGCACATCTTCTCTCCACTGATTATAGTATTTCTTTCCATTTGTGACTCTCCAATCACGCAGGGAGCTTGCTACAAAATGCACATTGCTATACCATAGCCTGGGGCTTGCAATCCAAGGCTGGCAAGGATTCCTGCACGTCAAGGGCCTCAGGTGACTTTCATGCACACCCAAGTCAGAAGGCTCTCCTGAATCCTGGATGTCACCTTCCTGCCCAAAAAAGGAGGAACGAGGGTCAACCAGCAGCAGACCAGTCACAAAAAGAGATGAAATGTGAGTGCATGGCCTTCCTGACACCCAGACAAAACTTTGGGCACAAAGCCAGGCTGCAGCTCTGGCCACTGACTTGGACCAGGGATGCCCCCATGCAGGCCGGTGTGCCCTGGCTGCTCTTGACACCCTCTGGCTCCTGACACCCTCTCTTCGGCTGCCTGCGTTAGGAAGGGAGAACCTGCCAGTTTTCAGAAGAAAATGTAGCTTTATTATAACATAGGAAAGACTGCAAGTTATTACGGGAGGAGGAGGAGGCCTGAAACAGCTCCTGAAAATGAGAGGGAAAAGGAAGGTGTAAATATGTTGGTAATAAAATCTCCAACCACAGCATAGTCATGGGAATGTTTTTGTTACAATTTTTGTTCTCAAGGTTATAGTAAACAAAACAGTCACTTGAATTGTCAAAAGAGCAGCAGTTTTGCACAATGAAAAGCATACACACCAAGCCAGAATACAATAGCACTCAGGTCTATATGTTGCAGTGGTCCTAGTGCCAGAGGAAACCTCCAGGGAGTTTGTAGTGACCCTCCAGGGAGCCCAGGCCCATGGAGGGCCCTGGGGCTGGAGGGAGGCCAGCAAACCACTCAGCTCAAAGCACTCCCTTCAGGCACCTGAAGAGGGAAAGCCCATGTGTCTTCCTGTGAAGCACTGAATGGGCAGCTGGCATCTCAGAAATGCAGGCGATTTTTCATACACTGGTGTGAATGAGTCTGGGGCACCCAGGGGGTCCCGCAGTGGTCAGACACACTTTGAAACAATCAACACATACACAGGAGGTTACTAGGAAACAGGAAAAATGTTTTCCTGAATTTCATAGCAGATTGGGAGCTAAAGGAAGAGATTCCCAAGCCCATCATGGAAATATTTTAACAAAGTAAATTCACAAGAGCACATCAAACACAAAACCTAATGCAAGGGGCAGTGCCCAGGGCCACTGCCTGCCTCCGGTGAGAAGTTCTTTAGCAGCAGTCACAGGGCAATGCTTAGAAAGGCAATGCCACAGTGAATAAGGGGGATTAACTTGGATCCAAAAGTGTAGGATAATGCCCACCAAGAACGCACGTGGCTCCATCTCTCTTCCCAGTTCTAATGTTCTCAGAGCAGCAGCCACCCCTGAACACAAGGGGAGACAGGAAAGGGCCCAGGGGTGTGGGGATTTATTCCTGGTTTCTTTATTAATTTCCACTGGTCTGTGTGTCTGTTTTTATGCCAGTCCATTGCTGTTTTGATTGCTATAGTTCTGTAGTATAACTTGAAGTCAGGTAATGTGATGCCTCCAATTTTGTTCCTTTTGCTTACGGTAGCTTTGGCTATTTTGGGTCTTTTGTGGTTTGTTTGGATTATTTTTTCTACTTCTGTGAAGAATATCATTGGTATTTTGACAGGGATTGCATTGAATCTGTAGATTGCTTTGGGTAGTATAGACATTTTAACAATATTGATTCTTCCGATCTATGAACATGGAATATATGTCAATTGTGTGTGTTCTCTTCAATTTCCTGCATCAGTGCTTTATGGTTTTCTTTGTAGAGATTTTTCACTTCTTTGGTTAAGTTTATTCCTAAGTGTTTTGTTTTATTTATATCTATTATTAATGGGATTTCTTTTTTAATTTCTTTTTTTAGATTGTTCACTGTTGGCATAGAGGAATACTACTGATTTTCGTATGTTAATTTTGTATCCTGCAACTTAACTAAATTTGTTTAACTATTCTAATAGTTTTCTGGTGGAGTCTTTAGGTTTCTCCAAATAGAAGATTGTATCATCTGCAAACAAAGAGAATTTGAGGTTTTCCTTTCCAAGTTGGATGCAGGGCTGTTATTTTATTTCAGGCCATTTTCCAAGCTCAATGGTTTTTGTCAGAATTCAGTTCCTGTAGTTACAGGACTGAAGATTCTGGTTTCTTTTTGCCTGTCAATGGAGAGTTGTTCTCAACTCCTAGAGGCTGCCCACCATTCTATGGCACGCAGCCTTCCCCACAGCATGGTAATTGTTTACCATGGAAGAAAATCTTAGAAGAAATCTTCATATCACCTACCATACAGTTCCCTCTAAATTTCAAATGTTCATATTTTCCCTAAAGGCAAAATATATTTACTCCCTCTCAAAGATTTCATCTCATCATCAGCTCAAATCCAAAGTATTATTATCTAAATCATATCATCTAATCACCTCAAAGTCCAAAATGGCCCCTAAACATCATAAACTTGAAGTTCAAAATCTTACCTTCTAAACGTTCTAAATCAGGTGCAGATGGGTACAAATCATTTAGTGCAGCTCCTGGGGGTACACTTTCAACTTGTGGACCTGTGAAGCTAAAGAAACAAGTTATTTTCTCTGACAATCTGTTTGGGTGAGCAGACCCAACACCAGATCTTGGGGGTTAGGGCTACAAAGTCTGGCAGAGTTAAAGGAATGAGACAAGAGTACATAGGTTGGGTCCAGGGGGCCAATGCTAGTATGGAGGCTGCAAAGGCTCTGATCTCCGGGAGCCCACACTATTTATTGGTAATCGAACAAAGAAGCAGGTGGTGAGGACATGCAGATGTGGGGGTAGACAGATGATGACATGAGGATGTGGGGGTAGAAAGGTAGCAGTGCATCAAGCGTAGCTGTGACGGTTTAGCATATGCTCTGCTACTTGAGGTAAGGGAGAATAGATTCTTCTAATTCAAGATACAATCAATTTATGATCTTGGGAGAGCAAGAAGCAAGGGGCCAGCGAGTCTGGACACATTCCAGAGGCTACGAGGGGTTTTATTCCCTGAGCCCTGGGTGCTCTCCAAACCACAAGGGGTTTTATGCACTGGGCTTAGATTGTAGTGCAGCAGGGCAGCCTTCCACCCTTTGGCACAAAGCTTGGTGTTCCCTAGGCCACGAGGGGTTTTAGACCATGGACCCAGGACATGTTCCAAGACTCTTTTACATTATGTCAGACAAGCAAGCCCTGCCTCAGCCCTTCTACCAACACAATTCTAATATACATTACTGGACAGGCAGAGGATAACAGTTATGTGCATCTGGATAAAGATAGGTGGAGGAGGCTGGGCTTGGTGGCTCACGCCTGTAATCCCAGCACTTTGGGAGGTCAAGGTGGGTGGATCACCTGAGGTCAGGAGTTTGAGAGCAGCCTGAGCAACATGGAGAAACCCCGTCTCTACTGAAGATACAAAATTAGCCAGGCGTGGTGGTACATGGAGGCTGAGGCAGGAGAACTGCTTGAACCTGGGAGGCAAAGGTTGCAGTGAGCCAAGATCACGCCATTGCACTCCAGCCTGGGTAACAAGAGCAAAACTCCGTGTAAAAAAAAAAAAAAAAAAAAATATATATATATATATATATATATATATATATATATACACATAGACACACACACACACACAATATGTTCACAAATTAACAAATGAGCCATAAATTGAAAGAGATTAAAAATTAAAGAAGCTATTTCATTGAATATTATACTGGTCATCACTGATGTTTGCCAAAATGTAAAGATTTCAGTTTCTGGAACATGTATGTTAATAAATTATAGATAAGAATACATGTATTTATAAATATATTTCAACAGTTTCACTTCCTCAGAATAGTGTTACAACTCAAGTATCAAAGAGGCCAATTGGGTCATGAACACATAGACTCAATGTTTATAATCTAATCTTTGTGGAAAAAAAATGCTCAAAAACCTAGAGATGTGAGCAATACCAGTAAAAGTTCTACCATTTGTCAAGATTGTTTAAAATGAGAATTTCTATTTCCCTGGTTGGCTGTTACTTTTCTGAAAGCCTGAGGAGAGGAGAAGCTGTCAGTGGAGGTCCCTGAAGTTACCCAGGCCCAGGAGAGACACAGCATCAGCTGACAACTGCAGTAAATGCCACTGAAGACCCTCACGGGGAAGAGGCTGCAGAACCGTGTCTGCCATGCTCGTGTTTTAAATGCTGGCCAAAATGAGTCAAAACTTCTTTTCCTTTTTTAAATAGAAGCATTTTCAGGTACTCAAAATATGTCACACAAGACGAATTTATTATGTTCGCCCTATATCATTTCTTTCTTAAACAATTTAAGCAGGAGTTATTTCACATACTGTATTTGGCAATCAGCTTTTGCTATTTCGAACCACTGAAGACAATAAATTTGTTTTCTTCCTCTTTTCTGTTTCTTTCTTTCTTTCTTTTCTTTTTTTTTTTTTTTTTTTGCTCTTGTCGCCCAGGCTGGAGGGCAGTGGTGCGATCTCAGCTCACTGCAGCCTCTGCCCTCGCTCGCTGCATCCCTCCCTTCTGCAGGTAAGATGCCAATATTTACCCTACTGACCGTGGCCAGTTCTTGGTATTGCTCAAGTCCCCTGGGCCTTCAGACTGGCGGGTGACTTCAAGGGACCAACCACCCTGGGCCTCTCCTGGGACAAACACTTGCCTTCACCCACTATCGATGTCTTGCTCAGCCCTCAGAGGAGCGTGGTTGGCGTGGATTACTTCATGCCTTGATTCTGCCTTCCCGGAAACCACGGTGGCAGCAGGCTTGGATGTCACCAAGCCACCGTGTTTCATGCTATTTCTGGAAGTTCTCGCCTTTGTGGCCTCGGAAAGGAAGGCGATCTGGTGCTTTGGGGAAGGCCCTCGGGATGCTCCTCCAGATGGTCTTCTTCAGGCCTTTTGCTCAGCATTGGTCTGATCAGTTCTGCCAGCTCTGGGCCATGATCTCTTGGCACTGGCGCGGCTTTCCTTCAATAATTCCATAAACTCCAGACTTCGTGTCTTTTGCATGGAAAGCACGCGGTGCCCATTTCATCGACACCGCACCCCGGAGTCCAAACGTCAGCCCTGCGGGTGTTGGGTTTGTTGGGGACAATTTCGGGCTCAGGTGCAGGGGGCGCTTCCCCAGCGCGGGCGCGTCCTGGGCGCCATCTGAGGCCGTGGGCTCCTGGCAGGAGAACCTGGAGCTTTCAGATTCCCGGGAAGGATGCATTTCCCCCACTCTTGGGCACAAGCTGCCCTTTGCTGGCGTTGGGCACGGATCATGGCCTCGCAGAAGCCCGCGACAGCGTGGAGCAGGTGGTGCCCCTGCCCAGGACTCCTGGTGGGTGATGGCTCCGGGAGGCCTTGGCTGGGACAGAGCGGGGCCTCCGGGTCGGTCAGCGGCCCGAGCCCGGCTGCGGCTTTCGGAGGCTTGGGTTTGGAAGACACCGCCTGCCATCCCGCGGCGCCTCTCGGGGTCCGCTCCCCCGGACTGGCCCTGCCCACCGCGCGCGACTAGTAGCGGGCGGCCAGGAGTCAGTGGCAGGCGCGGCCGGTGGGATGCCGGGTAGGAGGCTGCCCTGGAGCCCGCTGGGCAGCGCCGACCCCTAAGGCAGCCGGGCGGGTGAGCGAGCAGAGGCGTGGGCGGCTGAGGGGCTGAAAGGCTGAGGGCCTGAGGCGGCTGAGGGGCTGAGGAGGCTGAGGGGCTGAGGGGCTGAGGAGGCTGAGGGGCTGAGGGGCTGAGGAGGCTGAGGAGGCTGAGGGGCTGAGGGCCTGAGGCGGCTGAGGGGCTGAGGGGCTGAGGCGGCTGAGGGGCTGAGGGGCTGAGGCGGCTGAGGGGCTGAGGGGCTGAGGGGCTGAGGCGGCTGAGGGGCTGAGGGGCTGAGGCGGCTGAGGGGCTGAGGGGCTGAGGGGCGGGCAGCCTGGCCGGTCCCTGCCGCAGGGTCCACCGGTCCCTGCCGCAGGGTCCACCGCACGTCACGTGGCCGAATGCCCCGGGCTGCTTTCTGTCTGGGCTGTTTTCTCACTGTGAACCTCGTGGGCTCCTGCTCGGTGTCCTTTCTTACTCTGTCTCTGTTTTTGCATTCTATTGGCAAGAATGTTATTTAGGATATTTTACTGATATAACTGAGGATGAACTGTGTTTTGCAGCATTTTGTTTTATTACGCGTTTTCTCCTAGATTTTGGTATCATTTTTACGCTGACTTGATTAAACATTTTGGAAACTTTCCTGGAACTGATAAATAGCTTTTATATGATCTTTTTCTTGAGGTAATAAAATAATTTACTTTGAAATGTCTCAGCCTAACAACTTTTGTGCTTTTGTTGTTTTGTGCAGAGGTGGGAAGACTCCTTTGCATTTTTGGTATCACTTCTGTGTTAATGATTTTGTTGTTTGTTTCGCAAAATCACTTAGTGATCCGTGTTTTCCAACTTAGAGTTAACATGCACCATTTTGCGACATAAAAAAATGTCTCGTATATCTCTTTGTATGTCTCTTTTCGTTTGTCATATTTGGAATTGTCTTTTTTTTTTTAATCATTAGTTTAAAGCAGGAATTTATTAAATATTCCAAAAAGACCGAAGTTTTACTTCATCTCCTAGGCATTCATTTTTCAGTGTGTTATTCACTGATTTCTCCACGTTCATTAATATTTGGAATAATTTATGTAAATTGATTATTGCTGTGTTACGAGCTTACGGAGCAACATTCTTTGTCTTCAGTATTTTAATGTATTTTTCTATTAAATATACTTCAGTCACTTATACCATATTTAGGATTATTTTCCTAATTCTAGACCTACTAATTATAAACTGGAATGCTGATAATTTTCCCTAAGCTTCAATTGTTTATGATTTATTCATTTATTTATGACAGATGGGCATAAAACTACTTTATTACAAAGATTTAATGATATATCGTGTAGAGATTTTATACTATGTGCTTGGACACAAACACTCTTAAATAATTGTTTATTTTTTCTACCTGCTTTTGACATAATGAAAGTGCATTTTAAATTTTTTAATTTTTTAATTTAGTTGTAACAGACTTTAGGATGTAATGGTCCCAGATTCTTTTGTTATCTGTTTTTTAGCCACATTGTTTATTCTGTTGTCATTATATAATATTTACACGCTGTATTAGTCTGCTCAGGCTGTTATAACAAAATACTATAAACAGTGCTTTCAACAACAGACATTTATTTTTCACAGCCCTGGAGGCTGGGAAGTCTGTGACCAAGACAATGGCTGATTTGGTTCTTGAACAGGCTTTCTGTCCTCTTCTTATAAGGGCATTAATTCCATCATAAGGACCCCACTCTCATGACCTCATGTAAACCTAATTACCTTCAAAGGCCCTATTTCCAAATCCCATCACACTGAGAGTTAGATCTTCAGCACATAAATTCTGGGGGAAACAAATGTTCATGCCATAACACACACTGCTGACCCTTTGTTTCCATTTCCGTAGTTGTTTAGTGTTATTATTTATAATATTTTGGAGGAATACCCTAATTATAATATGGGTACTTATTAATTTTGTAATACAAAATGCATTTATTAAGCAGTGAAAATGCTAATAAAGTCATATAGTAGTTGCTTCCTATACTATATATATCTTGCGATATTTCAGAAAGATTTTGCATAATATATGTAATGCTATCATTCAAACATCTTTAATAAGTTGGTCAGAAAGAGAAGAATGTTTTCCATCTTCAACCAAACTAAGGATACATTCCAGGTCCAAATCACCAAATACATGAACTTAGATTTAAATGTTTGTAGTCAGGCATTCAACTGTTTAATTACAGTCCACCCGGAACACACATTTTATTCTCAGTTCTCATATCAGCAGGGCATTGATAACGTGTATTTGTCTAATGGCAAGTCCAAGCATTAGCTTTTGATAGCATCTTAACCCAATTTGACATTTCTGTGTGTGCTTAAGTGTCCAGACAAGCATTCACCAATGCTTTTTCTGATGTTGGAAATGTTCTCTCTGCTACGAAATGTGTTAACCACTACCCACATGTGGCTTTTGAGAAGTTGAAAGGTAGCTAGTGTGACTAACCAAATTTTTATATTATTGTAATTAATTTAAATTTAAATGTAGTAGCCATGTGTGGCTATTGGACAACGTGCCTCTAGGTCATTATCACTGGTATCTAGATAGATGAGACAATTCACAGAAGCCTCACACTTAACCCCATTCTTCTTAATGTCAAAGCATGGGGCCTGCTACTTCATCTCTCTACACTTTTGAATTATCACTCATTTTTTACCCTAACATAAGTCAAGGTAGATATTATGCCAAAAATTACAGAAAAGTAGTGACAGGCCAGGCCTGGTGGCTGTAATCCCAGCACTTTGGGAGGCTGAGGTGGGTGGATCACGAGGTCAGGAGTTCGAGACCCACCTGACCAACATGGTGAAACTCCGTTTCTACTAAAAATACAAAAATTAGCCGGGCGTGATGGTGTCCACCTGTAATCCCAGCTACTCTGGAGGCTGAGGCAGGAGAATCCCTTGAACCTGGGAGGCAGAGGTTGCAGTGAGCTGAGATCACGCCACTGCACTCCAGCCTGGATGACAGAGTGAGATGCTGTCTCAAAAATAAAAAAGTAAAGAAAAAAGAAAACTAGTGACAAAATCAGTAACTTAGCAGTTTTCCTTGAACTCTTCGATGTGGTCCAGTAAATAATCTTGTGGGGTTTTTTGTTTGTTTTTTGCTTTTTTTTTTTTTTTTTTTTTGGACAGAGTCTGGCTCTGTCACCCAGGCTGGAGTGCAATGGCGTGATCTTGGTTCACTGCAACCTCTGCCTCCTGGGTTCAGATGATTCTCCTGCCTCAGCCTCCCGAGTAGCTGGGATTACATAATCTTGTGTTTTTACTATGATCTCTATATGTTGATTTTATTATCTTTAAAATGATAACGCTAGGAAGACCTACTTCATATTATTTTTTTTTTTTAAGACATGGTCCCACTCTGGCACCCAGGCTGGAGTGCATTGGTCCTAACAGGGCTCACTGCAGCCTCAACCTTTCAGGTTGCAGTGATACTCCCATCTCAGCCTCCCAAGGAGTTGGGACTACGGCTGGGTGCCACCAAGCCCGGCTAATTTTTAGATTGTTTTATAGAGACAGGGTTTCGCCATGGTGTCCAGGCTGATCTCCAATTCCTGAGCTCAAGAGATCTGCCCACCTTGGCCTCCAAAAGTGCCGGGATTACAAATGTGAGCCATCGTCCCCCGCCCTCTATAATTTTAAATTAGGCAACTGAAGTAATGCATACAGCATACCATATCATGTTTTATAAAGCATAAAGTCAGGATAATAAGGTGGTTAAGAGCATGAGCTCAGAGGTGAAATCATGCTGGAAACAGTTACTTTTGGTAAGAAGAGCAACACTTGGAACAGAAGATAAAATGATCCTTGAATTATTTGCAATGTTTTCATTTTTACAAAAATGTTTATGTTTGCATTTAATGTGAAGGGGAAATTTTAAAAGAACTATTTTAAATAATACAAAATATTTATATCATCACTTTTTTTTTTTTTTTTGAGACACAGTCTCGCTCTGTCACCCGGTTGGAGTGCAGTGGCACGATCTCAACTCACTACAACCTCCACCTCCTGGGTTCAAGCGATTCTCCTGCCTCAGCCTCCCGAGTAGCTGGGATTACAGGCGCCCACCACCACGCCTACCTAATTTTTGTATTTTTAGTAGAGATGGGGTTTTGCCATGTTGGCCAGGCTAGTCTCAAACTCGTGACCTCAGGTGATCTGCCACCTTGGCCTCCCAATGTGCTGGGTTTACAGGTGTGAGCAACCATGCCCGGCCTATCATTACCTCTTTGTTTATTAAAGGGTTACATTAAAATGAGGATTTAAGATATCATTTAAATTATTCAAATTGTTATTCAAAATTTGAGAAGAAAATACTGGGTTACAAAATAGGCATTATTCGTAAGTTCTGTGTCCTGCTCTGAGCATAAGTGGTCTGATATTAGGAAAGTCAATAATTACCTTAGTAGTACTTTCTTTTCAATTACCATAAATAAATAATGTAATTACATGTATCATTTAATCATTACATGTGGTAAGTCAGTGACACACACACACACACACACACACACACACACTTACACACACAGAGTGAATTTACCAGATGCATCCCATCAGTCTGGCAAAACGCCCATGATTAATAAAATATGTGTGGAGACATATTGGTCCCTACTCTTCAAAGTAAAATTCAAGTGTATTATCTTTACCTTTGAAACTGAAAGTAAGGTAATATTCTAACTTTTGAAGGGATAATCATTCTAAGTTTTAACTATGAGAATATTTCTATCATTCACTTACCTATTTCACAATTCTGAGACAGCCTGAAGCAAAATGAACAAGAATAAACCATATGTATTAACATATATTACCTTATATAAAAATTATTTTGACTGTACTTCTGCCCTTTATTAAGACATATGCCAACTAAATATTATTTTAAAGGAGCTATAGATGATGATGAAATAATTTTCAAGTACAGTTTTTAAAAAAGCTACATCTACTCTTGCTGCTCCTGTCACAGCCTAGATTTATAGCTAATTTTCATGAGTTACAGTTTTGTATTACACATCCCCCCACCATGCCACTTCCCAGCTTTTAAAAGAACTTAATGATTTTTAATAGGAATGTAGACAAAGTATTGCTGCCTCTTATCAGAATTTACTGGCACCTTTGCCCACAAATTGGAGGTAAAATATGTCACTGTGACCCTTATTGGTATCCCTGATGTGTGACATCAATTGCACATTTTCTTTCCTCTGATTTTATGTGTATGTTTTGTAGATCAGATAAACCTGGGACATGTTGTCCAGGCACGGTGGCTCATGCCTGTAATCCCAGCTATTCGGGAGGCTGAGGCAGGAGAATGGCTTGAACCTGAGAGGTGGAGGTTGCAGTGAGCCAAGATTGCGCCATTGCACTCTAGCCTGGGGGAGAAGAGCAAAACTCCGTCTCAAAAAAAACAAACCTGGGACATGTCAAAATTTCTCTAATGAAATACTTGTGTTTACCTAAAATAAATTCCTATTAGAACAATAAAAGTGAGAAACAAAACAAACGCAAAATGGAAACAATTTGTATAACCTGGCAAAAGACAGTAACATTAACCTATATTTAATGAACACATCAAAACTCAAACCAATAATTTATCATTGTAGTAAAAATATACAACAGAAATTATGAGATGGTTTCGTCAGTGAAAAGCACTGTGTATACAATCATTCCCTAGATGACTTCATATTTCTCTAGCCCAATTCTAATAATTTGCTCATAATAGTATAAATGAAACTGTTTTCCAAATAATATTAATGTCTACCTTCGCCTATCACCATTGAGTCAATATTTGTGTGATTCTATAAAATTTAGAATGTCTAGAAGGATGCCTTTGCTTTTGCAATACAAAAAATGGCCTAACACAGATATAGATGATAAAGATATAGATAGATAGGGGGTTGCATTTTGAAATTTATTTCTTCAAGGGACTTATTTCAAGTTTGAAATTATTCTGGTTTTAAAATTAACAAATGATAAACCTTATAGAATGATAACACAATTGTACATGTTATAAGGTCACAGGGTATATCATCAAATGATGAACCAATCATTTTGTGTTGAGGTTTGGTAGTATTTATTTATTTTTTATTTATTTATATATTTTTTTTTTACTGAGACTTCAATTTGAGAACAGTTTTTGTACGGAGGGGCCCTACCACTGCCGCTTACTGGGGCTGTTCTCAGACTGTGAGATTCTGCCCACACCAAGCCATGATGAGAGTTTTATTCCTCATACTGCTCTCAGTACTTGTTTGCATCCCATAATATCCCCCCAAAAGTTCATTTTTCATGCTGTTTGTTATTCGCTTACATTTAATACATGTATCAAAAAGTCATTTTTTTTTTTTTGAGACGGAGTTTCGCTCTTTTTGCCCTGCCTAGAGTGCAATGGCGCGATATCGGCTCACCACAACCTCCGCCTCCTGGGTTCAAGCAACTCTCCTGCCTCAGCCTCCCAAGTAGCTGGGAATACAGGTGCCCGCCACCACGCCCGGCTAATTTTGTATTTTTAGTAGAGACAGTGTTTCATTATGTTGTGGCCAAACTCATCCACTGTTATATAGAAAATAGCCTAGAGAAGGAAAGCTCCAAGTGCAAGGAAAATCTGCATTATCAAAGCAGGCTAAGCAGGGAAGACCATTTATTTTCCCAAAAGATTCTATTCTGTGGTCTTCCCTTCATAGACACACATCCCACTGTCAGATGCAAATCCTAGAGCTAGAAATGGGGCATTCAAGGTAGACAGAGCTCCTGGGAACAGCACGTTTGCAGAGATGGGAAGTGACCCTCCCACTGATTTTGGTTTCTCCATGGCCACGGGCAAAGCCTGCCTGCTCTGCATCCAGGGATCTTGGTCAGGTGTTGGAATCGGTGGGTGGATTGCCAGTACGTTTGCACTGTGTCCTAGAGAGCCTCTATGCATTTCAACTCTGATTCTCCTTCACCATCTACGTGCAGCCCACAACCGCAGGACCCCACCCCTGGCCCTGAATCTCCCATGTCCTGGCGCCAAGCAGGCGAGTCAGCCTAGGAGGAGGCAGGGCTCCCGGAAGCCAAGCCCATGCTGGGATGGTGAGAAACAACTTTCCTATGCAAGGAGGTTCCTGAGCACCCGCTGATGATCAAGCCGGAGCCCCCTCACCTCCCCGAAGTGTGGTGAAGGAAAGACAGGCCGGAAAGAGGCGGCAGTCTTCACCTGCTGTGGTTGAGTTTCTCACTCATGCCAAGTTTTACATAAGCTGGGGACCATGTGCTTCAAGGCTAGAGGTCTTGGCGGGCCCAGGGCCTTGGAGGGGCCTGGATGACCAAGGGGTCTGAGACTTAGGCCCTGGCTCTGCATGGGGAATCTTGGGAAGGTTGGAAGCCCACAGCCCCTACTGAGAAAGGAGCCACGGGCCAGATCTTTTGCACAAATCCCACCTGTGCTCCTTGACCGCCCCTCCCCACCGGGGCCACGGTGACCAGGAGGCAGAAGCCTCCATCCGTTCACAGGACCAGCATCCTGGGAGGACCCTGGCCTGAGCGAGCTGCTGCAGGGGACCCTCATGCTGGATGGTTGGCCACTCGGCACCCTTTTCTCTGTGGAGCAGGGATGACATTTGAGAGCCACCAAAGATGGGCAGGAAAAACAAAGGCCACCACAAAGGAAGCTGAAGGCAGAAAGAGATGCAGAGAAAGTGGGAGAAACTCGGCTGTGCTTTGTGGGGGCCCTGCAGGGACATCGGCTCCTGAAGGGATGAGAGAAAGAGTCCCCTGAACTTTGACACTCTGTTCTTCTCAAGGCCTGGCCAGCCCTGTGGCTCCTTAGAGGAATCTGGGTGCCTTCTGTCCCTAGTACCTGACAAGCCCCAGGTGAGAAGACCTGAGTTCACCTGCGCTGCCACGTGTAACCTGATGGCCCTGGCACCCTCGCAGGGTTTGAATAGCTGCCCTTTCCACCTGTTTCCCGGATTTTCCACACCACCCAGAGGCTCATATTCAACCCCACAGCCTACAAGTCAGCCAGGGGCCTTTGGCCACATGTACTGATGATGAGAATCACTGGATTGTAAGCTGTAAAAGCACAAGGATGGTGTTTTGTTCCCCGCTACCCCCTGCACCTGAGGCCCAGCGAGGATTGCTGCTCGGATGAAGGAGAGCGAGTGTTCATGGAGCTCTTTGCAGAAGCCACGGGAATCCCTTCCTGTGCCTTCTCAGGTTTAGTTCTCAGACAGCCCCACTTTCCAGATGAGGAAACGGAGGCTAAGAAAGGAGAATAAACTTGTCCAGAATCAGTGGTGAGGCTGGTATTTGAACCCCATCCTGTTGGACTCAACACTTCCTCTGAAGAGACAGCATAAGGGAGCTGCCTACTTCTGGCTTCGGGAACTGGCAGAGAGGAGCAGAGCTGGGCCAGACGCGTCACCTCCCAAGCTCTGCTGCACCCAAGGGTTCCCAGGGTCCTCTTCCTCCATTTGGCTCTTTTCTTCTCTGGACTCTCCCACCTTCGAGGATTGGACTCCTTGCAGGGAGCGCAAAGCAGAGAACAGAGGAGGCCCATCTGAGGAGAGAGTGCTGGAGCAGATGGGGCACACAGAGAGCCCCCAAACCTTAGCCTCACCTGGAGAGTGGCTCCCTGCAAGCTCAGCCCCTGTGTGCCCAGAAGTGACATAGGCATTCAGAAAAAGGGACTGAGGGAGGAAAGAAGGAGCCATTCCTCTTCCCAGGGGCGCCTGCCCTGGGTTCCTGAGGGAGGCTCCATGTTTACATCTCCAAAGGCCAGTCCCAAACACGCCAGAGTGCAATGCCCTCCCTCAGACCCAGGGCCATCCTCGGAGCAGCCGGGAGGCAGCCTGTCCACTCTTACCACAGGCAGGTCGCCCAGGCAGCCTCCTCTTAGAGCTCCTGAATTCTGGAGCATCAAATAGAAATGTGAAAAACAGGCTGGGCATGGTGGCTCACACCTGTATTCCCAGCACTTTGGGAGGCTGAGGCGGGCAGATCATTTGAGATCAGGAGTTTGAGACCAACCTGGCCAACACAGTGAGACCCTGTCTCTACTAAAAATACAAGTAAATAAGCCAAGCATGGTGGTCCACACCTGCAGTCCCAGTTACCTGGGAGGCTGAGGCAGGAGAATCATTTGCATCCAGGAGATAGAAGTTGCAGTGAGCTGAGATCGCGCCGCTGCACTCCAGCCTGGGCGACAGAGTGAGACTCCGTGTAAAAAAAAAAATGAGAGAGAAAATTAATGTGACAAAATGTTAACAATGGGTGAATGTAGGTAAGAGTATGTGGCAGGGTGTTTTTTCTTCTTGCAAATTTTGTGTAGGTTTGACGTTACCTCAGAATAGCAAATATAAGAATGATTCCTGCAGACACACGAGTGATTTCAGCTGTTCACAGGGCTCAGGCAGGAAGCAGATCTCTTGCCCTCCCTCTGATCCAGGTCACTTAGTCCAGTCCCTGAAAGCAGTGGATGGACAACCATGCCACCCTCTTTCTTCAAATACACCTTATTTTGTATCCTGCCCTTTTTGTGTAGCATTAGATCATGAGCATTTTCCTCTGCTATAAATGTCCCCTCAAATATGTTGTTTCTTGTGACTCCCTAGTGTTCTACCCACGATTTCCTCGGCTGCTCCACCTTGGTGGAATTCAGTGATTCTTCTGCCTTTTCACCATTGTAAGTGATGCTTTGATGAACAGCTTTGTAGGTTCATCTGTGCTGCACCTCTGACCAGTCTCTTCTGGAAGAGTCTAACGAAGGAGACAGAGGCATGGACCACTGGCTTTTGAAGGCATTCGGTGGGTCCTGCCACGCCGCCTTCCAGCATTCCAGAAAGGTGGTCCCAGTGAACAACTCACCAGGGCGGGGCCCCACTCCACGGCACCCCAGCAAGGCCAGCATTCGAGACCAGCCTGACCAACATGGTGAAACCCCGTGTCTACTAAAAATGCAAAAATTAGCCGGGCATGGTGGCGGGTGCCTACAATCTCAGCTGCTCAGGAGACTGAGGCAGGAGAATTGCTGGAACCTGGGAGGTGGAGGCTGCAGTGAGCCGAGATCACTCCATTGCACTCCAGCCCAGGTGACAACAGTGAGACTGCATCTCAAAAAAAAAAAAAATTAGAATAATCTTGTACATGTTATTAACTTTAATTTTGCATGTAACTTTTTTAAAATGATTAAACTTTTCTCAGCATATTCTCATCATTAAATATTATTTAAAACATTATTTTAAGGTTAGATAGTATTTTATCATATAAATAATTCATATTTACTAGTCCCCTGTTGTTGAACATATATGTATTATTGAACCTTTATGTTCTTTCCAGTCTTTCAATATTCAAATACTTTTTTCAACTCTTTCTTATTACTTACTTAGGAAAAATTTCTAGATGTTGAATTACTGAGTCAGAGTATAAATATTTTAAAGACTTCTAACATATTCAGCCAGATTGCCCTTCAGAAATATTATACCAATTTGTTCCAGCAGTCATGAGAACACACACTTCTCTGAGCTCTTGCCAGCACTTGATATTATATTGTTATTGCCTTCCAATCTGTTAATCATTTCTTTTTCCTTCTTTTTACCCTTTTTGCTTGGAAATATCTTCCCTAGCCCAAGATCAAATAAACGATAACTTTTCTCATTTAAAAAAATAATTATTTAATCAGTCTAGAATTTGGTTTTTGATATAAGAATCGTGATGATTGTATGATATTCTGCCCACCAACCAGAGCAGTGCTGGAGAGGTGCAGAGATGGCCTCCTGTTTCCTGTTTCCTCCAAGTTCTGGGTCTGTGATTTAGGGATCTGCTGCTGAGAGAGGTTCAAAACATCTTCCCCACCTTATTTCATGGACTGTCATTGTTTCAAGAAGCAAATTATACCATCAGCTCCAGGAAGATTTTCTCCACTGCTTCATCTGTTTTAAGATCAGTCCATTGCAACCTGATTCTGCATTCTGCCATCTGATGGGCTTCGTGGTGGGTCATGTGAGGAGTTTCTATTTTTGTCTGTGTTCTAAATTTGCAGGTATTTTATTGAAAGTATAAAAGTAATTTTAATAGAAGTTACTAGCCAGGCTTTGCATTAGGTTTTAATATCTTGTAGAATAAGAATAAGATTATTTTCTCTTTTTTTGCTTTAAGATTCCTCATTACACTTTTTTTTTTTTTTTTTTTGAGACGGAGTCTCGCTCTGTCACCCAGGCTGGAGTGCAGTGGCACCATCTCAGCCCACTGCAAGCTCCGCCTCCCAGGTTCACGCCATTCTCCTGCCTCAGCCTCCTGAGTAGCTGGGACTACAGGCACCCGCCACCATGCCCCTCCTCCCAAAGTGCTGGGATTACAGGCGTGAGCCACTGCGCCCGGCCTAGATTCCTCATTACTCTTTTGCATTATGTTTAATCTCCCATGTGGCCCTTTTTGAAGTTCTTCCCTAGTCACTCATCTCTCTCTTTTATTATATTTATATATTTATTATATTCATTTATTAATTATTTTGATTGGCATTTGCATTATATGTATTAACGAGAAGTAATTTTGCATCTTAAAAATGTCTTATTTTTTCCTCATCATAAAATTACATGTTCATTACAGAAGATTTAGAAAATACAGAAAAGTATAAAAAAGAAAAGTATTACCTTTAATCTTACCACTTGGAGGAAAAAAACTGCAAACATTTTGCTGTCTGTCCTTTCAGATTTTTTCTTAGTTTATACATGTTTGAGCATGCATAAAACTTGCATTGATATGATTATGATATTTCATCTTCCTATCCAGAAGAATAGAGTATGTCTTTCTACATTCCATTACAAAGAACCAGTTGGATTCATTTATTTATTCCACTGTTAATCTGTTTTGATTAATTCTTGTCTCCTACTTCTTGGACATTTCTTTGATTTCTCACTAGTTTCTTGAGTAAAATTGTTTGTTCGTTTCACTTTCTTCTTTCTTGATTGATAATGAAAGCATTTAAAGATATGAATTTGACTTTTCTTGTGGCTTTGGCTAAATAGAGACAATAAAATCTAGAAACTTCTGAAATAAATTAAACCTAATTTAGAGAAAAAAGGAAAGTGTACATTTTCCATAGAGTACAAGGCACAACATAAATGTTTAAAATTAAGCTGTTATTAATATTATAAAATCAAGTTACTATTCATATATCAATATCTTATTGCATGCTAGCTAGAATTATCAAATACTAACAGCAGGACAAAAAAGTCCTCACTAGTAATTTTAGGTGAGAGTTTGAGGTAAAGATGTGGGCATGATATCACATAGGGTTGCTTTCATATCTATCAAGACCTTAGGTCTGTGATTTTGTGCTTTCTTATATGCACAGAAACTGATTTGTAATTGCAGTGAACTTGTAACATACTAACCCTCCTGCCTTTTTACATTACCATAGAAAATGCAAAACCCAAACCTCCTAATCAAACTGATAGCTTCTTTTATCTCTACCTCAGAATATCAACTATAATGATATATATAATTTTGGGTCTGCCACAGGGACAGAGTCCTCATGGAGAACCTCTGCTAGAGCAGGGTAGAAGTGAAATGTGGGGTTGGAGCCCCCATACAGGGTCTCCGCTGGGGCACTGCCTAGCAGAGCTGTGAGAAGAGGGCCACCATCCTCCAGACTCCTGAATGGTAGATCCATCAACAGCTGTACCATGTGCCTGGAAAAGCTGCAGTCACTCAGTGCCAGCCTGTAAAAACAGCCAAAGGGGCTATGCCAGCAGTGCCGCAGGGACAGAGCTGCCCAAGGCCTTGGGAGCACACATCAGAATGCCCTGGATGTGAGATATGGAGTCAAAGGAGATAATGTTGGAGCTTTAAGATTTAATGACTCCCCTACCAGATTCTGGACTTGCATGAGGCCCATTGGCCCCTTTGTTTTGGCCAATTTCTCCCGTTTGGAATGGGAACATTTACCCAATGCCTGTACCCGCATTGCATCTTGGAAGTCACTAACTTGCTTTTGATTTTACAGGCTCGTAAGTGGAAGGGACTTGCCTTGTCTCAGATGAGACTTTGAACTTGGACTTTTGGGTTAATGCTGGAATGAGTTAAGACTTTGGGGGACTGTTGGGAAGACATAATTGGTTTTGAAATGTGAAAAGGGCATGAGATTTGGGAGGGACCAGTGTCAGAATGATATGGTTTGGCTCTGTGTCCCCAACCAAATCTCATCTTGAATTTTAATCCCCATGTGTCAAGGGAGGGACCTGGTGGGAGGTGATTGGATCATGGGGGTGGTTTGCCTCATGCTCTTCTCATGATAGTAAGTGAGTTTTCATGAGGTCTGATGGATTCATAAGTGGCAGTTTCCCCTGCTCTCCCCTCTCTCCTGCTGCCTTGTGAAGAAATTGCCTGCTTCCCCTTTGCCTTCCATCATGATTGTAAGTTTCCTGAGGCCTTCGTAGCCATGCAGAACTGTGAGCCAATTAAACCTCTTTTGCTTATATATCACCCAGTCTCAGGTATTCTTTAGAGCAGTGTGAAAATGAACTAGTATACGTGAATTCAAATGATAATACTTAAGAGACTCATGTCCAAAAGATAACAGGAGCAGTTTTAGAACAAAACTATAATGAAGGATCTAAAGTGCTGTACTGGGTTCTCTTGACTTACCCAGTGTGCAATGTTATGACCTTGGGCAGGCCCGTTTACACTGTGCAATGTGGAATTCAAATGCGATGGTGGATGGAACCTTGTCCTGAACCTAATTCCATGGGAAGCATTTAACATTTCATCATGACATATGTTTGTTGTAGGCATTTGGTACATACCTTTTATTACCTCATGGAAGTATTCTGCTAAGAGGGGTCTGGTTTGTCTGTGGTTTTTGGTTTGTTTGCTTGCTTGTTTTTTAGAGAGACAGGGTCTCATTCTGTCACCTCAGCTGGAATTCAGTGTTGTGATCCTCACCCACTGCAGCCTTCAACTCCTGAGTTCAAGCGATCCTCCCACCTCAGCCTCTTGAGTAGCTGGGACTGCAGGCACATGCCACCATGCCTGTTAAATTTTTTAATTTTTTTTTTCAGAATGGGGGTCTCACTCCATTGCCCAAGCTGGTCTCAAACTGTTAGCCTCTAGTGATCCTCCCACCTTGGGCTCCCAAAGAGCTGGGATTACAGGTGTGAGCCACTGTACCCAGGCAAAAGATAACTTTGGAACACCACCTGAGAATGTTACTTACAATGAATCCTGTCCTCATTCTCATTTACTTATTTGGATGGAGTTTCCTGAAATTTGTCTCACTATCATCTAGGATCCTTTTTCTTTCTCCAACTGGGAGATTGTGTCTGGTTTGGAAACTGCAAGCCCTGTTCAGGAAAAGGGAAAAGACCCAAGGCACACACCCAGTCCCCAGGTGATCATCAGGCCCAGGTGAAAACTCAGGCCTTAGGTGCACCTCTGGCCTCAGGTGGACACCCAGGCCCCAGGTGATCACCAGTCCCCAGGTGGACACAAGGCCTTAGGTGAACAACAAGACCCAGTAGGCCATCAGGCCCCAGCTGGATACAGTCCCCAGGTGAACACAAGGCCCCCAGAGGGACATAGGCCAAGGCAGTCATCAGGCCCTAGGTGGACATCAGGCCTGAGGACGACATCTGGCCCCTGGTGAACATCAGGCACAGGTGTCCAAGCAGACCCTGGGTGGACATAACTGTGTACGGGTCAGGAGATGACCTGAGGGGAGGGTGAGTAGTCAGCAGCCCAGTGGAGTCCTGAGTAGGTCTTATGGAAGGAAGGGGCCTAGGGGACAGAACCGTAAAGAAGCGACCTCACTTCCTCGATGATGACACACACGAACAGAACTTAGAACTCTGGTAACCAGGCACCCATATCCTAGAGTCAGCGCTGTAACCAGCTCACTTTGTGGGAGACGCTCAAGAGAGCAAGATGTTCTCGTGTTGCTTCCCCACTTCGAGAGGTTGCTGCTTCAGGAATGGAGGGAGTGAGAGCCTTTTCCGACAATGCCGAAGAAGGCTCATCCCTCACCCCAGACGCCTGTGGCCCTTTGTAAGAAGGCGCACCCAGGTACCACAGGACAGCCCGGGGCAGGCCCTAGCTGGCCAGGCCACACCATAGATCCCATCGGGGCTGCCTCTGTACATTGTCCTTGTCCAGGAGGAGATTCGGGAGCCCATGGAGGCACAGACACATGGTGAGGTGGCTGCAGCCTGGAAGACTTTGCGGGGGCAGTGCTTTTGGGGTGGAATTCCTTTGAATTCAGTGAGGTTGTCTCTGTGTTTGGAAATTCCAGTGGAAAGTGACTGATGCTGGTGACCCTTTCTCCTTTTTCAGCTCCTGGTCCATACGCAGACATAGCAGCACTTGCGGCACCGGCTGTCGAGCCAAAGCCAGCATGGGAAGAGCCCCCTCCAGAGAGAGCGCTGGAGGTGGAGGGAGCTCCAGCCAAGGACCAGCCCAGCCAGGAGCTGCCTGAAATCATGGCACCTACTGTAGCCACTGGCCTTAATGCTGGAGCTGAAAACGTGGCTGGAGAGAGAAGTGGGAGGGAGGGGGTGACAAGCACAGCCCCAGCCAGCAGATCCCATGCTGCCCCTAGTCCTGGGCATGGTGGCAAACATGGAGGCGGAGACCAGGGCATTCAGACTGGACTCCTGTACCTCGCTGGAGAGAGGCTTCTCTCATTCACTAGAACCACAGCCCTGCTGCTGCAGGGCCTGTTTATTGTGCTAATGCTGGTGGGGTATATCTCTGTGCAGGTGGTGCTCAAGAGCATTAAAACAAGGCTGGGAAGAAGAGTTCCAGCAGCTCCTCCTGCTCTCAGACGCAATCTTCTCCTCCAGGCATGGATGTGTGTCTGCAACTGGGCATCCAGGCTGTTTGCCCCCTAATGTGCTGCCCCGAACGGGCTCTTAACAGGTGGGCAGGGGTTGAGGGGACCAGGAGGTGGCTCCAAAGGGTACAGCAAGGAAAGCTTTTAAAGACAGCTGTTGTGCTCCAGGCTCTCCATGCCACCACCTGCCCTAGCATTTATTAATAGTGTTAGAATTACAAGTTTATGAAATGAAATATAAATAAAGTTTGATTTCTGAAACTTCTCACCTTTTTGAACTCCCTAATGTTAGATGGTGTTTTTGAGGCTATCCTGAAAATCTCGGATAGTTGTGTCTTTTGTTGTGGTTGTTTGTGTGGCTGAATTACCATCGAGTCATCTGTTATTGGAAACTTTTCAGGTATGGCTTTTAGAAGACCTTGACCCACTCTTGCCTGTTTTGACTCTCTGGTTTATTGTGGAAAGAGGGATGATGTAGGCTCATGTCTCCGGCAGATCAATCACCTTTTGCCATCAAGGATTTGGCATCAGAGTTTCCAAGAATTATGTGTGCAAATTGACATGCTGGTACTTTAGCTAATCTGGGTGTCAAAACAGAATGCCATAGACTAGGTGTAGCATAGAAAATTGATTTCTCACAGTTCTGGAGATGGTAAAATCCAAGGTCAAATGGTCAGCAGATTCCGTGTCTGCAGAGGGCTGGCTTCCTGGTTCATAGACAGCCATCTTTTTACTGTGTCTTTACATGACAGAAGGGGTGAGGGAGCTCTCTGCAGTCCCTTTGATAGGGACACCAATTCCATTCATGAGGTCCCTGCCTTCATGAACTGAATCACCTTCCAAGGCCCCACCCCCAAATACCATCACATAGAATCCAATGCATGAATTTGAGGAGGACAATAACATTTGCTTTATAGAATCAGGTCACCCCGAGCCATATGCACTCACAGGAAATCTATAATCTTCTATTAAGTATTTGCTGGTCCCCTCTGGGGATTGTCTAAACAGAATTGTCTAAACAAAAATTTAGACAATTTTTGTTTTCTTTAAGAAAAATGCTCTTTCATGTGATCCATGGTTTATTCATAGAAAGCACTGTGAGTTCACACACTTGCTAAAAAGAAGGACAATTGCGATACAAAAATGAGAGTGACCTCCCTCTCTCTCTCTCTCTCTTTTTAACCAACCAACTGGGCTGAGACATTGTAGGGACCCTTGGCTGGGCAGTAGGACTTGAGTAGCTACATACGGCAAATACAACTTCTTGCTCAGTTTGGAGTAGAAAAGGTGACAGTTTGTCAACAAAAGAAAAAGTAAAGCAGATGGAGAAGTTCTTAGTTCGCATTCTAGCTATACCACCTCTTCCTTATCAAAGCCCACCCCCACCTCAGGATCTAACATGTAAAAGAGTAAACACAAAGGCACTGGTAACCAACTGACTCTTCTGAATGCCCTTGCTATCTCCTACAACAATTCCAGGCTGAGCATAGGGGTCAGGAAGGTAGCAGGAACATGATGATACACTGTGGAGGTCAGCCAGGGCTAAGACAGGGCTGCTCATTAGGGCTAGAAATTAAGAAGGGAGAGGCTAAGTGCAGACCAGCCCTAGCCTCCAAGTCAGCATGCAATGAGACTGTGACAAAAGCAGGCAGAGGAAGCTTGACGTAGAAAGGCAGGGGAAGAAAGCAAGTACGGGGCGAGAAGGGAAATGTGCAGTGAAAGCAGCCAATCTGATGGCAGAGGGAGACCGGTGCTTAGAAGCTTGTTTGGTGAGAGGGAATGAATAGAGGAGGCACAGAAATGGGGAACAAACATTTAACTAGTGAGAGAGATTTAAGACGAATGGGAAGAGAAATCTCGCAAAAAGGACACATTCATGCAGATCCTCAAAGATGGACACGCAGTCATCCCTACATGTAGAAATATGCTCAGTTACACATATAAAAACACAGATGCATGGAGAGCAAGCATACACACAGACACATATCTCTACACATGCACTCCTGTGTGCCCAGATACACACACACTAGACATGCAAAACATGACAGCATTTACACATAGATATGCACCCTCACATGTGTGCAAATGTTACATCCTCACACAGAGACCCACATTCCAGTGTGCACATATCCACACAGGTACACAGCCATAGAACTGACATACGTACACATCAACATATAATGTGCACATACAGACAGGCACGCGCAGATATATCTATGCACATAGACACATGTACTCAGTCATGCACATACACACACTCTCTAACACAAAGGTGACCAGTGTAGATGAATATTGTGAGCTCAGTGGCTTCCCAGACCTTCATCTTTTCCCTGCTCTTGTTTCAAAGGTGCTCAGCAGACTCCTGGCGAGGCTGTGTGAGGCAGGGGCAGGACCTTCAGAGTCCTCACAGCTTTGTGAGGCAAAAGTCTGAGTCCAGTCCTGGCCTCTGCCGCTCACCCACCACTGGGCTATTAATGCCCTGTCTGTAGGCGAGAGATTCTGCATAGACTAGTCTTGGGATTTTTTTCTAACTGGCCATTTTTCTCCTTGGCACACCCACTATCCCGCTGGTAACGGCACACACTCTGCAAGGGAAACCTGAGAAATGGTTGTGAGTCTCCTCGGACAATAAGCATACCCTCCCACCCACAGCTACCTCAAGTGCCCAGCAAATCAGAACCAAAATTATAAATACTTACGACTTTACAGTAATTGGCAACACATATACTATAGTACTTACAGTACCATAAATGCATCTGTTTCTCTGGTGAAGCAATCTCTGAGATGGAACAGTGTTCTGTGTTTGCCAAGGGAGACAGGGCCAATGCCCAGGACACTCAGGACGTAGGGGCAGAAGGTGGCATATCGTGGGGGTTTCTGGTGGATCTGCAAGGCCCAGCTTCTCCACAAACAGTGGGCTGTAGTGAGAAGCTTGCCAAGGTATGCATATCGACTGGAGTTGGACTCTCCCCATCCTTAGCCCTGTGGTCCTTTGGCCTCAGCCACAGGTGCTCAGATCCTCCCAGGGTGGACAAATGTTTCAGTGTTTTTGGCCTGACCTGATACTACCTGGGGACCCAGGCTGCCGGGCCAGTGAGCTATCTGCTTTCTCAGCCAAAGGGCTCTCGAACCAGCAGCATCAGCTTTTTCTTGCCTTTGTAGATCGTTTGTGGTTGTTGATGAACAGGGCAAATTGCAGGTAGCCATCCTAAGGCAGCAGGAGGGTCTCCCGAGCCTTGCTTAGAAACTCAATGAACTGTCCACACTGGCAATGGCTAATGTGTGTTAGGTGTAGTGTGTGGTGTTGATGTAAGCATTGCATCAGCAACTGGTGCCATGGAGCTCTGTCAGTGGAGATGAGCTTTCCAGAGCTGTGGTGGCCCGGGGTGCCGGCCAGGCCAGGTGCAGTCACCGTGCAGCCTCGCACACAGGATGTCTGAAAGCACCATGGCAATGTGCGCACTCTTCACCACCAGGGGGATGAGAACTGCCAGCTCATTCTTGCCCAGAGAGTGGCTGAGGGCACAAACCCAGAGCACATCACTGATGGCTGGGTGGGTATCCTGGTTATGAGCCAGGTGAAGATGGCTCATGGCCAATGAGACCAGCTGGAAGGCGTGGAGCATGTAGCCCCGGAGCTCCACGTAGCAGGCAATGGTGAACAGCTGTGAATGGGTCATGCCACCGGCAGCAGCCTCGGTGGCAATCTGGCAGGCTGCCTCAAAGGCAATGTGGTCTTTCTCACAGAGTGTAAGGGCTGACAGGGCACAGCTCTGTGGATGCTTCGTAGCACACTGCAGGGCCAGTGTGCAAGCACAGCTAGCCAGTTCCTCCCGCTGTGGATAGTCAAGACTGAGGCGCAGGATAGTGGTGTGGGATACGGCTGTGGCAGCTACAATACTAGCAGCCTCAGTAGGGGTGAAGAGTGTGTGCCAGCTCTGCAAGATGCTCCCTGAGGCCCACACACCTGTCGGGGAGAGCCTGAGCTCAGCCGTGGCCATCTCAGTCCTGATTCAGGTCAGCCCAGATTACCGTGTGGGGTTTGAACTTGGCCTGCAGAGATGAGTTCTCCCTCCTCCTCAGCAACCTTGACACGATCTGAGGCAAACCAGGGCAAGAGAAGCATCCCAGATGGCCAAACCTTGTTTGGGGTCTCTTCCTATCCCTTCCTTACCCAGGTCAGAGGGTTGAAGGTTTCTGCAGGTGCTCTCAGCCCCTCACAAGGATGGAGCAGTAGATCCTGGGGTTTGCTTAACCCGAGGCCAGGGTTGCAGATCTGCCAGGGGTTCTAGCTGAAGTGGGGCCTGTCAGGGTAGAGTCTTGTGCTGGGGCTTTGGGCTTTAGAAAGGGTCCTGAGCCTCCAAGGTGTCTGGAGTTTCTCACAAGCATGGACAGGGACAGGGACCAAACCACCAGGCCCACTACCTCCCAAGGGCACACTTGAGTATTGGCAGCTGAAAATTCATTCTCTTAGACATGTCTCTGATGAGAGGGTCAAAGTGCTGCTGACATCGCATGTGGTTGGTTTAAGCAGTGAGGACAGAACTTGGGCTGGCTGAACAGAGGCTATCTTCTCCCACCAGCAGCCGCATCCTTTCTTAGGCCATCAGGAATAGGAATATGAGAGCTCCAAGGATTCGTTGTCCTGTCCCAAGAGTAGGGTATAGAAACTCCTTTCCCGTGGGAGTAGAGGGAGGTGGGCGATACCCACTTCTGTAGCACAGGTCACCAACCATCGTACCATCTCTCCGCGTCTCCAGTTAAGGGATGATAAGGTCATCGCATCACCTGTAACCCAGTTTCCAGCGCCACGTTGAGCAGGGTGCTGTCAGTACTACTGTTAGTGGGAGTAGCAATCTTGAACGCATTTTGGGCCAGTTTGAAGATGAGCGGGGAAGAACGAATGTGCTTCTGCATTGCTTCCAGAATTGTTCAGAGCCTCAGAGTGTCTCCTTTGGCAGCAGTCAGCATGGTGGAGGCCAGTTCCCACCGCTGTGATTCCAAGTGTCCAAGCGAGAACCAGGGAGGATAATGGCTGGGCACCAGAGACACCATACAGTGAGTGAGGGATGTGTGGCCTGCACAACCTGAATTTTCTAAAACAGGTAACCTTATACACGTAAGCCTAATTTATAGGCAGGGTCTGGATCACGAGACAGCAGAGCTGAGAACAAATACTTGGCAGAGGTATGCATGGAAACGCTCTCTCGGTGGATGACTTCTCCCAGATCCCTGAAAGGGCCCCCTTCCAGCAGCAAGATGCGCTATTTTTGGAGTGTTTGCACTGGGTCATCATCCAATTGCAGCTCTTGGAGTTGGCTGAGGAGCTGCTCCTCATTACGGCACACCTTGTCCTGTGCATAGGAGCCTTCAGGCATTACCCTCTGTGACCCAGGCCCATCGATGCAGCCTCCAGGGCCAATGACAAGTAGGACTCACTGCTGTTTGGGGAGCTTACAGCCACAGGTACATGTTGGTACACAGGGGGTCTGCTTTCATTCGTCTCTAGATACCTGTCATCATTCAGGAGGCAGGCCTCAGTCAAAGTGAGAAACAGGCAGCCGATGGGATCCAGGGGGTGGCCCACCCAGCCTTCCAGGTTTGTGATGGTTGTGGTTCCTCTCTGCAGCACTTCTTTCTTCTGATGCTTGTAGATTTTCAGTTGCCACCGCTGCTGAACCTCAGAGTATTAATAATGGCCACTGTGAGTCTGAGGGCCTCTTTTGGATAACCATGGGAATGTGGGGCATCAACCCGAGCACAGGCTGTTGCACATGCTCAAACCACAGTGGCTGGCCTTGGGAATTAAAGAGTAGTCTTGGCCAGGCATGGTGGCTCATGACTGTAATCCCAGCATTTTGGGAGGCCGAGGTGGGCGGATCATGAGGTCAGGAGATCAAGACCAACCTGGCCAACGTGGAGAAACCCCGTCTCTGCTAAAAATACAAACAATTTAGCTGGGCGTGGTGGCGGGCCCCTATAGTCCCAGCTACTCGGGAGGCTGAGGCAAGAGAATGGCGTGAACCCGGGAAGCGGAGCTTGCAGTGAGCCGAGATGGTGCCATTGCACTCTAGCCTGGGCGACAGAGTGAGACTCCGTCTCAAAAAAAAAAAAAAAATAAAATAATTAGCTGGGCATGGCGGCACGTGCCTGTAATCCCAGCTATTCGGGAGGCTGAGGCAAGAGAATTGCTTGAACTCGGGAGGTGGAGGTTGCAGTGGGCCCAGATCGCACCACTGCACTCCAGCCTGGCAACAGAGCTACTAGACTGTCTCAAAAAAAAAAATATTGCACAGATCCCTGAAAATACAATTATATAGATATTCTTTTTTGTTTTGTTTTGTTTTGGCTTGGTTTTTTGAGATGAAGTTTCGCTCTTGCGCCCAGCCTGGAGCAGTGGCGCGTTCTCGGCTCACTGCAACATCCACCTCCCGGGTGGATTCTCCCACCTCAGCCTTTCAACCAAGAAGCTACTTTTTGTTTGTTTGTTTGGTTGGTTGGTTGGTTGGTTGGTTGGTTGGTTGGTTGGTTGTTGAGACAGAGCTTTGCTCTTGTCGCCCAGGCGGGAGTGCAATGGTAAGTTCTCGGCTCACTGCAACATCCGACTCCAGGCTTCAAGCGATTCTCCCGCCTCAGCCTCCCGAGTAGCTGGGATTACAGGCTCCCACCAGCAAGCCCGGCTAATTTTTTTGTATTTTTAGTAGAGACAGGTTTTCATGATGTTAGCCAGGCTGGTCTCAAACTCCTGACCTCAAGTGATCTGCCCGCCTTGGCCTCCCAAAGTGCTGGGATTGCAAGCATGAGCCACCGTGCCCAGCCTGATTATATACATTTTCAATAAACATATATGAAAATGGTCTCAGGCATTTTAATAATTAGAAGACCAAAATCAATAAAAATGTAATAACATTACCCACTAACCAGAATATATAAAAGAAAGACTGACAAAATCAGGTATTGGAAAGGACATCTAATTAGAATGCTCTTAAACTTGTGGTTGGGTTGTATATTAGTCAAAAAAATCTTTGGAATTAAAAAAATTAATTGATAAATTGTGTGTATTTGTGGTGTACCACATTATACATATATACACACACAGAGACACGCCTTGTAGAATAGTTAAATCTGTGTATATATATATAGCCACAGACATACATTATAGAATGGCTAAATCAACTGACATAGCATATCAGTTAGCTTAGATACTTATATTTTTTTTTTAATTTTTTTATTTTTAGATGGAGTCTCCCACTGTCACCCAGGCTAGAGTGCAATGGTGCAATCTCGGCTCACTGCAACCTCTGCCTCCCAGGTTCAAGCGATTCTCCTGTCTCAGCCTCCTGAGTGGCTGGGATAACAGGCGCCTGCCACCACGCTCGACTAATTTTTGTATTTTTAGTAGAGATGGGGTTTCACCATCTTGGCAAGCTTCTGACCTCGTGATGCACCCACCTCGGCCTCCCAAAGTGCTGGGATTACAGGCATGAGCCACTGTGCCTGGCCAATCAATACTTATTTTTGTGTGTGTGTTTGGTGAGAACATTTAAAATCTGCTGTCTTAGCAATTTCAAATATTACCACTTTTTTTTTTTTTTTTTTGAGACGGAGGCTCACTCTGTCTCCCAGGTTGGAGTGCAGTGTCACAATCTCGGCTCACTGTAAGCTCCGCTTCCCAGGTTCACGCCATTCTCCTCCCTCAGCCTTCCGAGTAGCTGGGACTACAGGAGCCCACCACCACGCCTGGCTAATTTTTTGTATTTTTAGTAGAGACGGGGTTTCACTGTGTTAGCCAGGATGGTCTCGATCTCCTGACCTCGTGATCCACCCGCCTCGGCCTCCCAGAGCCTGGGATTACAGGCATGAGCCACCGCACCCGGCCACCACATTGTTATTAACTATAGTCAACATGTTGTACAATAGAGCTCTTGAGCTTTTTCCTCCTAGTTGACATTTTCAGTGACATGCACTGCATTTGAACACATGCAGTTACTATGACCAAGCGATTTTATCTGTAGGGCTGTACTTAACTAAAATATACATGTGTACCAAAAGAAATTAACAAGAATGTTCGTAGTGGCTTTATTGCTAACAGCCCCAAACTGGAAACAAACCAATGTCCATCAACAGTAGAATTAATAGATGTGCCATATTCATTCAGAGCACCACCGAGCAGGGAATAGAAATGAACTGCTTCATGAAACCACATGAAGGAGTGTCACAAATGTAATGCTGGGCCAAAGAAGCCACACACAAAACCATTCCTACTGAATGGCCCTCCATGCATCCATTTATGAAACAAGCAACACTAATTGGGGCTGCTAAAATCCAGGTGACTCTTTGCTTTGACAAGACAGGTGGGCAGTGGTTAGGGAGCAGACCTTCAGGAGAGGGATTTCCAGATTGTTATTTTTATTTCATTTTCTTGGACTGTGTGGTAGCTCCAAGCATGTGTCCTCTTTGTGATAAATTACTGAGCAGTAGAATAACAGGATACCTGTGTATATTATACTTTAGTAAATGTATTTGAATTCATTTTTGCCATTAGGACAAAAATATATTATATCTGTGAATTTTAAGTATATATTTATTAAATATTGACAAATGTATGTCAGTGTAATACAAATCTCTATGAATATCTACAATATTTGTCCACATATGTTTTGTCTTATCCCCTCTCTTTTTTTCTTCTGGGATTCCAATTAGGTATAATAGATATATGTTGGACCTTTTGATATGGTTCTGTGGGTCTCTGAGACTATCTTTTTTCAAGTATCTTTTTTCTCTCTTCTTTAAATTCAATAATACTGATCTTTTTTCAAGTTCACTGTCTCTTCTTCTGTTATCTTCATTCTGCAGTTAAACCTATTGATGAATTTTTTAATTTAGACATTGCATTTTTTTTAGTTCTAGAGTTTATAGTTCATTGCTATAGTTTTCCTCTACTGCAATTTCTGATTTTTACATTATTGCAAACCTAGATAGATTCGGCCTTTAACCACATAGATTCTGCCATTAACATTACTTACTACACTTGCTTTATCAAATATCCATCCTCCTATCCATTCTTCTATCCATTATTAATCCTCCTTTTGGGGGGAATGAATTTCAGAGTAAATTGAAGACACCAATAAATATTTCCTTCTGAATACTTAAACATATATATCATTTATTGGACTTCAATGATCTCTTTACAGTTTTCTTCTGACATCAATTTTATGCACAATGAGCTCCCCAAGTGAATATTTGTTGAATTTTGTGTATATTTGTGAATTTTAAGTGTATATTTATTAAATATTGACATATGTATGTTGGTGTAATACAAATCTCTATGAAGATCTACAGTATTTGTCCACATGTATTTTGTCTTATCCCCTCTCTTTTCTTCTTCTGGGATTCCAATTAGGTATAATAGGTATATGTTGGACCTTTTGATATGGTTCTGTGGGTCTCTGAGACAATTTTTTTTCTAGTATCTTTTTTCTCTCTTCTTTAGGGTCAATAATATTGATCTTTTTTCAAGTTCACTGTCTCTTCTTCTGTTATCTTCATTCTGCAGTTAAGCCTAGTGATGAATTTTTTATTTAGACATTGCATTTTTTAGTTCTAGAGTTTACAGTTCATTGTTATAGTTTTCCTCTACTGCAATCTCTGATTTTTACATTATTGTAAACCTATTTTCTTTCATGTATGTGAGCTTTAAAATCTTTGTCTGCTAATTTCAGCATTTAGGTCATCTGGGTTTGGATTCTGTGGATAGTCTTTTTTCTTGAAAAGGGATCACATTTTCTTGTTTCTTTGTATATGGAGTAATTTGGGGTTGGATTCTTGATATCAGTATCAAAAATATTGAATGTTACGTTGTGGAGGCTCTAGGTTCAGTTACATTCCTCTGAGAAGGTTCTTTCCTTCCTCCCTCTCTTCTTTCCTCCCTCCCTTCCTCCTTCCCTTTCTCCTTTCCTTCCTGATATGGTTTGGATATTTGTCCCCTCCAAATCTCATGTGTTTCCCAATGTTGGAGGTGGGGCCTGATGGGAGGTGATTGGATCACAGGGCAGATCCCTCATGAATGACTTAGCACCATCGCCTTGATTCAAAGTGAGTTTCTCGCTCTGAGTTCCTATGAGATCTGGTTTTTTAAAAGAGCATGGCACCTCCCCTGTGCATCTCTTGCTCCTGCTGTGACCAGGTGATGTGCCTGCTCCCCCTTTGACTTTGGCCACGAGTGTAAGCTTCCTGAGGCCCTTACGAGAAGCAGATGCTGGCACTATGCTTCCTGTGCACTCTGCAAAACTGTGAGCAAATGAAACCACAGTTTTTTATAAATTACCCAGCTTCAGGTATTCCTTTATTGTGATGCAAACAGACTAACACAACTCTGTCCCCTTCTTTCCTTTCTTTCTTCCTCCCTTCTACCAAACAAGTAAGTTGGTTGGACTTAAACTACAAATTTTGTCTTGGGTGGTAGTTCAGAGATCAGCCAGATATTTGAACAGGCTTTATTTACAGAATTTGGGAATCTCTCCTTTCCAGGAATCCCCACCTTACTTTTCTGCAGCTCTGATTTCCCTGAACTCTACGCTGTGGTTCTTCAGGCCAGAAAGACTGAGTTTTCTATTGGAGCTTTATATACCCTGTGTGGTGCCAACTTTGATGTGTACTCAGGCTAAAAGTCAGTAAAAATACATAACTCACTTTGTGCCATTACCTTTTTCCCAAGAGTCAACTCCTGTCCGGATCTGTATTACTTTTCTTTACTCTTCCTTGCCTAAAGGATTTTTATTTGCTTGTTTTGTTTTAGTTTTGGTCTAGAGTTTATTGTTATCTCCAAGAGAGTTGGGTCTGGCAGGAGTGATTATCTTTTTTAATTTCAATTTTAATTTTAATTTTAATTTTTTTGTTTTGAGACAGAGTTTTGCTTTGTCACTCAGGCTGGAGTGCCGTGGCATGGTCTGCGCTCCCTGCAATTTCTACCTCCTGGGTTCAAAGAATTCTCGTGCCTCAGCCTCCTGAGTAGCTGGGACAACAGCCACGCACCACCATCCCCAGATAATTTTTGTAATTTTTAAGAGTAGAGATGAGGTTTCACCATGTTGGCCAGGCTGGTGTCAAATTTCTGTCCTCAAGCAGCTCACTTGCCTTGGCTTCCTAAAGTGCTGGGATTACAGATGTGAACCACTGCGCCCAGCCAAATTTTAATTACTTAAAGAAAGAAGAAAATATGAACCCAGTGTCTGGCCTACCATCTTATTTTGTGCATATCAATAGTACTTCTCAAAAAATAGTTTTTGAAAGTTCTGGCTCACAGAATGCCCAATCAATTGATCTTTGTCTTTTTTTCATACTTGTTAACAATGTTGGGATCAAACCATGCAGTCTTATAATCTGTTTTATCCACATAATATATTGTGACCATTTCATGTTTGTTGCTTTTTGATGACTTCATAGTATTTCTTCATATGGATATACCATAATTCATACAACAAATTTTCTATTTTTAGGTAATTTTGAGTTTTTAATGTATTATTATCAGAAAAAAGGTAATAAATATCTTCCTGGCAATATGTGATAGCTTTTCTTATGTCCTTCATGTTGCACTCACTAAAAAGCATTGCCTTTTAAGTTGAATGAGGGAGAAACTGGTTAACTCTTAAATCATAGGTTATATATTAGAGAGAAAATTACTTTTATTAGAGTCAAGAAAGTAAGGTGGTACCTCATTATAAAGAAGCTAAATACGTGTATGTATGTATGCATATGTGAATAATGGGTTGAGATAGAGAAGATTTTGAGAGGATAGGGCAGACTGCTATCAATGACTAACATTGTCTTTCAAGAATAGTCATGAATCATTTAACAATGGGGATATGTTCTGAGAAATGTGTTGCTAAGCTATTCCATCATTGCATGGACAGTATAGAGGCACTTAACACAAACCTAGATGGTTTAGCCTACTAAGCACTTAGGCTATATGGATATAGCCTAAGCTATCACATATTGTAGCTCCTAGGCTACAAACCTATACAGTATGTTACTATACTGAATACTGTAGGCAGTTATAACACAATGGAAAGTGTTAGTGTATCTAAATATATCTCAACATAGAAAAGGTACAGTAAAAATATGGTATAAAAGATGATACACCTTCTATTACTCTGTTTTCACACTGTGGATAAAGACATGGCTGAGACTGGGTAATTTATGATGAAAAGAGGTTTAATGGGTTCACAGTTCCATGTGGCTGGAGAGGTCTCACAAACATGGTGGAAGGCGAAAGGCACATCTGACATGGCAGCAGGTGAGAGAGAATGAGAGTGAAGACAAAGGGGAAGCCCCTTATAAAACCATCAGATCTTGTGAGACTTATTCACTACTACAAGAACAGTATGGGGAAAACTGCCCCCGTGACTCGGTTATCTCCTACCACGTCCCTCCCACAACATGTGGGAATTCTGGGAGCAACAATTCAAGATGAGATTTGGGTGGGGACACAGCCAAACCATATCATTCTTCCCCAGTCCCTCCCAAATCTCATGTCCTCACTTTTGAAAACCAATCATGCCTTCCCAACAGTCCCCCAAAGTCTTAACTCATTTCATCATTAACTTAAAAGTCCTCAGTCCAAAGTCTCATCTGAGACAAGGCAAGTCCCTTCCACCTATGAGCCTGCAAAATCAAAAGTGAGTTAGTTACTTCCTAGATACAGAGGGGGTAAAGGCATTGGATAAATACACCATTCCAAATGGGAGAAATTGGCCAAAATGAAGGGGCTAAAGGCCTCATGCATGTCCGAAGTCCAGGGGGGCAGTCAAATCTTTTTTTTTTTTTTTTTTTTTTTTTTTTGTGAGATGGAGTCTCACTCTGTCACCCAGGCTGGAGTGCAGTGGTGCGATCTCGGCTCACTGCAAGCTCCATCTCCCAGGTTCACGCCATTCTCCTGCCTCAGCCTCCTGAGTAGCTGGGACTACAGGTGCCCACCACCACACCTGGCTAATTTTTTGTATTTTTAGTAGAGACAGGGTTTCACTGTGTTAGCCAGGATGGTCTCAATCCCCTGACCTCGTGATCCACCTGCCTCAGCCTCCCAAAGTGCTGGGATTACAGGTTTGAGCCAGGGCAGCCAAATCTTAAAGCACCAAATTCATCTCCTTTGACTCCATATCTTGCATCCAGGTCACACTGATGCAAGAGGTGCGTTTTCATGGTCTTGGGCAGCTCCACCCACGTGGCTTTGCTCCTGGTTGCTTTCACGGGCTGGCGTTGAGTCTCTGCGGCTTTTCCAGATGCACGGTGCAAGCTGTTGGTGGATCTACCATTCTGGGGTCTGGAAGATGGTGGCTCTCACAGCTCCACTAAGGCAGTGCCCCAGTGGGGACTCTGTGTTTGGTCTTCAACCTCACCTTTCCCTTTTGCACTGCCCTAGCAGAAGTTCTCTATGAGGCCCCTACCCCTGCAGCAAACATCTGCCTGGACATCCAGGCATTTCCACACATTCTCTGAAATCTAAGCAGAGGTTCCCAAACCTCAATTTTTGACTTCTGTGTACCCACAGGCTCAACACCACATGGAAGGTGCTAAGGCTTGGGGCTTGCACCCTCTGAAGCCATGGTCCAAGCCATACCTTGGCCTCTTTTGTCCATGGCTAGAGTGGCTGAGATGTCCCTAGGCTGCACACAGCAGGGGGGCCCTGGGCCCAGCCCACAGACCCATTTTTTCCTCCTAGGCCTCTGGGCCCATGATGGGAGTGGCTGCTGCAAAGTTCTTCGACATGCCCTGGAGACATTTTCCCCATTGTCCTGTTGATTAACATTTGGCTCCTTGTCACTTATGCAAATTTCTGCAGCTGGCTTGAATTTCTCCTCAGAAAATGGGTTTTTTTTTTTTCTATTGCATTGTCAGGCTGCAAATTTTTTGAACTTCTGTCCCCTGTTTCTGTTTTAAAACTGAGTGCTTTTAACAGCACCCAAATCACCTCTTGAATGCTTTGTTGCTTAGAAATTTCTTCTGCCAGACGCCCTCAATTATCTCCCTCAAGTTCAAGGTTCCACAAATTTCTAGGGCAGGGACAAAATGCCACCAGTCTCTTTGCTAAAACATAGCAAGAGTTGCTTTTACTTCATGTCCCAACAAGTTCCTTATCTCCGCCTAAGATCACCTCAGCCTGGATTATATTGTCCACATGATTATCAGCATTTTGGTCAAAGCCATTCAGCAAGTCTCTAGGAAGTTCTAAACTTTCCCACATCTTCCTGTCTTCTTCTGAGCCCTCCAAACAGTTCCAGATTCAGCCTGTTATCCAGTTCCAAAATCACTTTCACATTTTGGGTATCTTTATATCAGCACTCCACTCCTGGCACCAATTTACTGTATTACTCCTTTTTCATGATGCTGATAAAGACATATCTGGGACTGGATAATTTATGATGCAAAAGACGTTTCATGGACTCACGGTTCCACTTGGCTGGGGAGGCCTCACAATCATGGCAGAAGGTGAAAGGCACATCTTACATGGTGGCAGGCAAGAGAGAATGAGAGCCAAGTGAAAGGGGATACCCCTTATAAAACCATCAGATCGTGTGAGACTTATTCATTACCACAAGAACAGTGTAGGGGAAACTGCCTCCATGATTCAATTTTCTCCCACTGGCTCCTCCCACAACACTTGGGAATTATGGCAGCCACAGTTGAAGATGAGATTTGGGTAGGAACACAGTCAAACCATATCACACCTGTTTTGGGCATTTACCATGAATGGAGCTTGCAGGGCAGTAAGTTGTTTTGGGTGAGTCAGTGAGTAAGTAATGAGTGAATGTGAAGCCTAGGACATCACTGTATATATACTATTGTGGACTTTATAAACACTCTATACTTAGGATACACTAAATTTACTGAATATATTTTTGTTCCTTCAATAATAAATCTTAGCTTACTGTAACTTTTTTACTTTATAATCTTTTAAATATTCTTAAACTTTTAGACTCTTTTGTAATAACACTTGGCTTAAAACACCAAACAACAGTGTATAGCTATCCAAAAATAATTTATGTCCTTACTGTATAAGCTTTTTTCTATTAAAAAGTTCTTTTTTTTACTTTTTAAACTTTTTTGTTAAAAACTAAGACCCAAACATACACATTAGCCTAGGCCTACATATCTTGATGACAACCATCGCGATGTCACTAGGCGATAGGAACTTTTCAGCTTCATTATATTCATATGGCACCACTGTCGTATATGTGGTCCATAGTTAACCACAACATTGTTATATGGAGAATTATGATAATTTAAACCTTTGAAGAATTTAGTTTTATGTCTATATATTATTCCCAATGTGATCACTAACCTTGAAAGGAATTTGAGCTATGTTTTATCATTTTTAAATTATGAGACACAATACACATAGAAAAATCCACAAAACAAAAATATACAGCTCAGTAATTTATTACAAAGCGGAACACCTGTGTAGGTATCACCTAGGTAAAGAAAGAGTATTACTAGTAACCCAATAGCCTCTCTCTTTTTCTTTGCCTTTCAGTCATTCTAGAGTAATCAGTATCACAATTGTTATAATCATAACTCTCTTGCTTTTCTTCAACCACCACCCTGACTTCTGTCTCCATAAACGACTTTTGCCTGGTTTTTTTTTTTTTTTTTTGAGACGGAGTCTCGCTCTGTCGCCCAGGCTGGAGTGCAGTGGTGCAATCTCTGCTCACTGCAAGCTCCGCCTCCCGGGTTCATGCCATTCTCCTGCCTCAGCCTCTGGAGCAGCTGGGACTACAGGCGCCTGCCACCAAGCCCGGCTAATTTTTTTTGTACTTTTAGTAGAGACGGGGTTTCACCCTGTTAGCCCTGTTAGCCAGGATGGTCTCAATCTCCTGACCTCGTGATCCACCCGCCTCGGCCTCCCAAAGTGCTGGGATTGCTGGCGTGAGCCACAGCGCCCGGCCTGCTTTTCTTACTTCTTACCACTTAAGCGCATATCCCTGAATGTTGTAGTTTAAGTTTTTCTGTTTTCTGAACTTTATATAAAATAAACAACATATTCAGTCTATGTCTTCCGTTTATGGGTTTTTTTCATTCAACATTATGTTTTTGAGATTGATTCAAGTAATTGTCAGTAGTTCTAGTTTGTTTCTATACCTGTACAGTAAGTGTATATTACAATTTTTCCTGTGGTGTACAATGACGTGGTGTACAGTAGTGTTTCTGTATGGCATACTGTAAGGTATTTTTATGTAGTAAGTATATACGACTACTTATTTTACTGTTGATAGGATTTGGGGTTTTTTTCTAATTTGGGGGCTACTATGGGTAAGAACACTTATGAACATTCTTATATATATCTCCTGGTGCACATGTACAAGTATTTCCATTGTGTATATGTTCACAATGGCTTGGTGAGTCATAGAGTATAAATATCTTGAGCTTTAGTAGAAATTGCCAAACTCTTTTCCATAGTGATTATTATCAATTCACATTTCCACTAGCAGAGTATGATTGTTTACATTCCTGTACTTTTTTGCCAACACTTGCTATTTTCAGTCTTTGTAGTTTTAACCATTCTGGTGAGTATATAGTGATATTTCCTTGGGTTTTCGACTTTTTTCTCATGACTAATGAGATTGATAGTCTCTCTTCTGAAGTGCCTGTTTAAGTCTTAAGCCAATTTATATATAGGCTGGTCTGTCTTTTTCTTATTGATTTGTAGGAGTTCCTTATGTATTCTGGATATGAGCCCTTTATGGCCATACCACCCTGAATGTGTCTGATTTCAGAAGCTAAGCAGGGTCTAGCCTGGTTAGTACTTGGATGCATATGAGCCCTTCATCAGTTACGCTTGTTGCTCTATCTTCTTTCCCTCTGTGGGTTAACTTAAATAGTCTTTTGGCAAATGCGAATTTTAAACTTTCACGTAGTTCAGTTTATTAAAATATTTCTATGATTAGCCCAGGTGCTCATGCCTGTAATCCCAGCACTTTGGGAGACCAAGGCAGATGGATCACTTGAGGTCAGGCGTTCAAGACCAGGCTGGCCAACATGGTGAAACCCCGTTTCTACTAAAAATACAAAAACTTAGCCAGGCAAGGTGGCGGGCACCTGTAATCCCAGTTACTCGGGAGGCTGCAGCAGGAGAATCGCTTGAACCCAGAAGGCAGAGGTTGCAGTGAGCCGAGATTGTGCCACTGCACTCCAGCCTGGGCAACAGAGTGCCTCCATCTCAAAAAAAAAAAAACCAATTTTATATATATATATATAAAATTAATGCTTTCTATTTCCACTTAAGAAGTGCTTCCCTTGCCCCGCCCCGCCGCGGGACTTGGGGCGGCGCTCTACTTCTGCGGAGAAGGATCGACGAGCTTTCCGGAGAAAGATCCGCGAGCTTTCCGGAGCCGGAGCCGGGGCGAGCAGCCAAAAGGCCCGCGGAGTCCCGCTGGGCCGCCCCGGAGCAGCTGAACCGGGGGCCGCACCTGCCAGGCCGACGGGTCTGGCCCAGACTGGCGCCGAGGGGTTCGAGGGGTTCGTGTGCTGTGGAGACGCAGAGGATCCAGGCGGTGCGGTCTGAGTGAAAGCCAATGGAAAAAGTGTGACATTTAGAAGCAGAAGACTTAGCTTCAAATCCCTACTCTTTCACTTACTAATTTTGTGATTTGGAAATATCTGCGCAAGATGTTGACGTTGCAGACTTGGCTAGTGCCAGCTTTATTTTCCTCACCACTGAATCTATAGGTGAACTTCTAGATCCATGTGGTTATATCAGTCCCGAATCTCCAGTTGTACAACTTCATTCTAATTTCACTGCAGTTTGTGTGCTAAAGGAAAAATGTATGGATTATTTTCATGTAAATGCTAATGACATTGTCTGGAAAACAAACCATTTTGCTATTCTTAAGGAGCAATATATTATCATAAACAGAACAGCATCCAGTGTCACCTTTACACATATAGCTTCATTAAATATTCAACTCCCTTGCAACATTCTTACATTCGGACAGCTTGAACAGAATGTTTATGGAATCACAATAATTTCAGGCTTGCCTCCAGAAAAACCTAAAAATTTGAGTTGCATTGTGAATGAGGGAAACAAAATGAGGTGTGAGTGGGATCGTGGAAGGGAAACACACTTGGAGACAAACTTCACTTTAAACTCTGAATGGGCAACACACAAGTTTGCTGATTGCAACCAAAATGTGACACCCCCACCTCATGCACCATTGATTATTCTACTGTGTATTTTGTCAACATTGAAGTCTGGGTAGAAGCAGAGAATGCCCTTGGGAAGGCTACATCAGATCATATCAATTTTGATGCTGTATATAAAGTGAAGCCTAATCTGCCACATAATTTATCAGTGATCAACTCAGAGGAACTGTCTAGTATCTTAAACTGTTTGCTTAGCATTCCTATTGACAACTTTTCTGGGAGTGCTGTTCTGCTTTAATAAGCGAGACCTAATTAAAAAACACATCTGGCCTAACGTTCCAGATCCTTCAAAGAGTCATATTGCCCAGTGGTCACCTCACACTCCTTCAAGGCACAATTTTAATGCAAAAGATCAAATGTATTCAGATGGCAATTTCACTGATGTAGGTGTTGTGGAAATAGAAGCAAATGACAAAAAGCCTTTTGCAGAAGATCTGAAATCATTAGACCTGTTCAAAAAGGAAAAAATTAATACTGAAGGACACGGCAGTGGTATTGGGGGGGTCTTTATGCATGTCATCTTCTAGGCCAAGCATTTCTAGCAGTGATGAAAATGAATCTTCACACAACACTTCGAACACTGTCCAGTATTCTGCTGTGGTACACAGTGGCTACAGACACCAAGTTCCATCAGTCCAGGTCTTCTCAAGATCCAAGTCCACCCAGCCCTTGTTAGATTCAGAGGAGAGGCCAAAAGATCTACAATTAGTAGATCATGCAGATGGCGGTGATGGCATTTTGCCCAGGCAACACTACTTCAAACAGAACTGCAGTCAGCATGAATCCAGTCCAGATATTTCACATTTTGAAAGGTCAAAGCAAGTTTCATCAGTCAATGAGGAAGATTTTGTTAGACTTAAACAACAGATTTCAGATCATATTTCACAATCCTGTGGATCTGGGCAAATGAAAATGTTTCAGAAAGTTTCTGCAGCAGATAGATACTTTTGGTCCAGGTACTGAGGGACTAGTAGAAAGATCTGAAACAGTTGGGATGGAGGCTGTGATTGATGAAGGAATGCCTAAAAGTTACCACAGACTGTACGGCAAGGCAGCTACATGCATCAGTGAAGGACTAGTAGTTCCTGCTACAACTTCAGCAGTACCTATAAAGTAAAGCTAAAATTATTTTATCTGTGAATTCAGATTTTAAAAAGTCTTCACTCTCTGAAGATGATCATTTGTCCTTAAGGACAAAAATGAACTGAAGTTTCACATGAGCTATTTCCATTCCAGAATATCTGGGATTCTACTTTAAGCACTACATAAACTGACTTTATCCTCAGATTAGCTGAATGATTTTGTGCTGTTTCAGGATGTTTGCACTGAAGAAAAACAGAAAGCTTATCTGAAATTTATAAAACTTTTTGTTTTGCTACATAGAAAACAGAAGGTATTTAAATAATAAGCAGTGATATGCTTAGCGAGCACAGCTATACTGATTTTGATTAGAATAGTCATCAAAGTAGCTTAGGGACAGTTAATATAAAAGATTAGAGGAGCAAGGTCTAGACCATCTACTTCTGCTAAAATAATTTAAAAAGAGGTCCATAGGCCCTAACTATATGAGCCCAGCTTTTGTAATCTGACAAAAAAAATGAGGAGCAGCCTCGTGTATATCAATGTACAAAATATTCCTTAGGTCCCTTCCATTGGTGGTGATGCTGCCAGTTATTACTGGAGAAAAGGAATTCTAGAGCTTTAACTTGGCAGATTAAAAGTACTCTTTTTTTTTTTTTTTTTGAGTCGGAGTCTTGCACTGTTGCCCAGGCTGGAGTGAAGTGGCAAGGTCTCTGCTCACTGCAAGCTCTGCCTCCCGGGTTCACACCATTCTCCTGCCTCAGCCTCCAGAGTAACTGGGACTACAGGCGCCCACCACCATGCCTGGCTAATGTTTTTGTATTTTTAGTAGAGACGGGGTTTCACAGTGTTAGCCAGGATGGTCTCGATTTCCTGACCTCGTGATCTGCCTCGGCCTCGGCCTCCCAAAGTGCTGGGATTACAGGCGTGAGCCCCTGCACCTGGCCTAAAAGTACTCATTTTTTATTCATCAATAATTAGTAATCTGACTCGTTTCAAAAATTTGTTTATTATTGACAACCTCTTTGAAGATCCATTTCACAAACTCAACAGAGTGCCACGATTAAGAGCTAGGGATCCCCCAAACTACCTCAAGCATCTAAAAAATTGCCATTTTTTAAAGGCTTAAATTGTAGTAGTAAAGGGGGAAAAAACCCATAAATCATCTAAAAAATTGCCATTTTTAAAGGCTTAAATTGTGTGTGTGTACACACACACACACACACACACACACACACACACACATCATTGACCTTTCTTAAGACTTCAGAGGGTGGAACTTCCGGATGTGACCACAGAGAGGAAGAGACCGGGAAGGCGGAGCGCGGCCGCCAGCACCCCCGAGCCGCCGCCGGACCCCCGCCGCCCCGGGCCGCCCCCCGCCCCCCGCGGTCCCAGGTCTGTCCGTCTGGGGACGGCTCGATTCCCCGCAGAGCCGGGGGAGGGACGGGGGCGCCCAGGGGAGGGGGCCTCGGGCGCCCCGCCCGCGCCTGCTGCCCCGTCCCGGCGGTAATGCGCTCCCGGCCGTGACCCCCGCTGGGGGCGGGGGCCGGGATCCATGCGCGGAGCCCCCACCCGGCCCGGCGCCTGCGGCTGACGGCGGCGGGGGTTGGGGGGCGCGCGTCTGGCCTCCTGCCCACCCCCTGGCGTCGACATCACGGGCCGTCGGGGGCTGCGCCCTACCCCGCGGCCAGGCTCTGGAGGGACCCTGGAGGTGCCGCCGGCCTCAGCCCATGGCCCAAAGGTACGATGAGCTGCCGCACTACCCAGGCATCGCGGATGGCCCCGCAGCCCTGGCTGGCTTCCCAGAGGCAGTGCCCGCGGCACCAGGGCCCTATGGCCCTCACCGGCCTCCCCAGCCCCTACCCCCAGGCTTGGACAGCGACGGCCTGAAGAGGGACAAGGATGAGATCTATGGACACCCGCTCTTCCCCGTCTTGGCCCTGGTCTTTGAGAAATGTGAACTGGCTACATGCTCTCCCCGTGATGGGGCCGGAGCTGGGCTGGGGACACCCCCGCGGCGGCGACGTCTGCTCCTCTGATTCCTTCAACGAGGACAACACTGCCTTCGCCAAGCAGGTTCGCTCTGAGAGGCCCTTCTTCTCCTCCAACCCAGAACTGGACAATCTGATGATCCAGGCAATCCAAGTGCTGCGGTTCCACCTGCTAGAGCTGGAGAAGGGAAAGATGCCCATCGACCTGGTCATCGAGGATCGGGATGGCGGCTGCAGGGAGGACTTCGAGGACTACCCAGCCTCCTGCCCCAGCCTCCCAGACCAGAATAATATATGGATTCGAGACCATGAGGATAGCGGGTCTGTACATTTGGGGACCCCAGGTCCATCCAGCGGGGGGCTGGCCTCCCAGAGTGGGGACAACTCCAGTGACCAAGGAGTCGGGCTGGACACCAGCGTGGCCTCTCCCAGTTCTGGTGGAGAAGATGAGGACTTGGACCAGGAGCCACGGCGAAACAAGAAGAGGGGGATCTTCCCCAAGGTGGCCACCAACATCATGCGAGCCTGGTTGTTCCAGCACCTCTCACACCCGTACCCCTCGGAGGAGCAGAAGAAACAGCTGGCGCAGGACACGGGGCTTACCATCCTGCAAGTCAACAACTGGTTCATTAATGCCCGGAGACGCATCGTGCAACCTATGATCGATCAATCCAACCGCACAGGGCAGGGTGCAGCCTTCAGCCCAGAGGGCCAGCCCATCGGGGGCTATACCGAGACAGAGCCACACGTGGCCTTCCGGGCTCCAGCATCAGTGGGGATGAGTTTGAACTCGGAAGGAGAATGGCATTATCTATAGAGGCTGATGCGGGAGAGACCCAGCCTCCGGCTGTGACCCCCAGCCTCACACCTGGCTCTGGTTCCCGCCTGGTCCTCTGGCTTCAGGATCCCACCTCCAAAGGCCTCTCCGCTCAACGCCTACCTCCCTAGGGCCCTGCTGGGACATGGGGGCCTGAGTGCCCACCCAAGGGGCTCTCAAGGACACCGGCAAGGCCTCCAGGCTCTGAGCCCCGCTTCTGCCTTCACCTCTGCCTGGGACCCGAGCTGGGCTCCTGGGCCTTGGTCCCCAGAAGATGGCAGCTAGGGCCTCGCCGCGAGGACAGAGAAGGGACAGGGTGGCTGGGCAGTCAGGGAAGGAGGGTCGCCCGGATCCGACATTTTGGAGAGATTCTTTCACCCTCCTGTCCCCCCCACCTCCCTTCTCTAATTTCTTCTTTTTTTAATGATAAAGTCTTAAAACACAGAAAAAAAAAAGACTTCAGAGAATTAGGTAGATGAAGCACTTTATACAGTATATATCTTCAGCTTAAATTTGTTTTGAGTATTTTTTTTATTTTTAAGTAGGCAAAGATTTAAAATTTTTTATTTTTAGTAAATGTTTGAAGCAAACTAAAAAGACGTGGGCAATATTTACCAAAACAAAACAGAACCCAAAAAATTGTACATCTTGATCTTAGCAAATATCCTTATTGTAGAGACACTTAATAAAGAGATGGTATTTTAATATCTGCAGTTCTGAGGTAGGGTGTAACTTAGTTCTACATTGTGATTTAGGAATTTTTAAACCTTTCTTCTTCAGGGGAGAAGTGACCCAGGCCTCGAGTTTAGTGCTAAAGCCACTAGTGTACTTATGCTGTCACCTAACCACCACATGCGACATGGAGGCAGAGGCTAAATATAGGGGCTTTCTTAAGAAAGTGAGAGGAAATTAGCAAGCATTATTAGTGTTTGACTACTGCTATCAAGTGAATTCAAAGGAAACAGGTTTTTATGCCATATTTAAGTTACAGAAACCAGGCATGCTTAGAATAGTTTCTAAGGTGACAGAGTGAGACTCCATCTCAAAAAAAAAAAAAAAAAAAAGAATAGTTTCTAGAGGTTATTGGAGAATAGAAAGCTAAGAAAACTTGGTATACATTTACAATTGAAATATAATTACACTTTTTACTCTCAGAATATTATTCAGATTAGACTTCCTGTTTATCTTTTATATTCTTGCATTGATATAATGCCTGATCCTTCAAAGTTCTTTCACATATTATATGATCTTCTTTATGAAAAAAAGTAGATGCTTTATTCTGATATATTCAGTTTCCCACTTTAGGCAAAAGTGGATTAATAGAATGATGAATTCAAAGTAGATGAGGAAAATCAGGCACAGAGAAGTAAAGGTAGGTACAGACCCAAATTCACACAAGATAATGACATCACCAGCGTTTAAGTTGATCATCAAAGGCTGGGCTGGATTTGTCTTGCTGTATGTGTCAGGAAATTTATACCTATTACATTTTCCATTTTCTCAAAATAAGTCACATGATTGTAATGTTTAGCTGCAACTTTTCTCCTAATAAATAGTGTCATGAAGAATGTTATAGTGCGAAGTTTGTACATTTCAGGGTCAGTTATACAATGTGAACTCTTTATCTACGGGAATGAGAATGGAGGATCATTGAAGGCCATGATATAAACAAATTTGCATGTTGAAGCCTGTATAAAACATGGTACAGTGAGTGAATGCCCCCATCCCCAAGAACACTTTATACATATTAAATGGATATATGATTACTGTGCAAAAATTCATTCTGGAAATGAACATATATTTGAGCACTAATATGTAATGTACATCTTCTGCCCTAAGGAGAAAATAAATCATAAAACTTGTTTTACATTCAAAATTACTTTCCCGAGCATGTCTTAGAGTAATCTACGTGTTGATGTATGTAAATTGTATTTTAGGTAGGCAAAGAAACAAGTCTGGTTATTTATGTAAAAACTAGTCTAATAAAGTGAGTGGCTTTATCACTTTGAATCTTTAGTGTCTAAAAGTGGTGTTTAAAGTAATACTAGCACATCAGAAAACCTTGTGTGGACAAAACTAGTTCACTCACTGCTTCTGCAACTGCAGTTCCTCCCCTTAGGTTATAAAAAAAAAGGACCCAAATGTTACATGTGTTGATATTATGACTTGTCAGTTACTGATGTCTGTGGTATCCTACCCTCGTCTCTGAAACGGATAATACTGAATAATTATTAGAAAACTACAAGACTTCACACTTTGTACCATTAAAACCTAAAATTTTAATCCTATCCTTTTTTATTACAGATCAATCAGCACTCAGGAACAGAGCAGCAAGGAAAAAAAGGAAATTTCATTCATATGTTCTGTGTTCATATCTCTTCAGTACCTAATTGTTCATTTAATTTCAGCCTTATTCCTTCATAAGGGGTTTTACCACATGAAGTCATCCGATGACCCTAGCTCTTATTGTGAAGTTGAAGATGACTGGAGTATACTTACAAATGTTACAACTTAAAAATGTTACAAAACATTTATTAAAGCTCATATTTAAAGTAGAGCATCCAGTTTGAGAAGTAGACATCAATTATTAAAGATGTCTTTTTTCTCCCCATTTAACTAGTTAAAACCATGATGTGTAAATGTAGAAGTAGAATAATCATATGGAATTCCCTAAAATATTTCTGTTTACTAACATATATTGACCAAGTACATCAAGCAGGAGAGCTCTTCCTTCATTCTGTTATAGTCCACATCATTCTAATTTTGCTCAGTTGTTATTAAAAGCATATTCCTAAACCATACACTTTTGTTTCAATAAAGTTTTATTTTGTTGGGATGAATAAAATATCAAAGTTATAAGCTACATGAGACAAAAGTTCAATTGTTCAAAAAATTTACTGGGACAGCTTTCTATTATAGGTATTGTTAAATTATATTGCTCTGATAAGATTACTTTCTTTAAAAAGTTTGTACTTTTCTGTAAATTGAAAGAATATGGAGTCATAAAATGGCAAGTGTTTTAGGGTTAGCGTAAAATTGGGCATTGTCATTGATTTCATAGATGATATAAACTAGCAGGCTTACAGCCTAATTCTTCTTTGGACTGGTCTTTGGCAGCAGTTCCTTTTCAGACTCAATAAACAGAATTCAGACAGATGTAAGTCAAAACAAAACTTTACAAAGCCAAGTGTATTATCTTTTGCATTAACCTATTTTTTCCATCATACATGCTACTAGTATGTGCATTAGCATGATATTCTCATATACATTGCATTAAAAATTAAAAGGTAGCAGCTCAGGGTGAGCTCTTCTGTCATTCATTTGTTCCTAAATTTTTAAGGGCTTTTTCTCAGTCAATATTTGTATAAACTGGGTAGTTTAACTTCATTACCCATTTCATTAAAGTTGATGGATTGTGATGAGATGCATTTAAGGCCAATAGTGACAGATTTTTTTTTAATCTCTTGAACACAAGCTTTGAATGATAACTACAGGTTTTAAGTGCTGTTAACATTAATACCATAATGTGATGTGTTAGAACCAAAGGGATATTTTAAAGGTAGATATCTGAAAATTCTCTAGTCTCAATGTATATATGTATTGAATATACTCTAAAAATAAATGTGCAATTTGCTAGTAGGACAATGCAGTGATTAGCATTAGGTATGTTTCTTCTTTTATATCCTAGCTATGTCCCACTTTCTTCTAAGTGCAATCCTTTCATGTTCACTTGTTGTTTTACCCCATCTACTCTAACTTCAGTTGGAAGCCTTGTCTAGAGTATAGTATGTGTTTTTACCTTTGCAGTGAATTGCATGTGCTAATTGTAACCACAGCTATTTTTATGTTGACATAACTCCAAGTGTTATATTAAATGTTCTATTTTATATTAGCTCTAATCCCTTAAGTAAATTTTAAGAAATAAATTCTTGTTCAAAAAAAAAAAAAAAAAAAGAAGTGCTTCCTTGTCCTAAGGTCATGACAACTTTCATGTAAGTTAACTTAAATATGGAAGCTTTATTGGCTTGCCTTTAACATTTAATTTAGATCTACAATGCCCATGGAACTAATTTTTTCTGAATATGTTTGGTTGAATGAAGGCTTTTTTTTTTTTTTTTTTTTTTTTGAGAAGGAGTCTCGCTCTGTCGTGCCAGGCTGGAGTGCAGTGGCGTGATCTTGGCTCACTCCAAGTTCCGCCTCCCAGGTTCACGCCATTCTCCTGCCTCAGCCTCCCGAGTAGCTGGGACTACAGGCGCCCGCCACCACGCCCGGCTAATTTTTTGTATTTTTAGTAGAGATGGGGTTTCACCGTGTTAGCCAGGATGGTCTTGATCTCCTGAACTCGTGATCCGCCCGCCTCAGCCTCCCAAAGTGCTGGGATTACAGGCATGAGCCACCGTGCCCAGCCGAAGGCTTATTTTTTTCCATATTGATATCCAGTTGTCTTATCACTTTTTAGTGAAAAGACCATCCTTTCTTGTGCAGTGCCACCTTAACTATAAATTAAGTGTTCATAAAATGGGTGTCTATTTCTGGGCCTTCTCTTCTTTGCCATTGATTTCTTTTTCTATTACTTACCAGTATTCTATTAATATCCAGTAGAGCAAATCTTTCAATCTTGTTTTTCTTCTTAAAGATTAAGTTTTTGGTTATTCTTGGTCTTTAGTGTTTCCATATAAATGTCATTTATTAAGTATTTTTGCAATTTGATTTCCAACTTAATTGCTCTGTAGTAAGAAAACATACTTTGTATGATTTCAGTCCTTTTAAATTTGAGAGGTTTTTAGTGTATCTCAACATGTGGTAAATTTTAATAAATATTCTGTGTCTTCTTGAAAAGGATATATCTCCAAAAAAAGTTTTAATTTGAAAGATGTTCTATATATAAGTAGAAAAATAAGAGGAAACTCAGATCACAAAATATAGAAATGTCTATGGGGCAAAGAAAAATGCCAGAAACTTACCAAACTGTCTTAAGTGCAGGCTTCATCGCTGATCCCTGGCATAATACTCCTTCGCACAGAACTCCATAAGTATGTGCTGATGTTTTTAGGTATCAAAGTCATGTGACTTAGCATTACTTGAGACAAAATATTTTTTTCTTTTGCCTTGGGTGTACCAGCTGTTGGCTAATAACTCCAAGAATAGGATGTTATTAAACTTTAGAAACATTTGCTTTCAGGATCTGCCAGATCATCTTTTGGAGATCAGAAGCTTGAACTTTCCAGTTCATCCCAGCCTGGATCCAGTTATGATGTATATAACCTGTTCTGTATGTATCAGCACATTTCACCTGATTTGAGTCTACGTTTTCCTCCCTGCTCAGAAGTGACGAGACTGTAAGGATCAGGTATGAAATTTTTTTATGCTTTTCCTCTTTGTGTTTCTCTTTAAGAAATGTAGAATTCGGGCCGGGCGCGGTGGCTCACGCCTGTAATCCCAGCACTTTGGGAGGCCGAGGTGGGTGGATCATGAGGTCAGGAGATCGAGACCATCCTGGCTAACACTGTGAAACCCCGTCTCTACTAAAAATACAAAAAATTAACCGGGCGTAGTGGCGGGCGCCTGTAGTCCCAGCTACTCGGGAGGATAAGGCAGGAGAATGGCGTGAACCCGGGAGGCGGAGCTTGCAGTGAGCCGAGATCAAGCCACTGCACTCCAGCCTGGGCGACAGAGCCAGACTCTGTCTCAAAAAAAAAAAGAAAAGAAATGTAGAATTCGAATCTAAGATCTGAGAATAAACAAATGATTCTTACTATTAAAGGCAATTTAAAAATAAGAAAAAAGCAAGCTTCCTAAATGTTGTGATAAATATTATGACTTCCCTGTAGTGTTATATCTAACATAAAAACTGAAAGGTTAATGAGTTATGTCTGTTTGTAGTTCTAAATTCCATTGTAGTTTTCCTTTTTTGAAAGAAGTTTTGGTTCAAGAGATCTTTTGTACAGCATAGGGACTATAATAGTTAATTATGACACATTCTTAAAAAGTGCCAAGAGTGGATATTAGGTGTTCTCAAATCGCTTTTTCTTATCACTCAAAAGTGGTAACTGTGCAGTAATACATTTGTAAATTAGCTAGATTTAATCATTCCACAATGTACACATACTTTAAAACATGTTGTACACGATGAATACATACAATAAAAAAGAAATTAGCTGCATGCCAGATACAAGAGAAAAAACATGAAAAAGAAAGAAATTCTGTTTTCAAATTATTTTGTGTTGTTGTTGTTGTTACAGGGTCTCACTTTGTCCCCCAGGCTGGAGTGCAGTGGCGTGATCTCACCTCACTGCAGCATCACCCTCCCAGGATCGAGGGATTCTCACACCTTGGGACCCCCACCCCCCAGCAGCTGGGACTACAGGCATGTGCCACAGGCACACGCCTGAGTAATTTTTTTGTATTTATTGTTGAGACAGGGTTTCACCATGTTACCCAGGTTGGGCTCGAAGTCCTGGGCTGAAGCAATTCCCCTGCCTTGGTCTCCCAAATTGCTGGGATTACAAGCGTGCACCACTGCACCCAGCCCAGAATATTTTGCATACATTTTGCCTGTCATTTGTCTATTTATAAATTCTACAACAGATATTCGTACATAGATATGTTGTACAAAACACAATATTTTTTCATTTCTTCTGTATTCAGTGAAAATGATAAATTTAGAAACTCATGATGTGATTAGAAATATAAACAAAGAAAATGCTTAAATGATTATCGAACTTTTTTAGTTTCATATTTGAGACTGTATGAATTATAGTCTACCATGTTTGCCTGTGATTCACAAAATTCTGTTTTTCAGGATATATATATATATATATATCAACCACTGAATTTAGTGTAAGGTACTGAAAATAAAGAAGAAATACTTATTTAAGGGCCTGCCTTGCGTTCACTACTGCGCTAGCATATACATTTAACATGCAAAGTTCCTTTCATCAGAGTTCCTACAGTTTAGAAGGGAAACTAAAATTACAGACGAGAAATATAGGAGCACATGGGATTCAGTATTGATTTTTTATTTTTTTATTTTTTGAGACAGTCTTGCTCTGTTGCCACGCTGGAGTGCAATGGCGCAATCTCGACTCACTGCAACCTCCGTCTCCGGGATTCAAGCGCTTCCCCTGCCTCAGCCTCCCGAGGAGTTGGGACTACAGGCCCGCACCACCACGCCCGGCTAATTTTTTGTGTTTTAGTAGAGACGGGGTTTCGCCATGTTGGCCCGGATGGTCTCACTCTCCTGACGTCGTCATCCACCCGCCTCGGCCTCTCAAAGTGCTAGGATTACAGGCGTGAGCACCGCGCCCGGCCTCAGTATTGATTTTTTTTTTTCATGTACAAATTCACATTTTACTCTCTCAAGTATTATCCCCATGATTGATACTCACATGTATTTTCCCTGAAGTACTTACTGTTCTCTGCATTGAAATAACAAGGTAACTACCCCTGGAGACCTCTCTAAATGTCCTAGAAGAGGTAAAGGGTACAATTAGAGTAATAGACCATCTATTGCCACTGACTAAGGTTGAAGTCAAAATTAGCACTCATCTTTATCTGCTCCATCCAGTTTGTTTCCAAACCTTCAAAGATTTTTTCTTTTTATTTATTTATTTTTATTTATTTATTTATTTTATTATACTTTAAGTTCTAGGGTACATGTGCACAATGTGCAGGTTTGTTACATATGTATACATGAGCCATGTTGGTGTGCTGCACCCATTAACTCATTTACATTAGGTATATCTCCTAATGCTATCCCTCCCCACTCCCCCACCCCACGACAGGTCCCGGTGTGTGGTGTTCCCCACCCTGTGTCCAAGTGTTCTCATTGTTCATTTCCCACCTATGAGTGAGAACATGTGGTGTTTGGTTTTCTGTCTTTGCGATAGTTTGCTCAGAATGATGGTTTCGAGCTTCATCCATGTCCCTACAAAGGACATGAACTCATCCTTTTTATGACTGCATAGTATTCCATGGTGTATATGTGCCACATTTTCTTAATCCAGTCTATCATTGATGGACATTTGGGTTGGTTCCAAGTCTTTGCTATTGTGAGTAGTGCCGCAATAAACATACGTGTGCATGTGTCTTTATAGCAGCATGATTTATAATCCTTTAGGTATATACCCCTTAAAGGGATGGCTTGGTCAAATGGTATTTCTAGTTCTAGATCCTTGAGGAATTGCCACACTGTCTTCCACAATGGTTGAACTAGTTTATAGTCCCACCAACAGTGTAAAAGTGTTTCTATTTCTCCATATCCCCTCCAGCACCTGTTGTTTCCTGACTTTTTAATGATCGCCACTCTAACTGGTGTGAGATGGTATCTCATTGTGGTTTTGATTTGCATTTCTCTGATGGCCAGTGATGATGAGCATTTTTTCATGTGTCTGTTGGCTGCATAAATGTCTTCTTTTGGGAAGTGTCTGTTCATATCCTTTGCCCACTTTTTGATGGGGTTGTTTGATTTTTTTCTTGTAAATTTGTTTAAGTTCTTTGTAGATTTTGGATATTAGCCCTTTGTCAGATGGGTAGATTGCAAAATTTTTCTCCCGTTCTGTAGTTTGCCTGTTCACTCTGACAGTAGTTTCTTTTGCTGTGCAGAAGCTCTTTAGTTTAATTAGAACCCATTTGTCAATTTTGGCTTTTGTTGCCATTGCTTTTGGTGTTTTAGACATGAGGTCCTTGGCCATGCCTATGTCCTGAATGGTATTGCCTAGGTTTTCTTCTAGGGTTGTTAGGGTTTTAGGTCTGACATTTAAGTCTTTAATCCATCTTGAATTAATTTTTGTATAAGGTGTAAGGAAGGGATCCAGTTTCAGCTTTCTACATATGGCCAGCCAGTTTTCCCAGCACCATTTTTAAATAGGGAATCCTTTCCCCATTTCTTGTTTTTGTCAGGTTTGTCAAAGATCAGATGGTTGTAGATGTGTGGTATTATTTCTGAGGGCTCTGTTCTTTCCATTGGTCTATATCTGTGTTTTGGTACCAGTACCATGCTGTTTTGGTTACTATAGTCTTGTAGTATAGTTTGAAGTCAGGTAGCTTGATGCCTCCGGCTTTGTTCTTTTGGCTTAGGATTGTCTTGGCAATGCAGGCCCTTTTTTGGTTCTATATGAACTTTAAAGTAGTTTTTTTCCAATTCTGTGAAGAAAGTCATTGGTAGCTTGATGGGGATGGCATTGAATCTATAAATTACCTTGGGCAGTATGGCCATTTTCACGATATTGATTCTTCCTATCCATGAGCACGGAATGTTCTTCCATTTGTTTATGTCCTCTTTTATTTCATTGAGCAGTGGTTCGTAGTTCTCCTTGAAGAGGTCCTTCACATCCCTTGTAAGTTGGATTCCTAGGTATTTTATTCTCTTTGAAGCAATTGTGAATGGGAGCTCACTCATGATTTGGCTCTCTGTTTGTCTACTATTGGTGTATAAGAATGCTTGTGATTTTTGCACATTGATTTTGTATCCCAAGACTGCTGAAGTTGCTTATCAGCTTAAGGAGATTTTGGGCTGAGACGATGGGGTTTTCTAAATATACAATCACATCACCTCCAAACAGGGACAATTTGACTTCCTCTTTTCCTAATTGAATACCCTTTATTTCTTTGTCCTGCCTGATTGCCCCGGCCAGAACCTCCAACACTATGTTGAATAGGAGTGGTGAGAGAGGGCATCCCTGTCTTGTGCCAGTTTTCAAAGGGAATGCTTCCAGTTTTTGCCCATTCGGTATGATATTGGCTGTGGGTTTGTCATAAATAGCTCTTATTATTTTGAGATACATCCCATCAATGCCTAATTTATTGAGTGTTTTTAGCATGAAGGGCTGTTGAATTTTGTCAAAGGCCTTTTCTGCATCTATTGAGATAATCATGTGGTTTTCGTCTTTGGTTCTGTTTATATGCTGGATTACGTTTATTGATTTGCGTATGTTGAACCAGCCTTGCATCCCAGGGATGAAGCCCACTTGATCATGGTGGATAAGCTTTTTGATGTGCTGCTGGATTCGGTTTGCCAGTATTTTAGTGAGGATTTTTGCGTCGATGTTCGTCAGGGATATTGGTCTAAAATTCTCTTTTTTTGTTGTGTCTCTGTCAGGCTTTGGTATCAGGATGATGCTGGCCTCATAAAATGAGTTAGGGAGGATTCCCTCTTTTTCTATTGATTGGAATAGTTTCAGAAGGAATGGTACCAGCTCCTCCTTGTACCTCTGGTAGAATTCGGCTGTGAATCCGTCTGGTCCTGGACTTTTTTTGGTTGGTAGGCTATTAATTATTGCCTCAATTTCAGAGCCTGTTATTGGTCTATTCAGGGATTCAATTTCTTCCTGGTTTAGTCTTGGAAGGGTGTATGTGTCCAGGAATTTACCCATTTCTTCTAGATTTTCTAATTTATTTGCATAGAGGTGTTTATAGTATTCTCTGATGGTAGTTTGTATGTCTGTGGGATTGGTGGTGATAACCCCTTTATCATTTTTTATTGCATCTATTTGGTTCTTCCCTCTTTTCTTCTTTATTAGTCTTGTTAGCAGTCTATCAATTTTGTTGATCTTTTCAAAAAACCAGCTCCTGGATTCATAGACATTTCGAAGGGTTTTTTGTGTCTCTATCTCCTTCAGTTCTGCTCTGATCTTAGTTATTTCTGGCCTTCTGCGAGCTTTTGAATGTGTTTGCTCTTGCTTCTCTAGTTCTTTTAATTGTGACATTAGGGTGACAATTTTAGATCTTTCCTGCTTTCTCTTGTGGGCATTTAGTGCTATAAATTTCCCCCTACACACTGCTTTAAATGTGTCCCAGAGATTCTGGTATGTTGTGTCTTTGCTCTCATTGGTTTGACTTTTAACAATTTTCACTTGAGCACCCACTTGAATCTGCTTTTGTCTGGCCATAAAAATCCCACATGGGCACCCTCAGTTCACTAAATACTGCTGTAAACTCATATGACAGGGTCTCCAGTAAGTGAGCAAGTTTCTTTTCTCGGCATCTTGGCTGAGCCACAGCACGAAAAGGCACACCTATCTTGTGATGTGCCTCAAGAGCCTATGAAGGAAGTTCTGCTGCAGCTGGTCACTGCCTTTTTCTCTGAACTTTCTGATAATGTCTACCTTTTCAATGTCAAGGTCACTTGCATTAGCCTATATTAAAAAGTTGCATTTTATCATAAATATAAAAAGATCAGTCCAAACCAATTCCAGACAGAATATAGGCACAAAGGAATTCATATTATCCGGGAAAAATCGCTCATATTTTTCTTTTCTTCTTTTTTTTTTTTTTTTTTTTTTTTTTTTTGAGGCTGAGTCTCGCTGTGTTGCCTAGGCTGGAGTGCAATGACGCTATCTCAGCTCACTGCAACCTCTGCCTCCCAGGTCCAAGCGATTCTCCTGCCTCAGCCTCCTGAGTAGCTGGGATTATAGGCATGCACCACCACGCCCGGCTAATTTTTGTATTTTTAGTAGAGACGGGGTTCCACCTTGTTGGCCAGGCTGGTCTCGAATTCCTAACCTCGTGATCCGCCCACCTCAGCCTCCCAAAATGCTGGGATTACAGGTCTGAGCCACTGTGCCTGGCCATTTTTTTTTTCGTTTCTTTTCTTTTCTTTCTTTCTTTTTTTTTTTTTTTTTGAGACGGAGTCTCACTCTGCTGCCCAGGTTGGAGTGCAGTGGGGCAATCTTGGCTCACTGCAAGCTCTGCTTCCCCGGTTCATGCCATTCTCCTGCCTCAGCCTCTCGAGTAGCTGGGAGTACAGGTGCCTGCCACCACGCCCGGCTAATTTTTTTTTTTTTTTTTTGGTATTTTTCTAGAGACTGGGTTTCACCGTGTTAGCCAGGATGGTCGTGATCTCCTGACCTCATGATCCACCCACCTCGGCCTCACAAAGTGCTGGGATTACAGGCGTGAGCCACCGCGCCCGGCCACGCCCGGCCATTTTTCATATTTCACAAGCTGAAAAAAAGTTATAATTGTCCTTTAAAAATACATGTCTAGGCCGGGCACGGTGGCTCACGCCTGTAATCCCAGCACTTTGGGAGGCCGAGGCGGGCGGATCACGAGGTCCGGAGATCGAGACCATCCTAGCTAACACTGTGAAACTCCGTCTCTACTAAAAATACAAAAAATTAGCCGATGGAGTGGCGGGCGCCTGTAGTCTCAGCTACTAGAGAGGCTGAGGCAGGAGAATGACATGAACCCGGGAGGCGGAGCTTGCAGTGAGCCGAGATAGCGCCACTGCAGTCCGGCCTGGGCGAAAAAGCGAGACTCTGTCTCAAAAAAAAAAAAAAAAAAAAAGAAAGAAAAATTCATGTCTGTGGCATATGCCTGTAATCCCACCTACTCGAGAGGCTGAGGCAGGAGAATCGCTTGAACCAGGGAGTTGGAGGTTGCGGTGAGCCAAGATCACACCAGTGCACTCCAGGCTGGCAACAGAGCGAGACTCTATCTCAATAAAAAAAAGGCCGGGCGCGGTGGCTCACGCCTGTAATCCCAGCACTTTGGAAGGCCGAGGTGGGCGGATCATGAGGTCAGAAGATCGAGACCATCCTGGCTAACACGATGAAACCCCGTCTCTACTAAAAATACAAAAAATTAGCCGGGCGTGGTGGCGGGCACCTGTAGTCCCAGCTACTCGGGAGGCTGAGGCAGGAGAATGGCGTGAACCCGGGAAGCGGAGCTTGCAGTGAGCCGAGATTGCGCCACTGCACTCCAGCCTGGGCGACAGAGCGAGACTCTGTCTCAAAAAAAAAAAAAAAAAAAAAAAAAACCACCACCACCAACAAAAAACTTGTGTAATCAATCTAGGTGCAAGAAAAAAAAACAATAAAATATGAAGCTGAGGTCTTTCAAGCCAGTAATATGATATTGCCTTTTTAATTTCAAAAAACATGTTATGGCTAATGAATACATGAACATGTAATTCATTCAGATTAAAATATTTACAGTACAATATTTGTGTTTAGAACTCATAGTAACACATTTTATGCAGCAATCTCTGTCAAATTCATTAGTTTGATTTATACCCAGTGTATAATACACAAACACTGCACACTAACAATCATGTCAACTAAATTATTTTATTGAATAATTAAATGAACATGCCTGATAAAAACATAACTCTGTCAAATTCAAATGAAGTCTTATCTAAGTATTTTCACATTTTAGGAGTATAGCGTATCTCTATGTATGTCACTGAAAGCCAGAATTATAATTAAGGTTTATTTTTTGCAGGTAGCTAACAAGAAATTTCTTTTCCACAAATGAGTTTGCCAAGGCTAATTTGGTCAAAAGGTTTCTGTCCTTGGCTCCCCTGTTGCCACTACTGCTGGGTAATGGTTACACTAATCCTCTTTGCATGAGAGGTCCTGATGTGTTTGCTAAACCCAGATCGCTGAAGCACTGGTCTGGTGACTATATTTTTTGAGAACCACTGCTCTAAAGCACCTAAATTATGTTTTCTGAAACTTTCCCTTCAGGCAAAATGGACTAGTAAAATTTTTGCTGGGTAACTGAGACACAAAATAATGGCCTTAAAACCTTTTATCCTAATGCTTTGACTTTCTCTCTAATGTGGCTTCTACCACTTGTACCTAGAACAATTAACCACATCCTCAACATCAAATTATATTTATAAGGCATATTCAATGTGTTGACAGATTTAAGCTTATAGAATGACCAAAATAGAATACAGATAGGAAGCACCATAAATGTAACAAAACCACTTCAAAAATGTACCCTGCCATAGCCCTAGTAGTTTAACTAAAATCTTAAGCGACAATGAATTTAAGCTCAATTTGGGGGGTTAAAAAACAACAGATAAAATTCAGGAATGATTTTTTTAGACGTATGGAGTATTAGGCTGCTCATCTGAAATTATTCTCATCATTCTGAAACCTGTTGCTGTACAGCCCTGAGAGCTAATTTGTAAAGGGTTATTAAAAAAACAGACATGAAAACAAAAGATAATACCTAAAATACTTGCTGGCTGCCCTTCGTGGAAGGTGTTTGCCACCCCATGCACTGCAGAATCCTCTAGCTGTGGTTACTGAGCCTGGCTCTGATTGTTTTGAGGTGGCCATGGTGAGAACCGCTCACAGGCAGATAGTTTGCCATCTTTGATCTGAAAGTTGAATTCCCTCTTTTGTTGAGAACCTCACATAATAAATTATTCTTTTGGACCTCCATATTGTGTAATTCAGTACACTCCACTGATGGCTTTCATTGGAATATATATTATATAAAGAATAGATCAATATTTCTGTTCCTGGCCACATATTCCTGTGTATACTATAAAAGATTGGTTTTGACATAGACAGTCTTCTTGAAATTCTGCTTTGTCAAGGATATTAATAATATAGTTTGTTTTATTAAAATCCTATTTTCCCCATCTTCTCTCTGCTTGACCCAATTCCAATCATTCCACAAGCACAGCTTCATTCCATTAACATTGATGCAGCCCCTTCTGGGTATCACTCACTGTGCTGGAGGCTGGGAGAAAACAGTGAACAGGACAGGCCTGGCCCTGCCCTCACTGAGCGGACAGTGCTTCCACACTTTCTTACTTCTATGAGGAAGGAATGTATTTCACAGGAGACATCCTAAAATCCTAGAAACTACAGTGACAATTTACAGCTCAGAATGGAAGAAGTAGGCAGAAAAAGGCTTGCCTTTCTTGAAAGTGTCCAGAAGGCAAGAATGAAAAGAAACAAGGGAATCTTAACACACCAATCTACTTTCACATAACATTTACAAATATGCATCAGAAAGTGCCCAATCATGGTTCAAGAAATCCTCAAGTTAGCCGACACAACTGAACAGCAACTCAACAGGGAGAATCCAAATTGAGACTAGAGGTCAGGAAATGCATCTCCAAGGAGTCATATTTAAGCAGAGACTTGAATGGTGGGATGTAAACATACAGGTGGAAAAAATGGGAAGAAGCATTTTCAGCAGGTAAACCCACGTGCAAAGGGTGAGAAGAGAGTGTGGCTCAGTGGACTGAAAGAAGGCCTGGTGGGGAGGAGGCAGGAGGTGAAACGAAGGCTGTCAGGAGGTGAGATGGTGAACCTTGCTGAGAAGTGTGTGCTATCTTAGAAGCAATGGAAAGCTGCTGAATGTTGTAAACAAGCAACCAATTATATCTAATTTGCATTTTTCAAAGGTAACTTAGCAGCAATGTGGAGAACATAATGTACTACTGAGTTCAGAGACAGGGAGACCTACAGTAAGAAAGCAATTGCAGAAAGCGAGGTGAGTGCAGCTTTGCATTAAGTGGGTGAGTAGAGCTAGAGAGAAGGAAATGCAGTTGAGTATAATTTGGAGATAAAGTATTCAGAATTTGCTATTTACTGGATGTGTCAAGGATGACTCCCAAGTCTCTAGTGTAAGTTCCTGGTGAATGACAGAACCACTAACAGAGACAAGGAATAGGGAAGGAAGAGTAGGCTTAGGGGTGTGTGAGCCAGGTGAAGAAAGCAAGTTGGGACTTGTTACATTTTAAGTGCTTGTGAGACAACAATGTTACTTGTTAGAGATGCCTTTGTGTTCTTAGTCACTGGTCCTATTGTCCAACTCTGAGGTCTTTCAGTCATCATAGGTCATTTCAGGCTTCAAAGTCTGGTAACAATCAATGATAGACTGGATAAAGAAAATGTGGCACATACACACCATGGAATACTATGCAGCCATAAAAAAGGATGAGTTCATGTCCTTTGCAGGGACATGGATGAAGCTGGAAACCATCATTCTCAGCAAACTAACACAGGAACAGAAAACCAAACACTGCATGTTCTCACTCATAGGTGGGAGTTGAACAATGAGAACACATGGACACAGGGAGGGGAACATCACACACTGGGGCCTGACAGTGGGGGGCTAGGAGAGGGATAGCATTAGGAGAAATACCTAATGTAGATGAGGGGTTGATGGGTGCAGGAAACCACCATGGCATGTATATACCTATGTAACAAACCTGCACATTCTGCACATGTATCCTAGAACTTAAAGTGTAATTGAAAAAAAAAAAGCACAAAGTCTGGTAACAATGTCTGGTATTTAAAAATAGCATTTTAAACCGGGCGCGGTGGCTCACGCCTGTAATCTCAGCACTTTGGGAAGCCAAGGCGGGTGGATCACGAGTCAGGAGATCAAGACCCCTGGCTAACATGGTGAAACCTCGTCTCTACTAAAAATACAAAAAATTAGCCCGGCGAGGTGGCAGGTGCCGGTAGTCCCAGCTACTCGGGAGGCTGAGGCAGGAGAACGGCATGAACCCGGGGGGCGGAGCCTGCAGTGAGCCGAGATTGCGCCACAGCACTCCAGCCTGGGTGACAGAGCGAGACTCTGTCTCAAAAAAAAAAAAAAAAAAATAGCATTTTAAGGCTGGGCGCGGTGGCTCACGCCTGTAATCCCAGCACTTTGGGAGGCCGAGGCAGGCAGATCACGTGGTCAGGAGATCGAGACCATCCTGGCTAACACTGTGAAACCCCGTCTGTACTAAAAATACAAAAATTAGCCGGGCGTGGTGGCGGGCGCCTGTAGTCCCAGCTACTTGGGAGGCCGAGGCAGGAGAATGGCATGAACTCGGGATGCAGAGCTTGCAGTGAGCCGAGATTGCACCACTGCACTCCAGCCTGGGAGACAGAGCGAGACTCCGTCTCAAAAAAAAAAAAAAATAGCATTTTAAATGCATGAAAGTTACATATCTTTAACCTAATTTAGTTATTGCTATGTAATCCAACTATGCTGGTTCTGCTGTACCTTATTAAATGTGTATTCATGTGTCTCAACATTTTCTTTCAACAAATTCTTAGTTACACTCTTTTAGATGAATAGTTTGCTAGCAAGTTTAATTTGGGAAGTGATTAAAAATAAATCAGTGACTAATTGCATAATAACTTTAACAGGAATTAGAAAAAATAAAATAGTATTAAAATAGGATCTCATATCGAAAAGTATGAGAGGATGCTGTGTTTCATATGATTCTAGGATTACTAATAATACTTTCCTACTTAACATCAAATAAAAAGCTTAAGGCTATTAAAGTTTAGAGAAATGTATCCCATTTATTCTTAGATCAAAATATATCCTCTATTCATATGTTTGAATAAACTGAGAATGAGAATCTCATTCTCCAATTTGGCTACAAATAAATCCACATCTTCCCTCACCTGCACCAGCTCTTCAGCACCTGGACACAGGACCGTGCTTCGCACATCTTGCTCAGCACGGTGCCCTGCACAGGGGAAAAGTTCCATGAGCAGATATTGAACCGAATTGAGCTAGTGTTCTTTTCTCTTTTCTTTTCTTTGCTTTGCTTCCCTTCGCTTCTTTTCCTTCCTTCCTTCCTTCCTTCCTTCCTTCCTTCCCTCCCTCCCTCCTTCCTTCCTTCTCTCTCTCTGTCTTTCTTTCCTATTATATCTCCCTTTCTTTTATTTCCTTTTTTTTTTTTTTGGCGGAGTCTCGCTCTGTCGCCCAGGCTGGAGTGCAGTGGCACACAATCTCGGCTTACTGTAACCTCCACCTCCTAAGTTCAAGCAATTCTCCTACCTCAGCTTCCTGAGGAGCTGGGATTACAAGTGCGCACCACCACGCCCAGCTTTTTATTTTTAGTAGAGATGAAGTTTCACCATGTTGGCCAGGCTGGTCTTGAACTCCTAACCTCAAGTAATACACTCGCCTTGGCCTCCCAAAATGCTGGGATTACAGGCATTAGCCACCACGCCCGACCTGAGCTACTGCTTTTTCTAATTAGCTTGACTATTTTCTGTGTTTTCCACACTGGGAGTAGATAACAAGGAGCAGCATTCTCTCATATGACTAAACATCAGTATTTCCAGGTTTTCCTTCATCAGGGAAGGTGACTACTTCCACTTTCCTCCCATGTTGTTATCTTCCCGTTAATGCATTTTCTAAACTCAAATCTACTCAGAGCAGGCCCAGTACTGAATAGAAGGAGGTTCTATATGTAGCCTCTTTTTTCTCCATATGCTCCCTAAACATTTCAAAATACATATTCTTTATTTTTACAGAATAACAGGTTTATAAATATTAACATGTATTGATGCTGTTAAATAAAACCTATTTTTTTCCACTGAAGCAGCCAATTTTTTTTTTTTTTTGAGATGGAGTCTCACTGTGTCACCCAGGCTGGAGTGCAGTGGCACGATCTTGGCTCACTGCAAGCTCCGCCTCCTGGGTTCACACCATTCTCCTGCCTCAGCCTCCCAAGTAGCTAGGACTACAGGCACCCGCCACCATGCCTGGCTAATTTTTTGTATTTTTAGTAGAGACGGGGTTTCACCGCGTTAGCCAGGATGGTCTTGATCTCCTGACCTCGTGATCCGCCCTCCTCGGCCTCCCAAAGTGCTGGGATTACAGGCGTGAGCTACCGTGCCCGGCTTTTTTTTTTTTTTTTTGAGATGGAGTCTCACTCTGTTGCCCAGGCTGGAGTGCAGTGGTGTGATCTCGGCTCACTGCAAGCTCCGTCTCCCAGGTTCACACCATTCTCCTGCCTCAGCCTCCCAAGTAGCTGGAACTACAAGCGTACGCCACAATGCCAGGATAAATTTTTTTTATTTTTAGTAGAGACAGGGTTTCACTGTGTTAGCCAGGATGGTCTCGATCTCCTGACCTTGTGATCCACCTGCCTCAGCCTCCCAAAGTGCTGGGATTACAGGCGTGAGCCACCGCGCCCAGCCCAATCTTTTTTTTTTTCTTTCTTTCTTTTTTCTGAGATGCCACACTCAGAGCCATCTGAGTGTCAGAAAACAGGACCACCCCTCACAGGAAATCCTCTTGTTGATTTGAAGGGCATTAGCTTTATTAACACCTACTCTGAAGCAGGTACTTTGCTAAACCCTGGAAATTTAAAGATGAATAAGACTCAATTCAAGTCCACCCAGGAAGTTAACTTCTAAAGTAACTAAAGACAGGATTATCAAGGTCTTCCATAAAAAACTAAGTTCTACATGAACAGCTATTTAAAGGGCTGAAAAAAGTCATGTTCAATGTCAGTTTGGTTTTGCAACATGTCATGCCAACATTGATTTCAGCTGGGGATAAGCAATACTATATGCATATCTGTACACTTCCATCCTCATCCCAATCCTGCTGTTGAGGTTCCAGGCCAAAGGGAGGAAGCTCTGGAACCTGGCTTCAAAGGGAGGCTGGAGTCTGTAGTGCACCATGCTGCCTGCATTTCTTTTGAAAACCCTGGGAGATAAAAGAGAAAGGAATCAATGAGTCTGCAGAATATCTGGTGCCAACTGCAGGCATGAGAACAAGCACAGTGCAGAGCCTGGGCTGCACCTGGGTCCACACAGAAACACCATCAGAACAGGGAGGACAAAGTGGAGGAGTTTACTGTGAGGTCAGGCACTGCTCCACAGAGGGCAAGACTGCAGATGTGCCACATTAGCGATCAGAGATTTAAACAGTTGCCCCGAGGGGATGGGGCATTTCGGGCAGAACAAACCTCCATGCAGGGCACAGAGGCACGGAAGGACACTGTGAGCTTACAGGGCAGTGCAACAGGATGGAACTTGTATTTTAGGAAACTACAGAGAGCTGCAGAGAGCTGAGTCTTGGGAGGTGGGCTGGGCCACATTGTAAGGGGCCTTGAATATCAAAATATGGAGCAGAGACTGGCTCCAGGCAACGTGGGGTTAAGGGAGTTTTTTAAGGAGGGAGAGACAATAGCAACTTGTTCTGTGTGAAGAGGACCTGGTGGGGGCCTGGGGCCTGGGGCCTGGGACAGGAGGAGAGGCTTGCAGGAGTCAGGGCAGGGAGACTTGCTTTGGAAATCTGTAGATGTATGCCACTCCTAGAGTGGGAATCTTTTTTTTTCGAGACAGAGTCTCGCTCTGTGGCCAGGCTGGAGTGCAATGGTGTGATCTCGGCTCACTGCAACCTCCGCCTCCCGGGTTCAAATGATTCTCCTGCCTCAGCCTCCCGAATAGCTGGGACTACAGGTGCATACTACCATGCCTGGCTAATTTTTGTACTTTTAGTAGAGACGGGGTTTCACCATCTTGGCCAGGATGGTCTCAATCTCTTGACCTCGTGATCCACCCACCTCAGCCTCTCAAAGTGCTGGGATTACAGGCAGAAGCCACTGCGCTCGGCCAAGAGTGGGAATCTTTACAGCTCCATTTTACATACAGATCTAATTGGAAGGTAATTCACAATCAAGAATACGTTAATATAGAGACCATGTCATTTGGAATTTAACCAATTATTTGGAGGTGGTACAGTAGCACATTTATCTCTTGGTGTACATTCAGGTTTTGTCCTTTTTTTGTTTCTCCTTTTCTAAACAGCTATGATTAAATCAAAGTGGTGGTGATTTTGCAGTGACAATGACTCTGCTGCAGAGGCTTCCTGCGTCTCAGAACCTGTGTCCTTCCCTAGCCTGAGGCCAGAGTATGAGCGTGTCCTCCTTCCTCAGAGGGAGCCCTGCCTCCCTGCTCAAGAGTCTCTCCTAGGAAGGGGTGGGCTTGGGAGGCTGCCCTGGGGTGGCCCCAAGGCTCCTAATGACTGGTGCCTGGCATTTGCCAGCAGCCTCGGCCAGGTGCTCGTCAGGAATGCGGGGCTGTGAGGACACAACCCAGTAGAAACTGGTCATTTGGTGAGTCATATAGCGGGCATCGCTCAGCCCTGGATTAGGGTCACAAAAAGATGACCCTCAGGAAAAGTCTCACGGAAAGTGGTCAATGTGGGCCTCTGAAAATGGGCCCAGAGGGAAGAGAGGCTGGGGAGGGAGGAGCTTAGGGGATCTGCAGAGCTAACGACAGAGGGACCCAGGATGAGCCAAGGCCTAGTGGGTCAACAGAAGGTGCTGGATGAAGCCGTGACAAGAACATGTGTTCAAGGCCGCTCCTCATGGCCATCTAGTTTCTGTCAGGATCACAGGCTGGGGCACATGCTTCTCCTACGGACTGAGGGCTGCTTTAGAAACCGATGTGTTTTCTTATCAGAACACTTCTCGTCACCTCTGGAGAACATCCTGGCCTGGTCATCAGAGCCTCCAAGCGTCATGTGTCCCTTAAAATAAGTATACTTACCAATTACTCAAAGAAGCTCACAGTAATCTCCAGGTTATCTTGAACAACCAACCTGCTAAAGATGCCACAGGTGCCTCAACACTGAAGGAATCAGGTCTATGCCAGCTCAGCTACTTCCTAAAGTTAAACCTTGGAATACACACACATTGAGTTTCTCTACAGCTTTAGGATGCACAGTGGTTGTTATTGTTGCTAGACAAGTCCTTGAAGATTATCCTCTGACTCAAAGCTTTAAAGAAAAATCTTACTGGAAAGGAATTCTTTGGTGAGATGTAGATCAGCATGGCACGCTGTAGGCAACATTTAGGAAAGAAGGCTGATTTCTTCTCTCTCATTCCAAATGCCTTTGTGATACCTGCTTGGGCATTGCCCAGGGATTCCAGCAGTCAGAGGTTCTGTAGGATGGTTTTTCTTTTTTTTTTAAATCCTGCCTCAGGTTTATTTGTACAAATAGCACAGGAGGACACCACCCCCACGCATATAGCAGCCCAGGGGTCACACCAGTCCTTCTGTTCTCAGATTGACAGAGACCTCTACTCTGAAGGCTTCGTGGGGGCCTGGACACCTTTGGAAGCCTGAGCTAGAACTGAAGCTGGAGCTGCAGACTGGGCCTTGGTTTGATCCTTGGCCTTTGGCCGGCAGAACCTGAAGGATGACATTTCTAGCAGAGCTCCAGGGAAGTCTTGCTGGACAGGGCATCTCCTCTGCCCCACCCTTGCTCCTCGAGTCCAGGCTCTTTGCATGGAGGCCCAGTGAACATGGCTGGAGCTCTGAACTTATGTGCTGGTGGACAAAGGTCAGTGACAATCACAGGACACCCCTCTTAACCTATGCATGTAACTTACCAGTGGCTCTTTGGAAATATGGCCTCACCTCTGCTCTCTAGTTCACAGTGACTTGAATGCTTGGGTGTCAGGTTTGGACAGGGTCCCCTGAATGCCTGGGTGTCAGGTTAGGACAGGGTCCCATTTCAGGAGCTAGCAAATGGAAGAAAGCAGGAGGGCAAGGCAGCAGGCAGGTGATAATGTAGACTGTGGCCAGATGGAGTAGGTTCCAACCTTGGACCACCATTCATCTGCTGTGTGAACAGAGGGTGGACACCTTTAAGTGGTAGGGGACTCTGGCTGGGCACGGTGGCTCACGCCTATAATCCCAGCACTTCAGGAGGCCAAGGCGGGTGGATTGCCTGAGGTCAGGAGTTTGAGACCAGCCTGGCCAACATGGCAAAACCCCATCTCTACTAAAAATGCAAAAATTAGCTGGGCATGGTGACGGGTGCCTGTAATCCCAGCTACTCAGGTGGCTGACTCTGCATCTGTGGCTGGGGTGGGTGAGGCTTTGTTTGGTATTTTTATTGCCTATTTTTCTTTTTTTATGCTCAAAGCTACTCCTGGGCAAGTTCCCTGACTCTTGAATCTTTTTCAAAATTTAGCTCTTCCATAATATTTAAACTTAGCTAAGTTGGCCACTATGCAAGCCTCCTGGATTTCCTTCCTTCAAGATATTATAGCATGACTCTTTTGCTAAATTTGTATTCTCATGCAATATTAGCATGAGGAAAATTTTACAACATTTTAAAAAGTGAATATAGCTACTGATAATGAATGTTAAGCTACATTGACATTCATTTTGGAATTAGTGATCACCTACTAAGTTGAACCACATGAAATTTCTGTGGTGTAAATCAAGTCGGTTGAGTACAGGTGACTTCATATGGTTGAACCTACAGGTGACCCTGGATCACTCCTCCACTCCTCATTTTGTAATCCAAGAAAAGGAGGCTCAGGATGTGAAGTAACTTACTCATGGTCACATAAATTATTAGGCGTTGACTTAGAAACATATAATGTATTTTCTTAACTAAGGGAATGAAAAATTCTTATTACTACTCCATTTACGAATTGCCTTGGCTATTCTTGCATGTAAATAGATATACATATATACACACACACACACACACACACACACACACACATATATATATACATGTGTGTGTGTATATATATATATATATATATATATATATATATATATATATATATGTTTTTTTTTTTGAGACAGAATTACGCTATTATTGCCCAGGCTGGAGTGCAATGGCTTGATCTCAGCTCACCGCAACCTCTGCCTCCCAGGTTTAAGCAATTCTCCTGCCTCAGCCTCCCAAGTAGCTGGGGTTACAGGCGTGTGCCACCACACCCAGATAATTTTTGCATTTTTAGTAGAGACGTGGTTTCACTATGTTGGTCAGGCTGGTCTCAAACTCCCGACCTCAGGTGATCCACCCGCCTCAGCCTCCCAAAGTGCTGGGATTACAGGCATGAGCCACCACATCTGACCAAGTATAGAGTGTTTCTATGTGATTAAAGTTAAGTGGTTGTCCACTGAAAACTGATGACTATGAAGTATAAGAACTTTTATGCAAGCCTCATGGTAACCATAAAGAAAAACTTTCGGCTGGGCACAGTGGCTCATGCCTGTAATCCCAGCACGTTGGGAGGCTGAGGCAGGTGGACCACGAGGTCAGGAGTTCAAGACCAGCCTGGCCAAGATGGTGAAACCTTGTCTCTACTAAAAATACAAAAATTAACTGGGCGTGGTGGTGGGCACCTGTAATCCCAGCTACTCAGGAGGCTGAGGCAGAGAATTGCTTGAACCCAGGAGGCAGATGTTGCAGTGAGCCGAGATTGTACCACTGCACTCCAGCCTGGGTGACAGAGCAAGACTCTGTCTCAAAGAAAAAAGAAAAAAAAAAGAGAAAAAAAGAAAAACTTTCACTAGATACATAAAAGAAAGAGAAATTAATCTATATAATCACTAAAAACAAAAAATCAAATCACAAAGGAAGATAGAAAGCAGAAAGTGAGGAACAAAAAAAACAATTGCTGAACAGAACATCATTAACCAAGTGGCAATAGTAAGTCTTAAGTATAATCACTTTACATGCAAATAGATCAAATGCATCAATCCAAAGATACAGATTGTCCAAAAGGATAGAAAACCAAGATCCAACGATATGTTGTCAACAACACTCACCTTAGACTTAGTAGAAGGAAATAAATAAAAAGATTAGAGGAAAAATAAATAAAGCAGAAATGAAGTTGTATACTTTAAATACACATAAGGTTTGTCAACTATATCTCAATAAAGCTGTAAAAAGAAAATGAAAAAATGGTGCAAAATTTTATCCGTGCAAGAAGAATAAGTCCTAGAGATCTATTATACAACATAGGTCCTACAGTAAATTTTACAGTACTTTATACTTAAAAAACTTGGGGCTGGGTGCGGTGGCTCATGCCTGTAATCCCAGCACTTTGGGAGGCTGAGGCAGGCAGAACATGAGGTCAAGAGATTGAGGCCATCCTAGCCGACATGGTGAAACTCCGTCTCTACTAAAGATACAAAAAATTAGCTGGGTGTGGTGGCACATGCCTGTAGTCCCAGCTACTCAGGAGGCAGAGGCAGGAAAATCATTTGAACCCAGGAGGCGGAGGTTGCAGTGAGCCAAGTGCGCACCACTGCACTCTAGCCTGGCAACAGAGCAAGACTCTGTCTAAAAAAAAAAACAACACAAAACAAAACAAGACAAAACAAAACTTGCCTAGAGGTGTATTTTGTGTTGTGTTTTTATCACATAAAATATAAATAAGAGCACTGGGGAAAATTTTGGAGTTATTGGATATGTTTACAGAATAGACTGTAACTATCCAAAACTATCCAACTTACATATTAAATATTTACTGCTTTTTGTAAGTCAATCATTCTTCCATAAACTCATTTTGTAAAAGGCAGATAAATAATAGAAGGAAAAATAGAAACAAAGAACAGGTGCAATGAATAGAAAACAGTTAACAAATATGGTTGATATTAATCTAGTTATGCCAATAACTAATCAATGGTCTAAATTCATCTATTAAAAGACAGATGTAGAGTGAATCAAAAAACAAAATGCAACTGTATGTCATCTTCAAGAAACACTCTTTAAATATAAATACACATATAGTTTAAAAGTAAAGGTATACGGAAACGTATACTATACTAAGACTAATTTTAAAGAAGCTTGTTTTGAGACAGAGGGGGCTTTAGAACAAGGAAATTCATCAGGGATAAACAGGAACATTTGTTAATTTTAAAAGGGTCAATTTTTCAATCAGTGATATCAATGTACATATATATGCCTCAATGTATATGCCCAATGACAGAGCATCAAAACACAAGGCAAAAACTGATAGAACTGCAAAGAGAACTAGATACATCCAGTATTTTAGTTGAAGATTTTAATACCCTCTATCAGTAATAGACAGACATGGCAGACAGAAAAATCAGGACTGTCCTAGTTGAACTCCCCCAGCATGATTAATCAACTGAATATAATAGATGTCTATAGAATACTTCCACCCAGCAACAGAATAAGGGAAGGTTTACCAGGATACACCACATTCTATGCCATAAAATATACATTGAACAATGCAAAAAAATTAGAAATCACATTACATATGTTCTATGTTTTCATACCCAATGGAATCAAACTAGAAATCAGTTAACAGAAAGATCTGGAAAATCCCAAGATACATGGAGATTTGAAACATATGCTTGTAAGTAAAGTATGGGTCAAAGAAGACAACACAAGATAAATTAAAATTAGAAAGAGTGTGAAGGTCTCTCATAGGGGGGCATATTGTGATGGTAAGACAGAAATCAGTGGCATCCTTGAAACGGTTGCTGGGAACTGAACTGCACCATCAGCAGAGAGGGCATAGTAGGTCCATTGGCGGCTGACCTATTAGAGGAGATACTGCGAGTGAGGTGCAGCTGCAGACTTGAGGCAGACTCACCAATGGTGAGGGAAGAGCAGCGAATGAGTCATAACCAGGGTCTGACCGTAAGGTGGCAGGATGTCAGCAAAGGCATGACTGGTGAGCTAAAAGGCCGGCTACTGGGTGGTGTCTGAAATGACCCTGTGATGAAAACTGTCCATGACCTGAGTGCCGAGTAATTGGTGAATAGGCCTGCAGAAGACACAATTATGTGAGGGACTTTGGGAAACCTGGGACAGCAAAAGCCACGGCACACTGAGGCTTGGAAAAATGGTTCCAAGGGGATGTAAAAGGAGTTGAAAGGTCTGGGTGGTAGTAGGCTTGGAGTTGCTGCATTGTGAGCAATGGCAGGCTAGAATGGGACAGGACCAAGAGGACTCAGAACTAAGCAGTAAGGTCTAAACACACTGTGTGTGTTGGAGGTGATGTCATAGGCACAAAAACTTGATCTTGGAGGTGGCTCAATCAACCATTTTGGGTCCTATCCATCTCTAATGGCTGCAAAGCACAACTGAGATGCCAAGTGTCTCTAGGAGGCACAGGCTGTAGAAACAGTGATAAGGGTGGCCTAAGGGTTAAACTCAATGTGGCCTGAGGAGGGTGAAGAGCCTGAGGCCGACTGGTTGTAGATTTTGTCTGCCTGCCTTACTCTAAATATAGCCTCACAATCTGGACTCGATGGGGAAAGGGTGGGAGCAGGGTGAGGGATAAAAGACTACCACACATTGAATACAGTATAGACTCTTCGGGTGATGGGTGCACCAAAATCTCAGAAATCACCACTAAAGAACTTATTCATGTAACCAAACACCACCTGTTCCCCAAAAACCTACTAAAATTTAAAAAAAGTAACAATAGCTTAACAGTGTTGAAAAGAATATAAGAATACAATAGTTCTTTCCTGATACAATTACATTTTCAATTTTATTAATTTAAGGGAGTATATTTGGGAATTCAGAAAGGTCAAGGGATGAGTACTCTTTAGATTTTTTAAAGGAAACATCAATTAGAATCATTTTGTTTTGCCATAAATAATGTCATATGCTGTTTAGTACACTGGAAATTTTTCTTCTATTATGTGACAAAAATCAAAGATGTATTCCAAAAACTAATTTTCTCAACATCAAAATTTATGAGTAAATTATAATTTTAAAATTTTCCCTTAGAAATTCATGCATTCACAATGTTGATCTCCAGAACAAGGATTGAATACATTAGTCAGACATCAGTTTCTTGATGTTTTGAATAATATAGTCTGGCAATTTCTTCTGTTTCTTAGCCTTCTGTATATAATACATGGATATTGTCCATATTATTGAAATGCAAATTTATTGAAAGGATACTAGCATGTCCACTGAGATTTATAGTGTATCAGTTTTGGAAAAATCCCATCTCATTATATGAAACTGTACTGAAATAAGAGCAAAACATTTGCAAACCATATAGCTTTAAGTAATTAGTGACTTGTTCAGGCCTGCCCCTTAAATTTTTCTGTTTTTGGAAGAAATCAATGAGTACAGACTGTTGAACTTGGATACTCCACATTTAAAGAATGCCATTTTAAATTCCATTCTTCCTGTAAAACTAACATTTTACATCCAAAAAAATAAGTAAATATAGCCCCACAATTTGATGGAAATGGCAGGCTGTTGTATCATGTGGGACAATGGCTCATTCCCATTGAGTTGTGTGGTTAGTTGTCAATATGAGGGCCCATTGAACCTCTCCCTCTTTGTTATCAGGCAGAAGGACATTATCCACATAGTGCCACAAGTGGACATCAGGTGGCAGTCAGAGGGTAGCTAGATCTAGTCAATGCAACCTTGAGCCAGCAGAGGATTGTTGAGGTAGTCCATCAGATGCCTCCTAACGGTGTACTGTCAGCCTTCAAATCTGAAGGTGAACTGCACCTGATCTTCTTCACAAATAGACACAATATAACATGTTTGCCAGGTCAGTAACAAAACCAAGAGGGAGAAGCATTCTGAACTTCTTCAAAGACAATGACAATGCTGGGTAAGGGGACTCTAAAAGGAAGTACAGCCTTGTTGAGGTTGCGGTTTTTAGCAATGAGCCTTCATTCCTTTCCCTGGCCTTGAGAAAGGGCCATTGGTGAGTTAAAAGGTGAGATGGTGGGTTTCAGAACACAAGCTCTATTAACTGGGCAGATCCCCTCTGTGCCTTGCTTGGGTGATATTATGAAGTACTGACCACCTGGAGGAGTCTGGGGAGCTGTAAAAGTTCCCAGTAGGCATGACCTACTTCCGTGCAAAGAACTTGGTGGGGTGAGACCCTCAGTTGGGGAACTGAAGTGCCAGAATGTCCAGGCCAATGATAGGAAATGGTCACTGAGAAATGGGCAGGAGAAACACTGGTGCTCAAGGGAGAAGGATGAGTCCTACCTTAACACTGAGCATGGCAGGCATCCTAAGGGCTCATCTTCCTCTCAGTCCATCAACGGGCACAGGAAGGCTGGTGCACTGCATGGGCAAAGCAGAGATAAGAATGACCCATTATCCAGTGTGTAATAAGACTATACACGTCTACAGGTTTGACCACCAGACTTGGATGTGATAATCTGATTGACACAGGAAAAAAAAGCATTTGGCTAAATCCATCATATGATTAAAACCCTAACCAAACTAGAAATTGAAGAGTACTTCCACAATCTGGTCAAGTGCATCTAAGAAAACCTACGATAAACATCCTCAACTAAGTTAGTGGGTAAAGAATGTTTACTCCATAAGATTGGAAACAATACATAAATAATCACTTTGACCACTTTCATCAACATTCTACTGAAGGATTTTGCTCAAGAAATAATGCTAGGAAAAAAATCAGCCAATGGCTCTTCAAAACACTTAACGTGGAAAGGACACCCTATTCACTAAGTGGTTCTGGGAATAGTGGCTGACCATATGCTAAGAATGAAACTGGACCCCTCTCACTCACCTGTACAAAAATTAACTCAAGATGGATTAAAGGCCTAAATGTAAGACCTAAAACTATAAAGATCCTGGGAGAAAACCTGGGAAAACTCTTCCAGACATGGGAATGCTCATACATTGTTGGTGGGTATGTCAATTAGTTCAACTTCTATGGAAAAAGTAGGGAGGTATCTCAAAGAACTAAAAGTACAACTACCTTTCGACCCAGCAATCCCACTACTGGGTATCTACCCAAAGGGAAAGAAATCATTATATAAAAAGGCACTGCACTCCCATGTTTATCGCAGCATAACTTACAACAGCAAGGTCATGGAACCAAGGTAAGTATCCACCAACGGTTCATTAAATAAAGAAAATGTGGTGCATATACACCACAAAGTACTAGGCAGTCATAAAAAAGAACAAAATCATGTCCTTTGCAGCAACACAGATGCAGCTGAAGGTCATTATCCTACGTGAATGCAGAAACAGCCAAATACTGCATGTTCTCATGAAGATGGAGAGAATACACTATGGGGACTCAAAAAGTTGGGGGGAAGAGTTGAAAACGTACCTACTGGGTACAACCTCCAATATTTGGGTGATGGGTATGCTAGAAGCACACCCCCCCCCATTGTGCATGTGATATACATATAACAAACAAGCACGTGTACCTTCTGAATCTAAAATAAAATAGAAAAAGAAAAAAGCCAAAGAAAAACATCCCGGGAATCCAGGGAGCAGCGGCTACTGCCTCCACTGCTCACTGCAGCCCGCAGATTCCACGCCGGCAGCTCCTGCCTGCGGGCAGTGGAGCTGCGGAGAATGGCGGGATGGGTCTAGGTGCCAGGGCCAGAGCCCAGGAGGGGCGCTGGGTGGGCGTCTGGCCGGCTTCTGCCTTGCACCGGAGCAGGGGTGCCTGGTGAAACAGTCAACCTGATGCTCTCTGGGCCCTGCCCACGTTCCCCTTCCATCCACCCTCCTTTGCATCTTTCTGTGCCTGGGGGCCCCATAGGAAGCGGTCACATCCAGACTCACCAGGCCTGAGATGCTGGAGGATGGAGAAGCACTTGCCACCGGAAAAATCCTCCAGGAACACATGAACAAAACCTCGCCTGCACCTGGGACATCCTTCCTTACGGCTGGCCTACGAGGCAAGTGTTCTGCACACGCTCCTTGGCTAACTCCAATGCAGAGGAGCACGTGAGCCCAACCGCCATGGCAGGTGCAGATCTTTGCCTCCCTTTCACAATGACTGTATTCAAATGACATATCCTGGAAGCCTCTTTCTGATAGGATGAGAGCAGACTCTGTACTACAACACAGATTGGATAAGTCTCCAACTCCGATTAGTGAAGATTATCCAGTCAGAGATGGAGACTATTATCCAATAAGAGTTGTCAAAAAAAGTTCCTTCTCACCCAATCAGAACCAAGCTTACAAGTACAGCAGTTGCGTACAGCCACTGTAAAAGGGAGGCGAAGGCCCATTCTGCCATTTTCTTTTCGTGGAGGTTGGGCTCGCGTGCTTCTCTGCGCTGTGGTCGTCATGGACCGGAAGCGTGTGCGGCGCGCCTGCCTTGAGGCCAACATCAGGGAAGGGTGTCCCAGGTGCAGAGGAAGCGTCCTTCACGTGTTCCTGGAGGACTTTCGGCTCGCAAGCACTTCTCCATTCTCCCAATGTCTCGGGCCTGGTGAGTCTGGATGTGAGCGCATCCCACGGGGCCCAAGGCACAGAGAGAGAGAGAGGAACGGGGTGGAGGGAGGGAAGCGTGTGCAGGGGCCAGGAGCGCCAGGCTGCTCTGGCTTCCCGGCCCCCGCAGCCCGCCAGGAGCTGTGGCCCCGCTTGGGACAAGGCAGAGGCCTGCCCTCCTGCTGCTGGCGCTGTCACCTCCCTGTGGTCCTGCCTTCTGGGTCCCTGAGGGCCTTCTGTCATCTGGAACTGGAAATAAGTTAGTGAAGCGAAGTTTTGTGAATATTTATTGGCCTTTGCGTCTTTGTCTTCATTTTCAGTGCTGGCTTTTCTGTTGGGTCATTTGTGTTCTTACGTTGATTTGAAGAATTTAAAAAGGTATTCTATAAATTAATCCTTTACGGGGTCATTTCTAGTGCAGATAGTTGTTTCTTAGTCTGGTCATTGTACCTTAATTTTATTTAACATTTCTTTCTTGCTGTACAGTATATTTACATATACTGTAAATCATATGCTTTTCTATTTTTCTGCAAATAGGATATTTTACATGAGCTATTTTTGGATGTTAACCAATCCTGACTTTTTTAGTATATCCCACTTGGTATCCATGTGTTACATTTTCATATGTGGTTTAATTCATATGTTTTTTTTTTTAGAATATTTGTATTTCTGTTAATGAAAGAGAGGGCGTATAATTTTTTTTCTAATGTCCTGTTCAGATTGTGGTGCCAACGTAATGCTGGCTTCACAAAACAAACTGAAAAATATTTCCTGTATTTCTTCTCTTTAGAAGAGTCTGAGAAATTTAGGTGTTTTCTTCCTTAAATATTTGGAATATGTCTTTAGACTAGGTATGGAATTTTCCATGTGGAACAGTATTTTTGTTGGCTGGTTTGACTTCTAATAATTCAAATCCTTTGGTATATGTAGGAGTTTTCTTGTTTTATGTTATTTCTGTGCCCATTTTACTAAGTTTATTTTTATTTTTATTTTTATTTTTGGGGGGACAGAATCTCGCTCTCCCAGGCTAGAGTGCAGTGGCACGATCTCGGCTCACTGCAACTTCCGCCTCCCGGATTTCTCCAGCCTCAGCCTAATTTTTGTGTTTCTAGTACACATGGGGTTTCACTATGTTGGCCAGGCTGATCTCGAACTCCTGACCTCGTGATCCACCTGCCTCAGCCTCCCAAAGTGCTGGGATTACAGGTGTGAGCCACCGTGCCCGCCTGTATTTTTTAGTAGAGATGGGGTTTCGGCATGTTGGCCAGGCTGGTCTCAAACTCCTGGCCTCAGGTGATCCACCCACCTCACCCTCCCAAAGTGCTGGGATTACAGTCGTGAGCCACCATGTTCGGCCTAGGAAGTTTATTTTTCAATGTAATGTTATTTGAATCTCTGTTGTCAAACTTCTAGTCCTAAGTATTTCACAGAACCCTCCTAGTGTCTTAATAATACACTACTCTATAGAGCAGGCTTCTGTTTTGGTTCCTGATAGTGATCTTTTGTGTCTTTTCTCTTTGCCTTAATTAGTTTCACTAGTGGTTTATTAAGTATATTAATATTTATAAACCAACTTTTTTTTTTTTTTGGGAAGGAGTCTCACTCTTGTCACCCAGGCTGGAGTGCAATGGCTCGATCTCAGCTCACTGCAACCTCCACCTCCCAGGTTCAAGTGATTCTCCTGCCTCAGCTTCCTGAGTAACTGGGATTACAGGCACCCACCACCATGCCTGGCTAATTTTTGTATTTTTAGTAGAGACGGGGTTTCACCATGTTGGCCAGGCTGGTCTTGAATTCCTGACCTCAGGTGATCCCCCCGCCTCTGCCTCCCAAAGTGCTGGGATTACAAGTGTGAGCCACCATGCCCGGCTGGAAGTTGCCTTCTTTTTTTTATTATTTTTAATTTTTTTGAGACAGAGTTTCGCTCTTGTTATCCAGGCTGGAGTGCAATGGCACGACCTTGGCTCACCGCAACCTCCGCCTCCCGGGTTCAAGCGATTCTCCTGCCTCAGCCCCCCGAGTAGCTGGGATTACAGGCATGTGCCACCACGCTCGGCTAATTTTGTATTTTTAGTAGAGATGGGGTTTCTCCATGTTGGTCAGGCTGGTCTCGAACTCCCGACCTCAGGTGACCTGCCTTCCTCGGCCTCCCAAAGTGCTGGGATTACAGGTGTGAGCCATCGCGCCTGGCCAGTCCTCTTTTTATATTTTACTCAAGTTTTTTTTGTGTTTGCGGTTCAGTTTTAAAGTTTATTAAATGCTTTAAAAAACTTTTCAGCTAAATGATCTTACTATTTTCTCCTGTATTTTTCTGCTAATGGGATGACTTACACGATTCATTTTGAATGTTAAGGACCTTGCATTTTGGTGTATATTCCGTTTAGTATTGATCTACTGTATTTTCATAGGTGACTTCATTCATATAATATTTTGCTTAGAATATTTGTAGCTCTGTTTTATTTATTTATTTTTGAGACAGAGTCTCGCTCTGTCGCCCAGGCTGGAGTGCAGTGGTGCGATCTGGGCCCACTGCAAGCTCCACCTCCTGGGTTCACGCCATTCTCCTGCCTCAGCCTCCCAAGTAGCTGGGACTACAGGCGCCCGCCACCATGCCTGGCTAAGTTTTTTTTTTTGTATTTTTAGTAGAGACAGGTTTTCACGTGTTAACCAGGATGGTCTCGATCTCCTGACCTCGTGATCCGCCCACCTCGGCCTCCCAAAGTGCTGGAATTACAGGCATGAGCCACCACGCCCGGCCCCAGCTCTCTTTATTAAAAAGGAGATACATACTGTTTATGAAAGAGGTGACATAATTTTGTTTATTTGTGTCCCATAATGTGTCCTGGTCCAATTGTGTCCTCAATGTAATGCCAGCTACACAAAAAATTTTTTAAATATTATCTTTATTTTCATTTTAGTGTTTTTCTTTGTATGGACTATTCTATAATTATGAGCTGGGAATTTTTCATTGTTCAGTTGTTTTTCTGATTTTTGGTAGACTGGACATTTTCCTGTGTTTCCTGACCATTTGCATCTCCTCTCCTGCTCTGTGCACTATCACCCTGCTCCAGCTGCTTCCCGGAGCCTCCCTCCTTCCTCTCCACCTGCCCGCGTCCTCCTTGTCCTTCAGTTTCTTCCTAAGGGCCCATGGGCTTTCTTTGGCTTTTACGTTCCTCTCACTCCACCTTTGACAGTTGCTGGGCTTCCCATCCCCTGGGAGGTTTCAGAGGATGGGGAAGACAGAGGAGTGCAGTTGCCATGCAGTGCAATATGGGCCATAATGTTCATCCTCCACGGCCTGTATTGAGGACTTGCTGTGTGCCAAGAATCTGCTCTAAGAATGTAACTGTGCTCCCTCACTTCATGCTCATAACCACCTGTGAGATGGGCAATGTTCTCATCCACTTTTACACAGAGAACACAGAGGCACAGAGGAGTTTCATAAATTGCTACCAAGGCCTTCCGCTGGTGTGCAGCAGGGTCAAACCCAGGCTGTCTGGCCCTGGGGTTCAGCCTCTCAAGTGCTCTGCTAGATGTTGGACAGGACAAACGAGACACAGAGAATGAACACCACCTGACTTGGGCTGGGGAAGTCAGGGATGGCTTCCTGGAGGAGGTGACACCTCAGTGGAACCTTGAAGGAGGAGCAGGAGGAGCTGACCAGGCAATGAATAAGTATGTCCAGGAAAAAGGAAAGGCCTGAGTGATGCTGGGAGGCTGGAGAGCTGGCCTTGGGTGTGTGGCGGAGGGGGGGCAGGAGATCAGGACCAAGGGTTTGACCAAGGCCAGATCTTGAAGACTCGGGCCATCCCATAGTTGATACCTTATCCCAGGGCCAGGCAGGCCTTCCACTGCTCTGTGCGCACTGGTGGGCAGTGCCTCATGGGATGCTAGGAGCCTAGACCCCAGCCACCCACCTGGGCTCCTGAGACCCGAGGTGCAGGCACGGGGCTGGGAGGGGTTGCAGCTGATTTACATTCAACAGATTGAGGGGAAAACTGCAGGTGCCTCGCTGTGCAGATGGAACCCACCGCCAGATGGACCCCGGAGACAGCCTAGATTCACAGCCTTTCCCTGCTGCTCTGTCCCCACACCCCAGGCGGGGAGCAAATCTTTTCTCTGATCATCTTTTGTGCTCACCACCCATATCCCAGACATGTACCCGACCAGGGGCTCAAATACATACAGTTTCTGAGCGAGCTGGATAAGGCAGTGACCAGAGGCTGCCTCGACACAGGATGAAATTGCCCAGTGCTCTGGCACCACGAGTCAGAACCCAGCCAGAACTGTGACCTGGCAGTGGCAGAAGCTGTCTGGTGCTGCCAAATCAGCCCTGGCCAGTTGTTCATTGACCCCCTCTGGGACCTTGGCTGAGCCACTTCCCCTCAGCTGTAAAATGAAGAAGACTGTCTTTCCTATTAGATATCCCTCAAAAACACAAAAGTGCTTTGAACCTGCCAGACTCCCTCTTGAAGAGTCACAAGAAAAGGCTCTGAGAAGTCCTGCAGTTAAAAAAATTTTTTGACTTTCTTTAACCCAGCATTTTTCAAGCTAATTGACCACAGAGCTCTTTCTTGGTGCAACACCTGTTAACCGGCCAAGTGTGTGAGGAGGCACAAGTAGAGAGCTCTGAGAATCACCCTCCTTGGCTGCTCTCTGGTCTCAGGGTGCAGGAAAGAGTCTCCGTGCTACATCCCAGTCTGCGGTAGTCCAGGGTGTGAGCCCAGCCCACAGAGCTAGTGTCAGAGAGGAATTCCCTTTCTTCCCTTTCTGTTAATGGAGCTTCTCCCTCAAGCTTCTACTCCACCTGGCTGGTGTCAGTCTTAGGGTTTTCATGCTCCTCTTTGGGCTTGATGGGGGTTCTGGGATTTTATGTAGGTTGAGATAGCAGTAGAGGAGGAAGGGCATGGACAGCTTCTCTGATCAGTTGGGCATCTGCCATCAGGTCAGTCGGGCATTATCTCCCCCTCAGGTCCGGTGGCTTTGGTGGCTTCCAGGCCATGAATGGGCCCTGGAGCCTCCCCAAGGCTGCCCTTGTCACATAGGATCCACTGCCGGACTTTACTCAGCCACTGCTTCACACTATGGCAGGGTGGGTGGTAGCTCCCTCCTTCTCCACTCCCCAGCCCAAACTGGGGGAGAATTAGGAGTCTGTTTTTAATTTTGTTTGATCCTTTGATTTTAGATTTGCTTTTGAATAGATAATATAGTCAGATGATTTGAAACTCAGAATGTATTGAAAGATTATTAATAAAGTCTTTTTTCCCTCTTTGTCCACCAACTGCTCCCTTCTCGCCTCCCCTCGAGTAAGCAGTTTTCTTAAGATGTAATTTCCATGCCATAAAGTTCACCTGTGTAAAGTGTACAAGTCTGTTTTTTAGTGTATTTACACAGTTATGCAACAATCACCCTAACTAATTTTAGAACATATTTTTAGAACTAATTTAGAACTAATTTTGATCACCCCAAAAAGAAACCTTGTCAATCTTCATTCCTCCCCTACCCTAGGCTACCACTAATTTATTATCTGTCTCTATAGATTTGCCTGTTTTGGACATTTTCCATAAATGGAATCATACAATATGTGATGTATTGTGACTAGCTTCTTCCACTTGGCATAATGTTTTCAAGGGCTGTCCATGTTGTAGCAGGTATCAGTACTTGCTTCAGTTTTGTGGCTAAGTAACATTCCACTTTATGGATATGTCATATGGCTTTTCCAGTCATCGGTGGATGGACATTTGGGTTGTTTCTACTTTTTTGGTCACTGTGATTGTTAATAATGCCTCCATGAACTTTTGGGTTCAAGTTTTGGGTGAACATGTTTCATTTCTCTTGAGTAGATGGATACCTAGAAGTGGAATTACTGGGTCATATGATAATTCTACATTTAGCATTTTAAGGACCTGCCAAACTGCTTTCCAGAGCAGCTGCACTATTTTATAATTTACTTCGTGCACGAGGGTTCCGATTTCTCCACATCTTCACTGACACTTGTTATTGACCATCTTTCTCACTCTAGCCTTCCCAGGGGGTATGAGGTGGTATCTCAGTGTGGTTTGGGTTTGCATTTCCCTAGTGACAAATGATGTTGAGCATCTTTTCATGTGCTTGTTGTCCAGTCATATGTCTTTTATGGTAAAATGTCTCTTGAAATTTGTCTTTTCGTTATTCTGTTATAAGCATTCTTTATATTAATATATTCTGGATACTAATATATTCTGGATACTCTTACTTAGCAATGAAGACTGTTTGCGGTATGGGTCCAACCTGCGTTCCAGTTGGAATGTCCTAGTCACCTATGCATCCACCCAACAAATACTGCCAGAGAGCCTACCATGCGTATATATGGCAGAGTCCCTGGCCTCAGGAAGCCCACGGTCTAGTCCAGACACACAACACCACCCACGTTCTTTGAACTTCCACTTCTCTCTAGATTTCTTGAGCCAACTAACAACTCTCAAGTACTTTGCCTATTCAGTATTGTTTTTTACAGCCCTTAATTTCATTTTGCACACTACTTACTGTTGAGTTTTAATATTTGCAAATATTTGCTTCTATTCTGTGACTTGTCTTTTTACTCTCTCAGTAGTATCCTTTGGTCCTATTAAAATTAAAACAAGTTATAATTTTCATGAAGTTCAATTTATCTAATTTTTTTCTTTCATTGTCTGTGCCTTTGTTGCCATATCCAAAGTATCATTTCCAAATTCAGTTGATGGAGATTTTTCTCCTGTGTTTTCTTTTAAAACATTTATAGTTTTAGCCTGTAGCCCATTTTGAGTTAATTTTTGTATATGGTGTCAGATAAGGATTCAGCTTCATTCACGCACATGGATAGCCAGTTTTTCCAGCGTAATTTGTTGAAGAGACTGTCCTTTTCCCCATTGAGTGGAATTGTTAGTGTTTTTTACATAGAAGATTATGTTGTCTGTGAACAGAGATATTCTTATGCTCTCCTTTCCAATGTTTATATCTTTATTTCTTTTTCTTGCATAAGTGCTCTGGCTATGTTGAAGAGAAGTGACATGTGTGCATCCTGATCTTGTTCCTGATCTTAGGGGAAAGCTTTCACTCTTTCACCACTGAGAATGTTGTTAGCTGTGGGATTCTCAAATATGGCCTTTATCATGATAGGGAAGTTACTTTCTACCCTAGTTTCTTGTGTTTTTATCATGAAAAAGTATTGGATTTTTTAAATTGTTTTTTCTGCATCAACTGAGATGAACATAGTTTTTTCTGTAATTTTTTTCCTTTTTTTTTTGAGATGGAGTCTCACTCTGTCACCCAGGCTGGAGTGCAGTGGTGCAATCTCGGCTCACTGCAACCTCTGCCTCCTGGGTTTGAGCGATTCTCCTGCCTCAGCCTCCCAGGTAGCTGGGACTACAGGCACCCGCCACCACACCCGGCTAATTTTTTGTATTTTTAGTGGAGATGGGGTTTCACCATGTTAGCCAGGATGGTCTTGATCTCCTGACCTCATGATCCACCCGCCTCAGCCTCCCAAAGTGCTGGGATTACAGGCATGAGCCACCATGCCTGGCCTTTTAATTTTTTTAATGTGGTGCATTTTACTGATTGTTTTTTTTATGTTGAACCATCTTTGCACTCCAGGAATAAATTCCACTTGGTTATGGTGAATAATTTCTTTGATATGCTGTTGGGTTCACTTTGCTAATATTTTATTGAGAATTTTTGCATCTAAATACTTAAGGCATATTGGTCTGTAATTTTCTTTTTTGTGATGGCTTCATTGGGCTTTGGTATCAGTGTAATGCTGACTTTATAGAATGAGTTAGGAAGTGTTCCCTCCTCTTTGATTTTTGGGAAGAGTTTGAGAAGAATTAGAGTTGATTCTTTAAATGTTTTGGTGGGGTTCACTAGTAAAGCAATCTGGTCTTGTGCTTGTCATTGTTTTTTTTTTTTTTTTTTTTTTTGACAAAGTTTTGCTCTTGTTGCCCAGGGTGGAGTCCAATGGTACAATCTCGGCTCACTGCAACCTCTGCCTCCCGGGTTCAAGCGATTCTCATGCCTCAACCTCTTGAGTAGCTGGGATTACAGGCATGTGCCACCACACCTGGCTAATTTTTGTATTTTTAGTAGAGACAGGGTTTCTCCATGTTGGTCAGGCTGGTCTTGAACTCCCGACCTCAAGTGATCTGCCCGCCTCGGCCTCCCAAAGTGCTAGGATTAAAGGTGTGAGCCACCACACCCGGCCAGTAGGTTTCTTATTACTGATTCAGTCTCCTCACTTCCTCACCAGTTGTAGGTCTATTCAGATTTTCTGTTTCTTAATGTGTCAGTTTTGGTAGATTGTGTGTTTCTAGGAATATGCCCATTTTATCCAGGTTATAAAATTTATTGGTATACTGCTGTTCATAGTATTCTCTTATAATCTTTTTTATTTTCATAAAATAAGTAATACTGTTTCCAATTTCACTTCTGATTTTAATAATTTGAGTCTTCTCTCTTTTTCTTAGTAAATTTCCTTTCTGATTTTGATAGTTTGAGTTTTCTCTTTTTCTTAACAAATTTCATTTCTGATTTTGATAATTTGAGTCTTTTTATTAGTCTAGCTAATGTGTTGCTAATTTTGTTGATCTTTTAAAGAGCTAGCTTTTGGTTTTGTTGATTTTCTCTATTGTTTTTCCATCTGTATGTTGTTTATCTCTGCTGTAATCATTATTTCCATCTGCTAGCTTTGGGTTTGGTTTGCTCTTCCTTTTCTATTTCCTCAAGGTGTATAATTAGGTTATGATCTGGTTATGTTTCTTCTTTTTCAGTGTATGCGTTTACATAAACTTCCCTCTTCACATTGTTTTATTGTATCCCATAACTTTTGGCATGTTGCCTTTTCATTTTCCTTTGTCTCAAGATATTTTCAAATTTCCCTTGTCATTTCTTCTTTGACCAGTTGAGAAAGAGTGTGTTTAATTTCCACATGTGTGAATTTTCCAGTTCTCCTTCTGTTATTGATTTGTAGTTTTATAACATTGTGATCAGAAAAGATACTTTGAATTATTTTAAATTTTTAAGAATGTGTTAAGGTTTGTTTTGTGGCCTAACATGTGGTCTATCCTGGAGAACGTACCATGTGCACTTGAGAGGAATGTGTATTCTCCTGTTGTGGGGTGGAGTGTTGTGTATGTGTCTGTTGTGTCCAGTTGGTTTGTAGTGTTGTTCAAGTCCTGTATTTTCTTATTGATCTGTCTGGTTGTTCTATTATTGAAAGTGAAGTATTGAAATGTCCTAGTATTAGTGTAAGAGTATTTCTCCCTTTCATTCTGTCAATTTTTAAAAATATACTTTGGGATCCTGCTATTAGGTTTATATAAATTTATAATTGTTATATCTTCTTGCTGCGTTCCTTTTTATTTTTATTTATTTATTTTAGATGGAGTTTCACTCTTGTTGCCCAGGCTGGAGTGCAATGGCTCACTGCAGCCTCCACCTCCAGGGTGCAAGCGATACTCCTGCCTCAGCCTCCCAAGTAGCTGGGGTTACAGGCGCCTGGTACCACACCTGGCTAATTTTTTGTTTTTTGTTTTTTAAGACAGAGTCTCACTCTGTCACCAGGCTGGAGTACAGTGGCGCAATCTCGGCTCACTGCAACTTCTGACTCCCTGGTTCAAGTGATTCTCCTGCCTCAGCCTCCCAAGTAGCTGGGATTATAGGCACATGCCACCACGCCCAGCTAATTTTTGTATTTTTGATAGAGACAGGGTTTCACCCTGTTGGCCAGGATGGTCTCGATCTCCTGACCAAGTGATCCACCTGCCTCGGCCTCCTAAAGTGCTGGGATTACAGGCGTGAGACACCGTGCCTGGCCAATTTTTTGTATTTTTTAGTAGAGACGGAGTTTTCACCATGTTGACCAGGCTGGTGTCGAACTCCTGACCTCAGGTGATCCACTCACCTCGGCCTCCCAAAGGGCTGGGTTTACAGTCCTGAGCCACCTGCCTGGCTTCCCTTTGTTAATATATACCTTAACAATGTATATTTTCTCCCATTCTATAGGTTGTCTGTTTACTCTGTTGATAGTTTCTTCTGAAGACAGTGGAATACTATGCAGCAACTAAAGTAGCCACCTAGCAGGATGTGTACCAGTATGGATACATTTTGAAAACACAGCTAAAAGCAAGGTGCAAGGGCATAATAAGCATAGATGGTGAGGGATAGAGCATATTACCATGTTACAAACCCGACACTCTAAAAGCACAATATAGTATATATAACATTGTGTAAAACACTCAAAACACCCAGAACAATACTAGGCATTATCATGGATACATACATATATAGTAAAAGTGAAAAACCATTCAAGGGATGACCACATAGCAATTTTAGGATAATGCTTATTACTCTCTGAGGTGGGAGGGTACATTGAAGCTTTAAAAAATTCTTCCTAGAATAAAAAGATTTTGCAAATGTGGCAAAATTTAACTATTGTTAAGTCTGAGTACCTGTTTATCATTATTCTTGGTAGTTTCCTGTATATTTAGAATATTAACAATCAAAAATTGAACAGGTGGAAGGACTGTACTGTGCCACTTTTCTGCTTCTGGTATGTGTATGTTTCAGTGCTCTGTGCCTTCCACTGTGGTTCTCTATCAGGTTCATAGTGTATTTCTCTAAAGAAACATTGTAACTTACTGCTAAGTATCTTATGGCTAAGGAGATTGAAGATCAGCCTTGCTTCAGGGGCGTTGTTCACAGCTCAGCAGCAGAGGGCGCCACCCCATAGCTGATGTGCGGTGGGGCGGCCACACCAGGCAGCCCTCTTGGTACAGGGCCAGTGCCTCCCAGGGAAGCACTGCTCCCCCAGCTGCAGGAAAGAGGAATATTTAAATGCGTGCAGATTTCCCTTTCGCTTGTAGGAAGGGGTACAGAATCCAGCCATTTGGAAGCATACATCATGTTTCTCTGACTGTTCGTGGCCTCGGCTGTTTCTGAGGCTAATAATGCAAGAAACAGCACATGCCAAAGGCGTCTTTGCCACTGTGTCCATGAGCCTGCTGCTGACTTGCCAGGGGTTTTTTGTGATGTATTATTTTAGATTGAGGGGGTTCGTGTACAGGTTTGTTACATGGGTATATTGTGTCATGATGGGGCTTTGGCTTGTAGTGGACTGATCGCTGCGGGAACTTTGTTGTTAAACTGACCAGGGAACTTTCCTTTTATTTTAAGTGGAAAAAGATTATTCATACCTGAAGGAGATGTGTAATCACCAAGCAGAACAGCTAAACAGAACCAGCCTAAAGCTGCAAGAAGCATCATCAGAGAGTGATGCAGAGATCAAAGACATGAAAGAAACCATGTTTGCACTGGAAGATCAGGTGGAACAGCACTGGGTTATCAAGTTACACAGTACTCAACTTATCAGTGAGCTAAAAAATAAGTGGGGTCAAGCCCAGGTGAAATGTGGATTGGAAGTGAGTAGGACACTAAAGAACCCAGCAGCAGTGGGTGACTGTGGGAAGGTTTTTGACCGTGTGTTGGCTGGGGTTTATGAAGAGTCTTTCATTTGAGTGTGCTATAATCTCCCGGGAAGAATGTCACCTAAGAAACAATCATTAATCTCTTAAACTAAGTTGAAAACTGGATAACAGAAGAAAAGAGTAAGTAACATAAGTGACTGTGAAAAATAGCAAATGCTTTGTTGTTTGTTGTTGTTTTAGAGAGAGGGTCTCAGTCTGTTTCCCAGACTGGAGTGCAGTGGTATGACCATACTCACCACAGCCTCAAACTTGTGGGCTCAAGCGATTGTCCCAAATCAGTCTCCCAGAGCACTGGGATTACAGATGTGAATCACTGTACCCAGCCACAAATGTTTCTTGTCTGTGCTAGATGTGCTGTGTGTGAGCCATGCTGCTGCCACTGTCTCTGAGCAGCCTGATCGGCTTGGAGGCCACAAGTTGGGACACTTCAGCTGTGACTGTGTGAGAGTTCACAGGGACTTTTCCTAAGGACATTCTGTGGGGTAGGAATGGGTTATTCAGAAGAAATACCTTGCCAAGCATTGACACTGTGTTGTCACCAAGCATTGACAATGTGTTGTCTCTTGGAGCTGATAGAGTTGGATGATAGGTGTCAGAGTGGATGAAAAATGTGTGCTCTTGGTCTAAGGAAGAAAACAATTCCTGCATGTGTGCCATTGATGGTAGGATATCAAGTAACTTACAGATGTTGGCCACTTAGTTGCTGAAGAGGCATCATTATGTGGCTTATGAGCTCATTGTTTACTTTGACTTGGGAAAAGAAATTTTTAAAAGGGATTAAACGTTGCCTGCTTTGTCCAAATGAGCCTTATCAAATTATCACATCTAATGTGCTTCGCTTTTGTGACAAAAGACTTAATGGACATGGCCAGGTGTGGTGGCTCACGCCTGTAATCTTAGCACTTTGGGAGGTCGAGGTGGGTGGATCACCTGAGGTCAAGAGTTTGAGACCAACTTGGCCAACATGATGAAACCTTGTCTCTATTAAAAATACAAAAATTAGCCAGGTGAGGTGGCGGGTGCCTGTAATCCCAGCTACTTAGGAGGCTGAGGCAGGAGAATCACATGAACCCAGGAGGTGAAGGTTGCAGTGAGCTGAGATCACACCATTGCGCTCTAGCCTGGGCAACAGAGTGAAACTCTGCCTCAAAAAAAAAAAAAAAAAAAGGTTTAATGGGCAAAGCATTTAGGTCACACCAATCATTACTAAGAATAGCCTGGTCAGTTGCCTGAGAAGTTCCCCACACCGTGCAGTTGATCCTCCTTATTCACAGATTCACAGATTGCACATTTGTGAATTCACCTGCTTGCTAAAAATTTCTTTTTTTTTTAGATGGAGTTTTGCTCTTGTTGCCCAGGCTGGAGTGCAATGGTGCAATCTTGGCTCACCGGAGGTTATCCTGCCTCAGCCTCCCGAGTAGCTGGGATTACAGGCATGCGCCACCATGCCCGGCTAATTTTGTATTTTTTTAGTAGAGACGGAGTTTCTCCATGTTGGTCAGGCTGGTCTTGAACTCCCAACCTCAGGTGATCCACCCGCCTTGGCCTCCCAAAGTGCTGAGATTACAGGCATGAGCCACTGCGCCCAGCTGCTCAAATGTATTTTAACCCCCAAATCAACAGGCAGAGTACTTCCACTGAGTCATTTTTGTCATTTTTGGACATGCACAGAGAAGTGAAAACGTTGAGTCATCCAGTGCTTATGCTCCCCACTGAGGTCAGACAGACACTTTACCTTCTCATACTGTACATATGTCTTTTCCATGGTCTGTTTAGTACTGTGCTTTTAGCATTTTTTTGCGTGGTTTTGGTGACTTCGCTGTTTAAAATGGCCCCAAGTGCAGTGCTGCAGTGCTGCAGTGCTGTCCACTGTCCCTAAGCGCAGGGAGGCTGAGAGAGACCTGCAGAGAAGACACGTATGTTACGGAAGTTTCTTGAAGGCATGAGCTCCTGTGCTGTTAAGCCTGAGTTACTGAATCGACAACACAGTACATCAGAGAAAGGGAGAGGAAGTTCAACAATATGTATGTAAAGCTGCCCTGACATGCTAAAGGGACATCTGTAGAGTGTGATGCAGCTGTGGAAAAGATGGAAAAGCAGCCAAATTTATGGATTCATGAGAAGACGGCCAATTTTAAAAAGCAGTGGGCAACATTATTGTGAGACTGAAAACCAAAGACACGTACGTGCACATCATCTCAGGTCAGGAAAATATTAAATCCTTCTTGGTTAGTGCTGGTCGGCTCCTAGGTTTCGAAAGGCTGTAAGGTGTGAGAATGGTTAACGTTGCAGGCAAGGCAGGTTGTGCAGATCAGGAGACTGAGGAAAAATTTAAAAATACTTCCTCAGTGTTAGGAAGAAGGAAATGGGAAGAATGAGTTTCCACTGCTGATGAGACTTGCTTGTTTTATGGAGATATTGCCAGATGCAACTCTGTGCACGAACCTGAGAATTGACTGTGTATTCCAGATATTGATTAGTTGGTTAGAGTGAGAGTTGACAGCACCTGCCTCGTTTCTTCTTGAACATGACACGCAGTAGAACTGTGGAACCTCAGCATTCAGTGTCGGTGCCATCCAGGCTGTTCTCAGGATACAGCTGAAAACCTGGACACCATTATCATCAGTGTATCCTTCCAAACCCAGCACCATGATTGTGAAGAAAAGTCAAAGAAGACAAGTTCTGTTCTGTTTTGTTTTTGTTTTTGTGATATTTTGCTGTTGAGAATGGGGTTGTATTGTCCCTAAATCCTTAAAAGTCAGCACAGACACACCAAGAAAACCAGTGTATAATTAATGTCCACAGCAAAATTTAGGCCCACCCCTGTGGTTATATCATCATATATCCAGGACTGACAATAACCCAAGCCATCTTTTGAAAAGCTGTTAAACTTTTTAAAAGGATTTTGAAGTATTATTCAGATATCTTTTTGCTCAGAGACCCCGAGACACAGCCCTAGACCGATCACTCCTTCCCATGAGATCCTGATGGGAGAGAAATGGACTGAAAAATGAAAGGAAATTAGGGGGTGTTTTCTACTCAGCAGAATAATCCCAGACTCAGACTCCCAGGCCCACTAGAACTAGAACTGCTGGGGTAGGACCTGCCCACAAGCATCTTTTTAGCCTTCTCTGGTGATTCTGATTCACAGCCTTCATAGAAAACTGCTCTAGGTTAGAGCATGAGGACCTATTGAGGAATTTCAGCTTGGTGACTGACACCATCAGATTTAAACTCGAATGACTCTGATAGCCATATGGAGAGAATTGGAGGCGAGGAGAACGAAGGGTTGCAGGTGTCCTTAAGTAGGGAGAGGCAGGCAAGCCACCTGGGAAGATGTCAAATGCACACATCCTCGGGTTCTGTCTGCCCTTGGAGATTCTGCCTCCAGGTGTCTGGAGTGTGGACTAGAACATCAGTGCTTTTGAAAAGCTTCACCAATGATTCAGAGGCTTAACTGCCGTTGAGACCCACGACTCTGGAAAGTGCTTTACAAACCACAGGAGGAATAAGCAGTCATGTGCTCTGTTATGTGAAAGCCTCTATCTCACAGCAATAAAGGACACTCAGGATGATTGCGTGTGAGTGCGAGGGAGGCCGGGCTCGGTGTGCAAGTGTGTGTGGCCAAGGAGGCCTCTTCCCGTAGTGCTATTTGGTTGTGCATCCTGTCTGCTGAGACTGTAACCTCAATATGCACCATGTGTTTTTCAGATCATCGTGTTCCCTATTTTGGAGGAACTTGCTGCTTCCAGCCCCTCTTTGCAGGGTAAATTGAAATTGCTAAAAGTTGCATTTAGAGTAGAATGCATTTAGAGTAGATTTGAACACCTGCTGTGGCATGTGGAGCTGCCCCTTTGCTACCTGACTTATCTTCTCTCAAGAGTCTCACAACTCTTCCAAGGCCTGTCTGAATTGTCTATTTCTAGGTAATGTGATCAAGCTGGAGAAACAGAAGTCAGATCTGGGGAGGCAGCTAAAGACTCTGACTGAGCAGATACAGGGGAGATGTGGCAGGAGCCTTCACCACCATCTTCCTATAAATTACCCCTCCAAGGTCTGGATCACTCTCTCTATCCTGCTTTATCTTGGAACATTTTCATGACATGGGTCCTGAAACTGTAAGTTCTTGCCAGCAGGAAGTAAAATCAAAGCAGTCATTTGTTGTCAGGATGGAGAGCTCTCATAACCTGAAGGTGTAATTTCCACCAGTGCCTTTTCCTAGCAGCAAGACACCGTGAAAGCAGGGCCTCACTAAGCACTGCTGGCTGTTCTTTCTTGGTGACTGATACAGGGGCTCTGGAGTCTCTGCCCAGGCACCAGCCCTGGCAGGCATCTGACACAGGGTTGGGCTCTGGCATTTTCAGAAGAAGACCATGGAATGGAGGTGGTTCCAGCCGGATCTGCAGACTGCGGTGGCAGTGGCCAACAATGTCAAGTGAGAAGCCCAGCAGGAGCTGGGCACTGTGAAGAGGAAACTGCTGAACTGCTGGAGGAGAAGGAGAAGGAGGAGGAGAATGCCTGGCTGCAGAAGGAGCTGGGGGATGTGCAGGGCTGCGGCAGGGTGGTTTCCAGCAGAGCTGCCCCTCCGTGAGTCTAGTGGGCACCCAGGCCATGCTTGCTTTTCACTTAATTACTGTGCGTGGGGCTCCCTGGTAGGGATGAGACGCTTCATGTCTCTCTGTGCAAGGCTCTGCTGTTTCTTTTCTGGGATCAGTCTGCATTACCAGTGCTACCGCATCACTAGGAACATTCCATCCAGTGCCCAGTTTCTGCCATGCTTAGCAGCATAAGGGGCTGCTAAGCTTCTCACTTACATATGAAGGGCCAGTTCTAGCCAAGTATCCTGCTAGGCTTAAAGAATAGAAGTCCTGTCTAGGATGCTCCTTGAATCTTAGTATTTATTAGTGCAGGGAGTGCACACTGATAAATACGAACCCACCACCTTGCACAGGTCACTCCCATGCAGTGGGAGAAGCTGGAATCACTCCTGAGGGGAGGAGCCACCAAATAAGGACACATTCCTCCCGGCCCAGGGATGTGCCTACTTATTTGACAACACCCATGGGCTACTTCAACAGGCCTTGACATAACTCACTTTATTTTAAAAAGAGTGGAAAACATGCATTTGGCTGATGTATGACATTCCCCTCTGCTCTGGATGGGAAGAAACACATAGCCTATCAGCCCAGAGAGCTCTGCTAATAGTGACATTTAAGAGTATTTGGGACTACAGTTGCACCAGACAAGATCATTACTTTATAGCCGGACCTCTACCCTCTGGCCACCAAAGGATGTGGATTTTAGGAAAACTAGATTTTGCAGTGTTCCCTGTTGAAACAGCAGTGAGGGCATTCAGGGTGGCCTCTGTGTCTGCTGTTGTTTGTTTGCCTCTGTCTTGCTTCCCTATTGTCTGTCATTGGAAGAAGATCCCAGTCAGAACTTGTGTTGCTTCACATGGACGCTATTTTAATGATAAATGGTAAAAGGTAAGTCCTAAGTTTCCATGGTAGCCCTGAATAACCAGGTTCTTGTATGAGCTGCTGCATTTCTTATGTATACTGTGAGACACAGGCCATACCATGCAGTGTGAACCCTGGTATTCTAGGAAATCTCCGCATGCATCCTGGCAGTTTAGGACTCCCTATGCTGCATCCTGCATCTTCAGTCTTAACGTCATTGTTTTTTTAAACACAGAATTTTCTTTTTTGATTTTCCGGTGATTTGCAACATTACTTTCTCAATATAGCAGTTTAATCCCTTACCACAAAACAGTTCAAATTTTGGAACTGACACCAATGAGAACGTGTCATGGTACTGAAATCAGGCATCATGATGATTTTGCCTGCCATTGTGTTTGGCAGGAAGTCAGACAAGTGCCAGTGATGGTTTCTTGTCTGATTTTGCACTTCTCTGGCAAGCTGTCACCTCTGAAGAGTTGACTATTGGGTAATTACTCGCTCATGGCTCGGTCACTCCTGGAACCTACCCCATGAGCAAGAACTAAAACCAACTCACACCCTCCAAGCTCCCGAAGCCAGCCAGTGTTTCCATCTTGGCTGAATGAGTTCTTGATTGAAACTCAATTTGACTTTGGCAGTCATCTAATGAGAACTCAAAAGTCATCCTTGGTTCAGCCACAGCAAAATAACTTGCAGAACATTCTCTGATGAGATCTTCAAGTACAACTGAGAGAAGGTAAGAACACCCAAAAAGCACCTGGATCCTGACACGGGATTACCTGGTTCTTAAACTGTTTGCCCCCATGGGCACTCGCGGGGATGGTTGCAGCCATGCTGATAGGCATGAGATGAAGCACCCAGGCAGGAATGCAAATCAGCATTTATTGCCGGAACTCAGTGGCTACACAGTGGGATATTATCTAACTCATCAATGATCTTCAGCCCTGTTACACTTTCAAAAATATTTGTATTTCAGAGTTAGAATAAGTGATGTTAAGGTATATGGGGAAGGAAGGTGGTAGCCTCGTCTTTGCAGCCAACCAGCAGTATCTCATTCTCAGCCTCATCTTTGCAGCCAACTAGCAATATCTCATTCCCAGCCCCGTCTCCTGCCTCTGTTAAAAGAGGTGGGAAAAGTGAGTAGTTTTCAAGGTCCGTTTAAGCTCTGCTATTCTCTGGACTGGTTGTTCAGCTGACCTTTCCCTGGTGGGAGAGTCAGAAATTCCTGTGCCAGCCTTAGCATCTTTCTGATACAATCCTTTGAACCTCTTTGACACAGTGGTTTCCCCATTGTTGATGAGCAGTGCATGACACAAGGCTTCTCTAACAGCAGCGGGGAAAGACCTCTGCATTTACTGTGTTTGTTTATTTCTCTTGTTCTGAAACAGTAAATGCTGTTATTTCAGGGTGACTTACCTAATTCTTACAGTGTTTATATAACACCAGTAAACATCCATGGAAAACATCTTTAAAAGAGATCATTAAACACACTTAACATCTGTGCCTAATTAATGCTATTGGTATCTAAATAGAATGTCTGTGATTCGAATGTGTTTTGCCTGCACCACCAGTTCTTGGGTTGTCCCCTCTCGGAGGTGAGCACTGTGGCAGCACAGCATGTGCAGACTCCGCTGGAATTGGCTTAACTCCGTGTGTGCACATCAGTGTCAGCCCGAGCGTCGCTGCATGTGCCCGCACTGCCCTCTGTGTTGCTCTGATGGCTCTAATGGGTCACAGCCGCTCAGCACATGTTCTCTAGCTGCTGCAGAGAGGGGAAGGGCAGAAGTTGGAGGTATAGATTCTTGGGTCCCTAAGGTCCCTTTTCAAGCTCTCTCGCTGCAGATGCTCTGGTACCGACCCCCTGTCCCAGGTGGAGGGAGCCCATTCCGCTAAGGATTCCTAAACAGTTTCTGAACAGACTTCACCTTAGCACCCATGACGAACAGGGGCTTCTGGCATTTAATTTGGCCCTTAATGTAGAACCTGGTCCTCTGATATCCTCTTACTGTAGCCAGCCTTATCTGTTGACTCACATAGTACTTTTTTTTATAGTTTACATTTATGACATAGATACACAGTCTATAATTCTAAATAGCTGTGTCTGCCTCCCTATTCCCTAATCCGCATCTTTACAGATTTGAACGGTGTGGACATAAGCTTCTCTTAGGCCTTTAGGATTTTTAGGTTGAAATTATGAAAGAAAAAAAGTTTTTTGGCCTTGACAGTAGAGGGAAGCACAAGCCTCTCTGTAAATTCTGGAGGGGCCTGTGGTGTTCATCATGGGCATCTCTGCTTCACCACACAGTTCTTTGTTGGAGAAGTTCTGGTGGAGGAGCCTAGTACAGGCATTTGTAGTCTGACATTTTTTTTATGTCCGAAAACCTTTGGCTTCCAAAAAATTGGAGCAGTAGGAATTAAAACCCATTGGCCTATCCTGGACATTAGCTTGTCCCTGTAGGACAGTGTAAGCTGGAAATTCTTGCGTTTGTGAACTAAGACCGTGTTGCCTTAGGGTAACTCCTTTACAGCCTCTCCCTCCCCATTTCTATTTTCACCTCTCCGTGGGCTCTGTCAGCTAGCAGAGCATTTGGTGGAAGAAAGACAGCCCAGCTCTTCCCATGATTGGGAGCCACAGCCATCTCTGTATGAAAGGGGGAATGTGTAGAAGAGAAATTACCTCTTTATAAAGAGCCCAGGTGTCTCCTTGTGACATTCACTGTTTCTCGGAATCATTGCCTTTGAGTCTGCTTTTTGTCCACATTTTGGAATCAGCTCACTGCATGATCAAAGATGATCCTTCGCTTTTTTCTTTTTCTCAGAAGCTTCAGCAGTCTTTTATTTGGAGAATAAAATGAAGTTGTACTGAAAAAAGAAAGTACAGGTCTCATGAAGAAGAGTTATTTGCAGCTGGAATGTTGAGAGGGCACAGTGGCAGAGCAGATCTGAGTAATGCTTATTCCGAAGAAGTCAGAAAGTTTGGCTTCCTTCTGTGGGGTCTTGATTGTGCCTCTTTACACAGGGTCTGACTTCATTACCTCATCTGAAACTAAGTACCACTAAGCTTTGGTTTGATTTCCAGAATCTTGCTGGGCTAAACACAAGTAGATGTTTCGTTCATTGTTGGGAATAGGCCCCCAAAATCTGGCCATAAACTGGTCCCCAAACTGGCCATAAACAAAATCTCTGCAGCACTGTGACATGTTTGTGATGGCCATGACGCCCACGCTGAAGGTTGTGGGTTAACCGGAATGAGGACAAGGAACACCTGGCCCACCCAGGGCAGAAAACCGCTTAAAGGCGTTCTTAAACCACAAACAATAGCATGAGCGATCTGTTTAAGGAGAGCATGCTCCTGCTGCTGATAACTAGCCAGAGCCCATCCCTTTATTTCGGCACATCCCTTTGTTTCCCGTAAGGAATAGTCTTAGTTAATCTATAATCTATAGAAACAATGCTTATCACTGGCTTGCTGTCAGTAAATATGTGGGTAAATCTCTGTTTGAGGCTCTCAGCTCTGAAGGCTTGAGACCCCTGATTTCCCACTCCACACCTCTATGTTGCTGTGTGTGTCTTTAATTCCTCTAGTGCCACTGGGTTAGGGTCTCCCGACCAAGCTGGTCTCAGCAGTTGATCATAAAGGATGCTGTTAAGCCAGATAGGTAAGCATGGTGACAGTGGCAATAGAAATCTAATGGAAAACAGTTGAATGACAACTACACCAAAAGCCCCATGGGTGAAACTCAGCCTGGAAACTTAGTGTTCAACTCAGAGCGATCCACAATTTTATGTGGATTTTAAACTTCCAGAAATGTGATTTTAAACTTCCAGAAATACCTGTGTTTGTGAAGATCCAAATCCATTTCAGCAACCTCCATCAGGCAGAAACCTCCTGCAGTTCTCAGCATGGAGCTATTAGCTATCCAAAGGAAAGCTAGTATCTATTTTATCCAAAGGATGAGACAAGGCAAGAGTTACTGTCTAATAAAAGGAAAATTAGGAACAGGAGTGCTCTTTAAACTCAGGAAGATGTTTTGGGGTGTCAAACCAGACAGCACAGAATCACTAGAAACATTAGCTTGGTGTGAGAAGGAAGAGACATTGATATCTTCTGTGTAAAAATAAATACTTGCGAGTAGGACTGCAGATTCTGGGAGCTCTTTATCTCGTATTCAGAGTTGTTGGGATGATTTAAAACTCATTTGCTGGATGTTTTTAAATATAAACATTAAGAAAACTGCAACCTCAACTTAAAAGGCACCACTGTATTTGCAGCCCACATTTTGTCCTATCTTTACTCCAGGTACTGCTGAGTATTTTTATCTGTAAGCATTTGTAAAATGCTAAATAATGTTGTTATACAGAAGCTCGTCTGCTGCTTAAGGTTTTTTGTTTGTTTGTTTTTGTTTTTGTTTTTTTTGAGACGGAGTCTCCCTCTATCACCCAGGCTGGAGTGCAGTGGCGCAGTCTCAGCTCACTAACCTCCATCTCCCGGGTTCACGCCATTCTCTTGCCTCAGCCTCCTGAGTAGCTGGGACTACCGGTGCCCACCACCACACCCAGCTAATTTTTTATATTTTTAGTAGAGACGGAGTTTCACTGTGTTGGTCAGGATGGTGTGGATCTCCTGACCTTGTGATCTGTCTACCTCAGCCTCCCAGAGTGCTGGGATTACAGGCGTGAGCCACTGCGCCCGGCCTGCTGCTTGAGTTTTAATCACCAGCTATGTTTCTGCAGGCCCTTTATGTCATTTTGTTCTACATTTTTTCATGAATATAGTTTCAGAACTTCAAAGCCTCCTCAAATAATAGAATTTGAAGGAGAAACAAGCTGGACTTTAAATATAAGTTGTAGATAGAAGGTTGAGCTGGGATATGAATGATTTTATTATTAGAACAAGAGGACGTGGAGCAAAAACACTAGTTTTGCATAAATTAATTTTTTTTTTTTTTTTTTTTTTGAGACGGAGTCTCGCTCTGTCGCCCAGGCTGGAGTGCAGTGGCGGGATCTCGGCTCACTGCAAGCTCCGCCTCCCGGGTTCACGCCATTCTCCTGCCTCAGCCTCCCAAGTAGCTGGGACTACAGGCGCCTGCCACTACGCCCGGCTAATTTTTTGTATTTTTAGTAGAGACGGGGTTTCACCGTTTTAGCCGGGATGGTCTCGATCTCCTGACCTCGTGATCCGCCCGCCTCGGCCTCCCAAAGTGCTGGGATTACAGGCGTGAGCCACCGCGCCCGGCCATAAATTAATTTTTAAGCAAAACTGTAGAATCTCAGAAAATATAGTATGGACTTTTTAGTCTAGATGTGTCTTGTTGAAATTTAAAAATGAATAGATTGGTGAATTAATGTATTGGATTTTCTCCTAATTATGAAGTAATATTTAGGTATACTGGTAGCAAAATGGAGATGTGTCAAGAAAAATACTAATCTTTCTCCTCCTTCAGTACTCACCCTGCAAGGTAATCACTGGTAACAGTGTGTATATTTTTTGTTAATCATAAAATGTATAGGTTTCATTTATATATGTTTAAATATAAACAGGACTGTGTTCTACACAGTATGCTGCACCTTCACTTTTTATTTCATGTAACATGGGCATCCTTCCAGGTCAATACATACAAAGAGAACTCATTTTAAGAGCTGCATGGCCTTCCACAGGAGGGACGTGCCCTGGAATATTCAAATATTGTCTTACTAATGCCAGCAAGGTTATAGTTTTCTTTGTTATGAATAATGCTATAATACGAGTCCTTATTCATATAGTCCTATATAGTTGTGATTTTATTTTTATAGGATGAATTTCTAAAACTATGACTGCTGCTCTAGAGAATATACACATTTTTATCTTAATAGATGTCTCCAGGTTACTCACTTGACTGCTGTGACATTTCACTTTCTTTTTTTTGTTTGTTTTTTTTTTTGAGACGGAGTCTCGCTCTGTCACCCAGGCTGGAGTGCAGTGGCACGATCTTGGCTCACTGCAAGCTCCACCTCCCGGGTCCACACCATTCTCCTGCCTCAGCCTCCCGAGTAGCTGGAACTACAGGCGCCTGCCACCACGCCCGGCTAATTTTTTGTATTTTTTAGTAGAGACGGGGTTTCACCGTGTTAGCCAGGATGGTCTCGATCTCCTGACCTCGTGATCGGCCTGCCTTGGCCTCCCAAAGTGCTGGGATTACAGGCGTGAGCCACCGCACCTGGCCGACATTTCACTCTTGATGAACGTGCCCATCTCTGCATAGTCTGAGCAGCCACAGAAAGTGTTGATCTTATTTTTGCCAATAGGATAAGTGAAAAATACTATCTTATTAGATTTTAATTTGTATTTCTCTGAGCATATTTTTATGTGTACTAACCAATTGCACTTTCTCTTCTAGAGTTGCTAGTTTAGCACTTTTGCCTATTTTTTCACTGAGCTGATTGTTTCTTTCATCAGTTTATAAGTCAGTATTTTATTAGGGATGTCGGGGTTTTTTTGTTTCGTTTTGTTTTGGGGGGGTTGTTTTTTGTTGTTGTTGTTTTGAGACAGGGTCTTGCTTTGTCACCCAGGCTGGAGTGCAGTGGCACGATCACAGCTCACTGAAGCCTTGACCTCCCAGGCGCAAATGATCCTCCTACTCAGCCTCCCAAATAGCGGGGACTACAGGCGAACACCATGCCTTCCTAATTCGAATTTTTGTCCAGATGGGGTGTCACTTTATTGCCGAGGCTGGTCTTCAACTCCTGGGCTTGAGTGATCCTCCCACCTTAGTCTCCCAAATCACTGGAATTATAATTGTGAATCACTGTGCTTGCCCAAAGATGTGTTTTTATCCCCAGTGCACTACAGGCCTTTGGCTTTAACATCTGTATCATAGAAAAGTTTATATTTTTATATAATGTTAACTGTTAGTGTTTTCTTTTGTTATTTCTTTTTGTTTGTTTGAAGGTTTTCCCTCTCCAATCTTATTTGTTACAAATAAACTATTAAGTTTCATTCTCTGTTTTATGCACGTGCACACACAGACACACACACAGATACACACACACACAGGCGTTTGATCCACCTTTCTTTATTTAATCTGATGTGAGCTGTGCGTCTTTCTCTCCCGGTTAGATAGCTGGTCATGCCAGCACTATTACCAGAACCATCCTTTGTCCACTGAATTGAAATCCCACCTTTACATGATTCATTTCATCTGCATTCGGAGAGAACTGCCCTAAGTATGCCCCCATTTCTTTTTCTTTTGAGTTAGATCTGCTTTAAAATATTAATGAGTTATTAGATTGCTTATATTATTTTTAACTCACCTTTCATTTTAAATTGTCATCTTTAATTTATGTCTTCTTATTTTATTGAATTTTAAGGTAGATACTATCAGTGTCAAATTGTTTCTGGTCATGAATTTACAAACGTTGGTCCTCTCTTGAGTGCAGTTTCCCCTTCACTTTGTATTATGAAATATTTGCATTGGCTGGGCATCATGGCTCATGCCTGTAATCCCAGCACTCTGGGAGGCCTAGGTGGGTGAATCACCTGAGGTCAGGAGTTCGAGACCAGCCTGGCCAAAATGGTGAAACTCCGTCTTTACTTAAAAAAATACAAAAATTACCTGGGCGTAGTGGCACGTTCCTGTAATCCCAGCTACTTGGGAGGCTGAGGCTGGAGAATCTCTTGAACCCAGGTGGAGGTTGCAGTGAGCTTAGATTGTGCCACTGCACTCCAGCCTGGGCGACAGAGTTAGACTGTATCACAAAAAAATAAAATAAAATAATAAAAATTTAAAAAAGAAATATTTGCATCAAGCAGGGCATTATTTTGTTCATCACCTTCTCTTGCTGAAGCAGATCCAGGTGTGGCAGGGCGTGACATTTGGCCCAGGTCAGTGTCTGGATCCTGCTCAGTTCCACTGCCTTTACCTGACAGTGCTTAGGATCTTATGACTGAAACGCGTTGGAAGGCTCTTGAAGGTGCATATATATTACATATTGAAAGATACAGAAGCTCAGGTAGGGTAGAAAAGGGTGAGTGCCTAACGGGGAAATTCACCTGTGCCCAGTTTGTTCTCTGCTTGGTGAGCCTGGAATACAGAGCCAACTCTCTGGGTCTACATTTGCGTGCCCCTCGTCCATTTTAGATGCACGCCATGGCTTTTCCTGCCCTGTCCCTTGTCACTACTGTCCTTTGTGTCTGGGGTAAACCAACCTTGGCCTCCTCAGATGTAAATTCCTCTTGTTCCCGATCCTTTGCCAGAACGCCCTGCATCTCTCTGGGCTTCTCGTGCTCCTCACCAGCCCTGGCCTTCTAGGGTGGGGGACATTAGTGGAGGGTTTCCCTGATCTCCATTTTCTTTGGAAGGGATTTGGGGGAAAGCTCTTGGTATTTTATTTTAATTTCCCCCCCACCACATACTCTCTATTAGCAGAAATTCTTCAAAGTGTAGGCTTGTAGATGATACCTGACTACAAGATTTTTACTGTTTCTTTGATTCTTTTTGTTCAGATTTGTAGATGAAGATGCTTATGTTCAAATTGCCATCTTATCCTGTTTGATTTTGTTGTTGAATATGCTTATATTGAAATTTGAAAGTGAAATTCAGAAGATACTGTTTTGACATCTGGAGAGAGAGTACTTCATAATTTCTGTCTCACAATAGAGGGACAAACTTCTCTTAGATTCTTTTTGTGTAAAACAATAAGAAGTATTTAGAGAAAATTACGCTCCAGGCAAGGGCATAGAATGAGCAAAGGCACAGAGGCAGGACATAAAAGAAAAAAAACTTCAGGTGGCTGGGTGTATAGTCCAAAAACTAGATGGGTAGAGGGGACTCATGGGAGATCAATTGAAAGGCCTGGGGCTGGGCTTCATCCAGGTGTTCAGGAAAGATCCCAGCAGGCATGAGCATGTGGTTGGCACAACCTGCCCTCTTCACAAATATTAATCTGCCAGTTGTGAAGGTAGCAGTGGTGCCATGCAACGCTTCCCAAATGGAGTTACCCTTGAATACTTAAAAAATCATCATGGGCTGGGCATGGTGGCTCACGCCTGTAATCCCAGCATTTTGGGAGGCCAAGGTGGATGAATCACTTAATGTGATGAGTTCAAGACCAGCCTGGCCAACATGGCAAAACCCTGTTTCTACTGAACATTAAAAAAAAAATCTTGTATAGGAGCTCACCTGTGCCTGGATCAGAATAAACAACGTAAAGTGGTGTCTTGAGGAAGTAAAAGCTATAGACAATCACTGGCAATTGAAGACTCTGTTCTCTAATATAACAAAGAAAGCAACAAATTAGAGAGGTTAAATAAAAGTTTTAAAGGGAAATAATTACAGACATATATGTATGTGGTCTTAAATGACAAGGTAAGACGTAGAAGGCAGACCAGCGTTCAGTGAGGAGGGCCGTGCACCTTGTTGTGCTCTGTGGAGACGCTGCCTGCTTATAGGGTGCGTGCGTGTCACCTGCTGTGTGTGACACACCATCAGAAAGTCTGGCCTCCAAATGTTATTCACAGGTATGGGTTGCCACCTTGTAAGAACAGATTATTGTACAAAAATAGGAATGTTGAAAGAAATATTGGGAATGTTTTTTCTTAAATATTATTATATTTTAAGAAGAAATACCATCAGCATTATTTTTGGAACCGTGTATACCTCTTACAGAACACTTGTGCACAACAGAAAATTTGAGAAAGGCCTGGCCAGAGCTGGATTTGCATCCCAGATTTACCATTCATGAACCATGTGACCATCATCAAATTTTCCTCTAAAATAAGAGATAATGTGTGGAGGTTTTGTGGAAAATTAAATTAGATAACATTTTTAAGACACATGGTACTGTGCCTGTCATATACAGTGGAGTTATACTGTATTAGTTTGTTCTCACTTTGCTATAAAGAACTACTTTGAGGCTGGGCACAGTGGCTCATGCCTGTAATTCCAGCACTTTGGGAGGCCAAGGCAGGAGAGTCACTTGATGTCAGGAATTCAAGACCAGCCTGGCAAACGTGACAAAACCCCATCTCTACTAAACATACAAAAATTAGCCAGGCATGATGGCATGCACCTGTAATCCCAGCTACTTGGGAGGCTGAGGCAGGGGAATCGCTGGAATCTGGGAGGCAGAGGTTGCAGTGAGCTGAGATTGCCCCACTGTATTCCAGCCTGGGAGACAGAGCAAGACTTAGTCTCAAAAAAAAAAAAAAAAATTGAATTACCTGAGACTGGGTATTTTATAAAGAAAAAAGGTTTAATTGCCAGGCACAGTGACTCACACTTGTAATTCCAGCACTTTGGGAGGCTGAGGCAGGCAGATCACAAGGTCAAGAGATCGAGATCATCCTGGCTAACACGATGAAACTCCGTCTCTGCTAAAAATACAAAAATATTAGCCGGGCATGGTGGCGGGTGCCTGTAGTCCCAGCTACTCAGGAGGCTGAGGCAGGAGAATGGCATGAACCCGGGAGGCAGAGCTTGCAGTGAGCCAAGATCACTCCATTGCACCCCAGCCTGGGCAACAGAGCCAAGACTCCATCTCAAAAAAAAAAAAAAAAAGGTTTAATTGACTCACAGTTCTACAGGTCACACAGGAAGCATGGCTAGGGAGGCATCAGGAAACTTACAATCATGGTGGAAGGTGAAGGGGATGCAGGTACATATTCACATGGCTGGCAGGAGAGAGAGTGAATGAAGCAGGAGGTGCTACATACTTTCAAGCAACCAGATCCCTTGAGAACTCTTATCGCAAGACAGCACTAGGAGGACGGTGCTAAACCGTTAGAAACTGCCCCCATGAGCCAGTCACCTCTCACTGGGCCCCACCTCCAACAATGGGAATTACAATTCAACATGAGATTTGGGTGGGGACACAGAACCAAACCATATTATGTATGTATATTTGTTTCAGTGAAATTTTCTGTTATTAACATAGTTTTATATTCTGGGGACAAGCAGAACACATGCTTCATTTTGTTGTGTTAAATGTAGCCCCTAAACACAAAGCAACTATTTCATCAGTGATGTAACTAAAGAAAGAGCCAAACTCAGTGGCTCATGCATGTAATCCCAGCACTTTGGGAAGCTGAGGCAGAGGTATCGCTTGAGTCCAGGAGTTCAAGAACATCCTGGGCAACGTGGTGAAAACTCATCTCTTAAAAAAAAAATTAGCCAAGTGTGGTGGTGCACATCTCTAGTCCCAGCTACTCTGGAGGCTGAAGTGGGAGAATCACTTGAGCCTGGGAGATTGAGGCTGCAGTGAGCCGAGGTGTTGCCACTACACTCCAGCCTGAGTGATCCACCTCGGCCTCCCAAAGTGCTGGGATTACAGGTGTGAGCCACCAGGCCTGGACACTAATAGTATTCTTTTTTTATTTTTATTTTTATTTTTTATTTTGAGACAGAGTCTCGCTCAGTCACCCAGGCTGGAGTGGGAGTAATCTCCACTCACTGCAACCTCTGCCTTCCGGGTTCACGTGATTGTCCTGCTTCAGCTTTCCAGGTAGCTGGGATTACAGATGTGTGCCATCACTCACACCGGGCTAATTTTTGTATTTTTAGTAGAGACGGGGTTTTATTCTGTTGGTCAGGCTGGTCTCGAACTCCTAACCTCAAGTGATCCACCCGCCTCGGCCTCCCAAAGTGCTGGGATTACAGACATGAGCCACCATGCCCAGCCACTAATAGCATTCTTAATAACGATTTTCTTTGGTTATTCAGTTCAGGCTTTGTTTTGTGAATGCCTCCTACACACATACACCTACACATACACATACACACACACACACACACACACACACACACACACACACACAATTATATAACATGGTGAGTATTTAGTGAGTATTTCTCTAATCTGCTTAAATGATGCAGGGCTTTCTCATACTGACTCGTATTGTTCTAGCCAAGCAGACTGAGCATTTGAAATAACATTTTAGGATGCCCAAAGACAGGGGTACTGGAAATTAATTCTTGTGGCCTTGCTTTTTTCTTATACACTCTGAATGAGTCTATTTATCATTCAATATTTTGAATTGCAGAGAAACTTAGATAACTGAAAGGAATACCTCAGCAGAATGTAGGCTTCTCTATTTTGTTCTTATTAAATTATCAAAGAAGAAAATGAACATGAGTTATTTAAAATGATTGTCCTTGGAGGCCTTTGGGACCAAGTCATTTAAATGGACTGATAAGAAGGTGGCCCGTTTTGTGTCTTGATGACCTTCCTGAGAATGGCTGGCACAGACAGAGATTTTTTTCTCCTCAGACCTAACCTGATTTCATTCTGTTTCTGCATATTTGCCAACCTGATTTTATTCTGTGTAACATAAAGGGGAAAATGTGAAAACCAGTTCCTGTCAGTAAACCTTTAAAAATTATTTAAAAACCCAACCCCTTACAGTTTGTTAAGTTCCTAATGGTTTCTTCCAATGAAGTTTTCAGTTTACTGATTTTTTTTCCACTCAGAAGAAGGGGCTGTGAAGTCAAGAGTGTAAGACAGCGTGGGTTAACTGTTTTAAGTTCTGTTTCTGTGAAATGTATTCTATTCATGTTTACAGAGCAACAGAGGAAAGCTTAGAGAATTAAGTACACCGTAAATTCAACCACAGAAGCTTATGAGTAGCTAGATTAACTTCAAAACAATCAGTAAATAAATATTTTAAACTTCCACTGACCTTTTTAAAAATCTACTTCCAGATACGTTGTTTGAACTATTCTCATAAATTAGTCATCTTGCAAAACAGCTGTGACAATATGATGTAATGAAGAGAGCAATGATTTAGCAGTCAGAAGGCTGGGAGTCCTTGTCTTGGCTCATTCACAGGGAGATCACATGACATGCCAAAGTCCCCTAGATAAGGGAGCCATACATGAGAGGATTGAGGATTGGGTCAATGATCTATCATAAAAGACTTTCTGTGAGTCTGTGCTTACACTTAGAAACCTCACAAAGAACACACCAGGGAATTTGGGTGAGAGCAGGAGCTTCAGCTCATGCAGAATGCAGTGTTATTTTAGAGTTGTGTTGCGACTCTTAGGCTTAGAAGACAGAATGTCTGAGTCAGGATTCTGTTGTGTATAATGGATTGCACTCTCGTTGGCTTAGACGGAAAAGCGTTAAATGGCTTGCAGAATTGTTGGGAGGGCTGAGCTTCCAGGAGCAGCTCCCAAAGTCTCCACACAGAATTGGACCACCAGGGAACCTGCTCCCTCCACCAGGACAGGAGCCTTAACTTCAGAAAGCTGCCCACCCAGTTGGAAAGGTGCCACCACAGTTACCAGCACCAGAAGCATCTTGTCTCTGCTACAGTCTCTGTGCACATAGTGAACGCCCTGTGCCCTGCCTCTCTCCCCCTGACTCAGGTGCCACTCCGGGTCTCGCTCAAGTCTTTCTGATGATGGAACTTAAATCACGCCCAAAATCCCAGCTGCAGGAGAGCTCTGAGATTTCATCTTTCCAGCCTCTGTGTGCCACGTGGGGTTTGGAGCATTTGCCAACAAGCCAATCCACTGCATTCACCATTGACAATAAGCAAAATGTTTATGATCAGTAACATTTGCATTTTTTCACAATTTGCAGCATACAGACTTCTTAATTAGAGCTAATGTCAAGTCATTCTACATATAAAAATATCATTTTTGACCGTTTCTCAAGAAACAGCTTTTTAAAAAATCAAGAGCAATGCCTACATTATTTCCTGATGCAAAGCTGGTAGAGAAAATAGGATGTTAAATTTAGAATTTCCCTTCCAGCTTTGTTTATTTTCTCCACATCAGCTCTGTTTTCCTCTGTGTCTTTTTCTCCCATGGGGACGTCTTCCACCTTTTCAGTTTGATTTGACCTTTGCCGTGCAGACCTGTGGATGAAGAGCCAGAGTCCCCCAAGGTCGATGCTGCTGGCCAGTGGCCTGGTGTGTGTGTTAACAGAACATCTCCAACGCCCTCAGAGCCCATGACCACCATAAGTCACTCATCAAGTCATTTGACTTGGGATGCCCTGGTATTTAATCATTTTTTTCTATAAGCAAAGTTCCACATTCAAACTTTGGCCCGACATATCAAACGTTTCTTGACTGTACCCTGGCCCCACGTTGTTAACAACCACAAGGGCACTTTCCAGGTACTACCACATGGAGCCGCTGCAGGCAGGAGCCTGGCCCAGGCTCCGGGGAGGCACTGATGGAGAGCCTGACTCATGAGTAACACAAAAGCAGCCTCTTCCTCTCTACCTCTTCCTCCTCTCCAGTTCCTGCCTTGCCTCATTTCTTTTCTGCCTCTCATAGCCATTAAATTCAGGTCACTACTATTTGCCATTTTCTTATTTCATGAGAAATAGCACGGTCAGCCAGAGGCTTCATCTCCAAGGAAACCAGGCATCACAACTGTGCACCTGACCCTTTTGTAGGCACCCTTGGCCATCCCCATCTTGCAGCCTGCTAGACATTTTTCTACCTGGTCTTGTATGTGAGCACCTGTGTTGATCTGTCACTTCTGATCTTGGTGTGCTCCCAGGTTTCCTGGAATTTTCTGATAGACTCACAATACCCCTTTAGTCATGTTTATCTTCATGTATGAGAAAGATGCATAGCTATACTTCATACATATACTGTACACATAAAGATAGCAAATAGAAGAAACAATATGCATCTGTCCACTGTAACAGTATCTTTCTTCCTGGACTTCAATGAACATGCCATTGTATTGAAAGACTCTAGTAGGGTGGGCGCGGTGGCTCACGCCTGTAATCCCAGCACTTTGGGAGGCCGAGGCGGGCAGATCACGAGATCAGGAGATTGAGACCATCCTGGCTAACATGGTGAAACCCCGTCTCTACTAAAAATACAAAAAATTAGCTGGGCATGGTGGTGGGTGCCTGTAGTCCCAGCTGCTCAGGAGGCTGAGGCAGGAGGATGGCATGAACCGGGAGGTGGAACTTGCAGTGAGCCGAGATCGCCCCACTTCACTCCAGCCTGGGCAACAGAGCAACACTCTGTCTCAAAAAAAAAAAAAAAAAGGCTGTAGTAAAAATTAATCCTAGAATGTACCCGGTTATTATCTCTGCTAAAATAGTTTGCAATTAAATTAAATGAAGATTAAACTACACATATTGAAAGACATGAAAGCCCAGTGAGTGAGTCAGTGAAAATGGGAAATGAATTAACAGTCACAGTTTGTGCAAGAACTTTCCTGTTCCTTCCTCCCCTAGGCACCTCATTATTTAAACATATTCGTTTTACTCAGTTGTCCTACATCTAGGACTGGCCTCCACTCAGCTAACTCCTCCTCCCCTCTCATTTCTCCAATTCAGCTCTAGTCCAGAGGAGAAAAGAATAATAAATATCACACTAAACACCATGGAATACTTCTCAAGTCACCAAAGAGGTAAATCAAAAAGTATTATTTGCTATTTTGAACTGGAACAACATGTAAATGTTCCCATCTCTTTTCTTGGCAGATGGAACTGGACAGAATACTTCTGTCCATAAGGCCCTTAGAAGCCCCCTAAGCGAAATACCAATGAGGACCTCCCCAGCAGCTGCTGTCTCTCCTGCCAGGTAGATGAGCCCCAGGAATAACCACTGCTTATGGTTTGTTGTATATCCCTCTAGATGTTTTTCTTTATACATATGTGTGTGTGTGTGTGTCTGTGTCTGTGTGTGTAGAGAGAGGGTGTGTGTTGTGTAAATTGGATTATACTACACGTTAGTCCAACACTTACTCATTTCACTTTATCATTGGAATGTGAGCTCCGTGAGGACCAAGATTTTTGTTTATTTTGCTTGCTAACACATCTTTTGTCGGTAACAGGGAGTGAAACATGGTCACATCATGATAGAAGCTCAACAAATATTTGTTGAATGAATAAAGGAATATGTCTGAGACATCTTTACATTGCAACATTTGGAGAAATGATTCCTTTTTGTAAAGGTTATATAATACACATCAATTTATATAGCCATACTTCTACTGATAGATTTTAGGTTACTTGGGGTAAACAATAAAGTGAAGATCCTTATGCAATTTTTTGACCACTAAAGGGGCTATTTCTGCATAAGGGTGGATCAAGATTCATTTGCAAATATGAGAGATCACTGTAGTTAAGCAGAAAGGGATTTAATCCAGGGCATTTGGTACTGGAAGGGCTGGAGAAGGCAGTAGGCTCTGTCCACTGAGCTTCCAGGAAGGGTTCCCAGAGCATCTCAATGCTGGTCCAGTAAAGGAGCTTCTGTTCCTGCCAGAATCAGGAAGTCTTTCTGTAGGTACATGCCCAGGTCCACCACTGCTGCCAAGATCTAGGATCAGCCTTGGGACCACACAGCCACAGGTGCAGTCCATGCCAGCACACCATGCTCTGTGCCTGCCTCATACTGCCCAGAAGATGATGGAACAGACCTAAGAATCTCCACTTCCCTGCCACAGAACAGCAAATGCCTTCCCAGCCATGCTTGCCAGGAGAAGCTGCAGAAGGGCAGCTTTCTACTCCCTGTACCTTCCACGTCCTCTGAGAAGGGGCCTGTTTGACAGAAACTAGGCCACTTAATAAGCCAAGCTTTAAGGACTTTGGCAAATACACCCCTTAGCTTTCCAGTCTCATATAAGTCAGTAAATCACCCTTCAAAGAGACAAGGATGGAATCAAGTGAGCCTGTCCTGAGATCTTCCACACATTGATTCCTAGAAAAGGAAAATGGAGTCCTAGAAAAGGAAGTGTATTTGACCTGTCCTGGCACGTTGAAAAACTTGATAGACACATTGCCCTCAGTTTACCCTCCCACTCATACCATGCAAGGTACTGTTTTCCCAGAATTTTCACACTCTATAAATTTTAAAGATTAAGTAAATGAACAATAATAACTTGATTTACTTTGTCCTTCAGTAAGGTTGAGCACTTCGTATGTTTACAGACGGTTTATTTTTTATATGTGTGAATGAAAACTTACATACTTTGCCTGTATTTATTTTGAGGTATTAGTCTTTTTCCTATTTGTAAGAAATCTTGATATATTGTGCTTTTTAGCTTTTTTATATGTAATGCTATTATTTTCTTTGAACTTTCTTTGAAGTTATATTTTACTGAAGAAAAATGTTGCATCTTGTATTCAGTGCTTTCCTTTATGATTTTAAGTGTTTTGTTTCCTACCTTAAAAAGACCTTTCTAGCTATTAGATTATGAAAATATTCTTCCTTAACATCTTAAAGAAGTCTTTTATTTGTTCAGTCTTAAAACCCATAGAAACATGGGTTTGAATTTAAGTGATCTTTCCCTATCTTAACTGACTTCTGGACTCAGAAATAAATACTCTTTGAAGGAAGATTACATCATCCAGAACCTCAACTTATAGCCACATTAAAAAAATATATGGTGTCATAGTCAATTTAAAAAATACTAAGTATACAAATAGATAATACCAAATGATGAAAAAAACAAGAGAAAACTAGGCAACAGAAACAGACACAGGAGATCCAGATATTAGACACGGACTTTAAAACAACTGAGATTAATCCAGTAAAGAAAATAAGTAACAAGGTGGATAATTTCAGCAGAAAACCACAATCTATAAAAAAGAATCCATTAGAAATGTTGTAACTTAAAAATAAAATGCCTAAATTTAAGACTCAACAAAGTTTACCTGTAGATTAAACATTTTCAGAGAGGCTTAAGGAACTAAAGACAAGTTGATAGAAATATCTGAACTGAAGCGCAGAGAAAACAAAGAATAGGAAATAGAGAAAAGGACATAAGAGCTACATGGGATGGGGTGAAAAGATCTAATGTGTAATTGGAGTCCCCAAAAGGGAAAACAAGAAAAACAAGACAGATAGGGCAGAAGCAGTATTGGAAGAGATAATGGCCAAGAATTTTGAAAACTAAACAGATGTTAAGCCCTAGATTCAAGAACAACATGAACCGAAAGCAAAGTAAGTGCAAAGAAAACCACCTAGACACATTAGGCTAAAACTGCTAGTAATGAAAGAGAAAGCATCGTAAAAGCACTCAAAGGGAAAAAAGAAACCTTAATATCAAAGGAGCAAGAGCTAAAACTGACATCTGCCTTCTCAACAAAAATGATGGAAGCCAGAAGACAATGCAGTGGCGTCTGCAAAATGCAGAAGGAATGCCTGCTTTCCTAGAATACCGTACTTGGTGAAAATACCCTTCAAAGGTGAACACAAAAGGAAGATGCTTTCAGTACAACAAAAACAGATTTCTTTTTTACCAGTGTACTTGTGATGAAAAGATTATCTTAAAAAGTTCTGCATGAAGTTTGTTCTTTTAAAAGATTATTAAAATTGATGAACCTCTGACAAGGCTGATATAAAGAAAAGGTATAAATTAGCTATATCAGGAATTTTTAAAGGGGTGTATCACTAAAGATCCCATAATTATGAAAACAGTGATGAGGAGATTACAGATTAGTGCTCTGTATAGTACTACTCTATAAATTAGAAAATGTTGATGAGATGGTCAAAATCTTAGAAAAACATCACTTACTAAACTGACATAAAAAGTAGTAGGAAATCCTGATAGTCTGTAATTTAAATAATTTTCTCAAAGGAAATGCCAGGAGGCCCAGATGGTTTCATCATGAAATCTCCCAAACATTTAAGGAAGAAATAACACCAATCTTATATATATTCATACAGAGACTAGAAAAAGACTAGAAAAAAAGGTAAACTTTCTTAGATCATTTAAGAGGCCAGTGTATCTTCGATACCTAATTCTTGCAAGGACATTAAAAGACAGGAAAATTAAAAGGTCAGTGTCTCTCATGAACCTCCATGCAAAAATCCAGAACAAAATCTTGGAAAACCTAATTCAGAGATACATTTATTTATTTATTTACTTATTTATTTTTGAGACGGAGTTTCACTCTTGTTGCCCAGGCTGGAGTGCAATGGCACGATCCTGGCTCACCGCAACCTCCGCCTCCCAAGTTCAAGTGATTGTCCTGCCTCAGCCTCCCAAGTAGCTGGTATTACAGCCATGCACCACCACGCCTGGCTAATTTTGTATTTTTAGTGGAGGCGGGGTTTCTCCATGTGGGTCAGGCTGGTCTCGAACTCCTGACCTCAGGTGATCTGCCCACCTTGACCTCCCAAAGTGCTGGGATTACAGGCGTGAGCCACCGCGCCTGGCCTCAGAGATACATTTAAAAGATCATGTTAAATTGGGTTTATTCGAGGAATGCAAGGTGGTTTTAACTACTGAAACCAACCACAGTTAATTTACCACATTAACAAAGGTATATAAAAAGTATAGTCATCTTAGTAGATGATAGGAAAATATGTTCAGTAAAGATTAATACCTTTCTTAATGAAAAGTCTTAGAAAACTAGGAATAGAAGGGCAATTCCTTAATCTGATGAAGGGTCTCTATTATATATCTACATCATACGTCATACTTAATGGTGAAATATTGGACGCTTTCCCACAAGATTATGAATGAGATAGGAATGCCCCATATTGTCACTTTTGTTCAGCTCATTTCAAAAGCAAGATATAAAACTACTTTTGAAAACTGTATACCATTATATTTATGTGAGACATGGATACATGGAATTGTGTTTAATGCGATGTGGAGTAGGACCTCTAAGGGAAAGAATGCTTTGGAAAACCTCACAATGGCCCTCCTCACTCATGTGCACAGACAGATGTACCAGGATATTCGTTTCCTAATGCTTATATCAATATCAATGCCAGTATTAACAGAGAATCGATCAAATAAATTATGGTAATGAAAATAGCTAAAATCTACTGAATGTCTACTATGTACCAGGCCATGTTTTGATTGTTCTAACTGGATTTAACTCTTTTTTTTTTTTTTTTCTTTTTGAGACGGAGTTTTGCTCGTTGCCCTGGCTAGAGTGCAATGGCACCATCTTGGCCCACTGCAACCTCCACCTCCTGGGTTCAAGCAATTCTCCTGCCTCAGCCTCCCAAGTAGCTGGGATTACAGGTCTGCACCACCAGACCCGGCTAATTCTATATTTTTTTAGTAGAGATGGGATTTTACCATGTTGGCCAGGCTGCTCTTGAACTCCTGACCTCAAGTGATCCACCCGCCTCGGCCTCCCAAAGTGCTGGGATTACAGGCATGAGCCACCACACCCGACCAGATTTAACTCATTTAATCCCCCCCAACAATCCTCTGGGGTAGGTACTATTTATATCAGTGCCATTTTATAGATAAAGAAAATGAAGCACAGAGGATGAAGTAACCCAGAGTTGTGCAGCTGGTTGGTGGCTATGTGGCCCCAGAGCCCTGTGCTTGGCCTCTTGTGTAACACTTCCCATGAGAAGCCACCAAAAAGGTAGATAGAGAATGACCAGTAAGTGAAAGAAGCAAAACGGTATGCAAAGCAATGGAATCCTGTGATAACATTTGTGTTTTTAGAATAACAGAGGGTTTTTCTTCAAGGGTTTTCCTTGAATAATATCACTCTCACCTGCATTCTGAAATGCTTTTTTTTAATGGTGGTAAAACAAATACACCATGAAAACTACCCTCTTAACAAATTTTTAAGTACGGTTAACTATAAGCACAATGTTGTACAGCAGATCTCCAGAAACTTTTTCTAAAATTTCAACTTTATTTCAGATTCAGGGTACATGTGCAGGTTTGTTACAATGGGTATATTGTGGGATGCTGAGGTTTGGGGTACAATTGATCCCATCATTCGGGTGGTGAGCATAGTATCCAATAGGTAGTTTTTCAACCTTTGCCCCCCTCCCCATTCTACCACTCTCCAATGTCTATTGTTGCCATCTTTTTGTCCTCTAGAACTTTTTTATCTTGCTTGACTGAAACTGTACCCACTGAACAACTCCCCACTTGCCCTCCCCACAACCTCTGGCAGCCACCACTCTACTCTCTGCTTCTCTGAGTTTGACTACTTTAGATTCTTCACTGATACGGTTTCCCTCTGTGTCCCCACCCAAATCTCATCTCGAATTGTAATCTCCATAATCCCCATGTGTCTAGGGAGGGACTTGGTGGGATGTGATGGGGTCCATTTCCCCCATGCTGTTCTTCGGATAGTGAGTGCTCACGAGATCTGATGGTTTTATAAGTGTTTGACAGTTCCTGGTTTTATAAGTGTTTGACAGTTCCTCCTCCACATGCACTCTGTCTTTCTCTGTCCCCGCCTTCCCCCACCTTCCTCCTGCCACCTTGTGAAGAAGGTGCCTATTTCCCTTTCTACCATGATTGTAAGTCTCCTAAAGCCTCCTCAGCCATGTGAAACTGTGAGTCAATTAAACCTCTTTATAAATTCCCAGCCTCAGGGAAGGTCTTTATAGCCGCGTGAAAACTGACTAATAGTGTAAATTTGTAGCAGTAGAGTCAGGTACTGCTATAAAGATAGCCTGAAAATGTGGAAGTGACTTTGGAACTGGGTAACAGGCAGAGGTTAGAACAGTTTGGAGGGCTCAGAACAAGATAGGAAGATGTGGGAAAGTTTGGAACTTGCTAGAGATTTGTTGAATGGTTTTGACCAAAATGCTGATATGATGTGGAAAATGAAGTCCAGGGTGAGGTGGTCTCAGATGGGGATGAGGAACTTATTGGGATCTGGAGCAAAGGTCACTCTTGCTGTCTTTTAGCAAAGAGACTGATGGCATTTTGCCCCTGCCTTAGAGATCTGTGGAACTTTGAACTTGAGAGAAATGATCTGAAATTGGAACTTATGTTTCAAAGGGAATCAGAGCATAAAAGTTTGGAATATTTGCAGCCTGACAGTACAATAGAAATGAAAAACCAACTTTCTGAAGAGATACTCAGACCAGCTGCAGAAATTTACATAACAAGGAGCCGAATGTTAATCACCAAAACAGTGGGAAAAAATGTCCCCAGGACATGTCAGAGATCTTGGTGGCAGCCTGTCCCATCACAGGCCCAGTGACCTAGGAGTTAAAAATGGTTTTGTGGCCTGGGCCCAGGGCCGCCCTGCTCTGTGCAGCCTTGGGACTTGGTGCCCTGTGTCCCAGCTGCTCTAGCTCCAGTGGTGGCCAGAAGGGGCCAATGTACAGCTTGGGCCATTGCTTCAGAGGGTGCAAGCCCCAAGTCTTGGTGGCTTCCATGTGGTGTTGGGCCTGTGGGTACACAGAAGTCAAGAACTGAGGTTTAGGAACCTCTGTCTAGATTTCAGAGGATGTATGGAAATGCCTGGATGACCAGGCAGAAATCTGCTGCAGGGATGGAACCCTCATGGAGATCCCCTGCTAGGGCAGGGCAAAAGAGAAATGTGAGGTTGGTGCCCCCACACAGAACCCCCCTGGGGCACTGCCTAGTGGAGCTGTGAGAAGAGGGACACCATCCTCCAGACCCCAGAATGGTAGATCCACTGACAGTGTGTACCGTGCACCCAGAAAAACCACAGGCACTCAACACCAGCCCGTGAAAGCAGCTAGAAGGGGTGTTGTACCCTGCAAAGCCACAGGGATGGAGCTGCCCAAGACCATAGGAGCCTACCCCTTGGATCAGTGTGACCTGATGTGAGACATGGAGTCAAGGAGATCGTTTCAGAGCTTTAAGATTTGATGACTGCCCCACTGGGTTTTGGACTTGCCTGGGGCCTGTGGCTTCTTTATTTTGGTCAATTTCTCCCATTTGGAACAGGAGCATTTATTCAATGCCTGTACTCCCATTGTATCTTGGAGGTAACTGACTTGTTTTTATAGCAGTGTGAAGTGGACTAATACACTCACATACATGGAATCATGCAACATTTGTCCTTCTGTGACCGGCTTCTTTGACTTAGCATAATGTCTTCAAGGCTCATTTATGTTGTAGCATGAGACAGGATTTCCTTTTTATGGGTGAATATCTCCATTTTATGGGTAATAATATTCCATTGTATATTATGTACCATCTTTTCTTCATCCATTCATCTGGTGGTGGACACTTGGGTTGCATCCACCTCAGCTTTTGTGAATAACACTGCAATGATCATGAGAGTGCAAATATCTCTTTGAGATTCTGTTTTCAATTCTTTGGGATAAATATCTAGAAGTGGCATTGCTGGATCATTTGGTAGTTCTATTGTTATGTTTTTGAGGAACCTCCATACTGTTTTCCGTAATGGCTACACCATTGTACGCTCTCATGAACAGTGCACAAGGGTTTCTCTGCCTCCTCACCAGCACTTGTTTTTTTCTGGGTTTTGATGATGGCCTTCCTAACAGGTGTGAGGTGGCATGTCACTGTGGTTTTGATTTGCATTTCCCTGATGATTAGTGATGTTGAGCATCTTTTCATATACTTGTTGGCCATTCAAAATAGAGTGCTTTTACACACGTCCTTGAATATACAGAGAACATTCCAGGAAAGATATTCACAAAGCTGATTAGTAATGAGCACTCTTGGGAAGGAGAACTGGGGTGCAGGAGTGAAAGGGAGACTTTCTCTTCACTATTTGCCCTTTTTGTTTCTTTTGAGGATTGTGTCTATTGCATATATTACCTATTTGAATAAATGAGTTAATTAAAAACTCCCCCAGTTATTCCACTGTGTTTAAGAACTGTTGGACGCACACACGCGTGCGCACACACACACGCACCTGTGTTGGTGCTGTTCTTGATGTTACAAGCTCACCATTCTGTTGCCCCCCTGGTTTTTACAGAGGCATCTGGCTTAGAGCAGTGTGCAGTCGGCCAGCAAAGGGATGACTCAATGCTTGAACCTTCCTGACCTTCCCCTTACAGGTAAATTATATATAAACATAAAAGACTTTTGACTTACTGCAGTTTCAACCCCAGAATAATGGACGTGTCATGGACGTTAGATCCAGCAGTGCAGCTGACACAAGGAATAAGTGTCTTATCTCCTGCCAGCTGCACCTCTCAGTGTGCTTGTGCTAGGGAGACAGAAACTTTGTTGCTGATTTTTTTAAAGACATAGGGTCTTGCTTTGTTGCCCAGGCTGGTCTTGAACTCCTGGCCTCAAGCAGTCCTCTCACCTAAGCCTCCCAAAGCACTGAGATGTGAACTACCAAGCTTGGCCAAAAAAACCATTCTTTTAATTGCCAAGATGCATACTAAAGTTGAGACCACAACAACTATTGCCCTGAAGTAAATACCTCATTGACAGTACTCCCCACTTAGCCCCCTCCAGGCACCTGTCTGCTTGGATGATTCTATTTACTGTAATAAAGGATCACAGTGACAATTGCTTGCTTCCAGCAATCCCCAGAAGTTGCTTGTCAACATTGAGATCATCAGAAGCTGCAGAAACAGGGATTAATGGGCTGTTTTTGTTGTTCTCTTTAGTGACGTAAATACTGTTTTTCTCTGCTATTTAGAGCTAATTAGCCCCACTCCCAACTTTAGTACCCATAATTGGTGGCTGTGAGCTGTAGAAGGATTGTTTTCTTCCGTGACTGTTTGTGGGTCATGGGCAGCAACTGTGGGCCTGGTCTCTGGCTTGCTATGTAGCTCTAAACAAGGCACTTAGTTCTCTCAGCTCCAGTTTCCCCTATAACTATAAACTAGACAATCTTGAAAGGTTTATCCTGTTCTGTATTTTTATGGTCCTTTACGAAATATCATCTGACCAGGTATCATGGCATGCTCCTATAGTCCTAGCTACTCAGAAGGCTGAGGTGGGAGGATCACTTGAGCCCAGGAGGTTAAGTCCAAATCCAGCCTAGGCAACATAGCGAAACTCCATATCTAAAAAAGAAAAAGAAATATCATCTGGAGGATTCAGTCTATTTCATTATCTGTTTTGATTGTGACTAATATGACAGCAGAAAGAGCCTTGAAAGAATTAAGGGAGGAGACCACCCCTCATATTGTCTTATGCCCAATTTCTGCCTCCAAAGAAAGAAGTAGTAAAAACTAAAAGGCAGAAATGAAATCCACAGACAGCCCGGCACCACACCCTGGGCCTGGTAGTTAAAAGATCGACCCCTGACCTAATCGGTTATTTGCATAAGAAAAGCACTGTGAAGCACTGTCCTGTTCTGTTCCGTTCTAATTACTGGTGTATGCAACCCCCAGTCAGGTACCCCCTGCTTGCTCAATCGATCACGACCCTCTCACGTGGACCCCCTTAGAGTTGTGAGCCCTTAAAAGGGACAGGAATTGCTTACTCAGGGAGCTCGGCTCTTGAGACAGGAGTCTTGCTGATGCTCCCAGACGAATAAACCCCTTCCTTCTTTAATTCAGTGTCTGAGGGGTTTTGTCTGCAGCTCTTATCTGCTACAGAATGATTTCTGCTTTTTTATTGAACCGGGCCCTGTGGCTGGAATGGCCTTTCTCATGTAAAAAAGTTCTTCTTGGTTCCCAGTTTCCTTCTTGCCTGCCGCTGCCTGTGACCTGGTCATCACATTGAGGCATTTTCCTGCCACTCTGTCTCTCTCTCTCTCTCTGATGTCTGTCAATTAAAACATTACCTGGGGGCAGGTAATGTCTTTCCCCAGGTAAGGGCAATTTCATAAGGTGCATGCTGGGTTTAATGCTCTGATGACATCGTCTTGAAATTCACAATAATTTTTGAACAAGGGTTGATTTGCATATAGATCCTATAAAGGAAGTGGTGGTCCTGCCTGGAGAATCCACGTCCCTATTGCATTTTCATTACATCAGAAGCATATATATGTTTATACTTGAGGATAAAATGAGAACTGTGTTGTACTGGAGAATGATGTTTGATGGCAATCAAGAGCCTCTTCTTCAGGAATAGGTGATTATGTGGTCGTTCCCACCGATCTTTGAAAGGGAAGGACCTAGGAACTGAAGCCAGACCCCCACCTCTGCAAGAGTTCCTTGCTGGAGTCACTCAGCAGACCCCCACTCTCTGGACTTTGGGGACATGAGACTGCTGAGCACCTCCACCAGAGGGAAAGTGGAAGTGGCCCCAAGAAAGAGGGAACCACGAAGCAGTTTCAGGTATCATGTCTCAAACAGTAAGAAATCAGAAAAACATAGGGCTGATCAGCTTTGATTGTTCCTTCTGTTTTGTCCTCCTGGACAATTGACTTCGACAAATACTTGCTGCATGAAAATAATTAAGATGCAGTGCCCGTCTTCAGTGAGTTTAAAAGGAGGATGCTGGACAGTAAGTAGTGTGCAAGATTAAATTAAGAGCTGTAAAAAGACAATACTAAATAGGCAAAGTACTTGAGAGTTGTTAGTTGGCATAAGAAATGTAGAGAGAAGTAGAAGTTCAGGGAATGGGGTGGTAATGTGTGTCTGGACTAGACTGGGCTTCCTAAGGCCAGGGACTCTGCCATATATATGCATGGTAGGCTCTCTGTCAGTATTTGTTGGGTGGATGGATAGGTGACTAGGACATTCCAGCTGGAAGGCAGGTTGGAGCCATATTGCAAATCTTCATTGCTAAGGAAGAGGTTTGTGCTTTATTTTGATAAAGCACTGAGGAGCCACCAAGTTTGTGGGATTTTATTCCTGTTTTTGAGTTATGGTACAGTGAGATTGGACCCATATTTTAAGGAGGAGTCATCAGAAAACAGTGGCATGTAAGGATTAGAGAGGCATTTTGAAATCAGTGTTTAAGGAGGACTTTGGCAGGGATGTGAAGGAGGGCTTGGCAGAGGGCAGGACTGCAAGACCAACAGGGTGGTCCCTAAGAGGTGGTCTTTGCTGCCACACCTCTGTCACCTCCTCCCTTTTCAGTGCCCCTGGTCACCCAGGTTACAGCAAACCTCTTTCAACTGTTTCCTCTCTCATGTCTTCCTGCTTCTTCATGTTGGTTAATCTTCTGAAGCACTGAGCACATCCTGCTGCAGACCTTGCAGAAATTTCCCATGACTCTGTCCTCTGCACTCCTCATCCTGATCTTCTAGATGCTCCACTACTTAGCACCACCCCTGCCCACCTGCCAGAATGGCCCAGCCTCTCCCTCCACCTGAACCTGTTTTAGTCCGTGCCTTAGCAATAGTGCACAAGCATATTTGAGTGTAAGTCTTTGTGTATAAGGTTCTAACTTGAATTGTCCTCCTTTTGTCCTTTCACAGTCTAAATACTGTTCTCTTTATTTAAAGGTCAAAACTTTCATGAAGTTATAGCTAACACCTGGCAGCATTGACAGCTCCCTTCTCCCTTTTTTTTTTCTTTTTCTTTTCTTTTCTTTTCTTTTTTTTTTTTTTTTTTTTTTGAGACAGATCCTCACTCTGTCACCAAGGCTGGAGTACAGTGGCGTGATCTGGGCTCACTGCAACCTCTGCCTCCTGGGTCCAAGTGATTCTCATGCCTCAGCCTCCTGAGTAGCTGGGATTATAAAGGCATGCACCATGACACCCAGCTAATTTTTGTATTTTTTTTAGTAGAGACAGGATTTCACCATTTTGGCTAGGCTGGTCTCAAACTCCTGATCTGCCCACTTCAGCCTCCCAAAACGCTGGGATTGCAGGTGTGAGCCTCCATGCCTGGCCAACATCTCCCTTCTTTGACTTTGGTGTCTTACGCTATTTCAGGTGTTTAATTTCTGTACTGCTTTGTGGTGTGGATAACTTCTGCACAATATATGCCTTAATCTCCATTTATGCTGTAATTTAGTGGACAGTAAATGTTCAGCTTACCTTTGGTATCTCTCCCAGCCCCTTGCATTGTGCAACACACATAACATTTCACTCAGTAAAACTTACGAATGAGTATGCTCATTCATATACAATATGAACGTATTGTTTATTTATCAGTATACAAAATCGGCTACTTTTGGAGTAATAGCTTTTTTTTTTTTTTTTGGGAGACAGAGTCTCACTGCAACCTCTGCCTCGGGTTCAAGCAGTTCTCCTGCGTCAGCCTCCTAAGTAGCTAGTAGTAGCTTTTTAATACATATTATCATTACTAATAAGGGTACTATCAAAGGATTTATGAAAGTCTGAATGAATAAGCTAGGACTTATTGTTATACCTTTGGATGTAGCCTATATTTGCACCCAAATAGATGAAGTCATATATTTTAGAGGTTTAATTTAAAGCCCCAGATATTACATATTGTCCTGTTTATGTGCGCGAGATTTAAATAATCAAAAGAGGTTTTAAAAACCAGAATTAGTGCTATTCTAAAATTCTCCTTTTCATTATACCAGAAATGCATACAGGAAGGCTATGGGTATATTAATATGCTTCTGATATTTTATCTTTCATAGTGAAAAGTTAAATTAGTAAAATCAATTTATTTCAATTTTACATTTATCTCATTGAGATAAAGCAATGGCAGGATATCTGGTATTTTTAATATGCCCTTCCAATATACCTTGAAAAATTTTTTTTTATTTTTTAGAGATGGGGGTCTCGCTCTGTTGCCCAGGATGGAGTGCAGTGGTATAATCATAATTCACTACATCCTTGAACTCCTGGCCTCAAGCAGTCCTCCCACCTCAGCCTCCTGAATAGCTGGGACTACAGGTGTGCGCTACCATGCCCAGCTTATTTATTTATTTATTTATTTATTTCAGAGTTGAGGTCTCACTATGTTTCTCAGGCTGGTTTCAAGCTCCTGGGCTCAGGTAATCCTCCTGCCTCAGCTTTCCAAAGTGCTGGGATTACAGGCGTGAGCCACTGTGCTGTGCCCGTCTCTACCTTTTAAATGTTATTTAGATACTGATGTAGTCTTGAAACCTGTAGAATGCTTTTGTATAGATACCCTTAATTCAAATGAGTTTGAATTAAAGTTCTAGCCTGAATTATATTTACACAAATAAAAGACTAGATGGATGAGCAACAGATGGATTTTAAAACAAAATGTAGCAAAACTCTCCCCAGACTCATGACAGTCAGGAGGCACAATTTCATGTTTATTTCACACTGTGAGACATCAAATACATTATTAATGTAACTAATGTGGTTGTTTCTTCAGATTCTGGCTGAATAAACCAGACATTTGCTTTTCTAAAGTAGGTATTTAGTTCTTGTGAATTTGAGGATTCTAAACATTAGCATCTTCTCCTTAACGTGCTCTTCTCTCTAACCAGTGTGGAAAGAAGAAACCCTCTGGTGGCCTTGGCCCGGGAATATGGCGGTTTCAAGTGCAATGCTGTACTGAAATGGTACCAGAAGAAGACAGAAGGTTACATGGTAAGGGACAATGTCAGCCAGCTTCCACCAGCCCTGGGCAGTAGTAGGCCTGTGCCAGTACATGTTCCATGTGTGCCTGTGCTTGGTGGACCAATATGCATGTAATTATCATCTTTCTGTTCTCCTAGACAGAGAGGCATATGCAACGGGAAGCCAGTTTGCACTCCCACCAAACATATGGGTGTATGCAGAGCTGCATCTCCCTAGGGAAGGGGGACCTTTTCCTTTGCTCAAAGTGTTACCGATCATGGGTTCTTAGGCTCTTGATGCAATAGAAATTCTCACCAGGCCAAAAGAGTTTTCCTAGCAAGGCTTTATTGGAGCATATGCCCAGGCACAAGGGAGGAAGCACAGGAGAGGGAGGATTCTCTGGCTGACTCCCTGAAATGAGCTGATAGGGATTTCTTTTATTAGGCAATGTGCGGAAATTGATGTCAAGGTAGGGAATGTGGGCTGGGCAGGGTAGAGAACGTGAGGGGGAGGGGACATGGGTCGGCTTATCTGCTGGCAATGGTTGTCTTGAGTAATGGGCCATCTGGTGCTCTGGTTAGTGGCAGCAAGGCTGTATGAATCAGTTGTTTAGCATTCCTTCCTGAGGTGGGATACTTGCAACCTTGGTTGGATATTTTGGATCTCCTAAGGCCAGTTCCTGTAATCCTTTAAGTAAAAGGCAAGGTTAAACATTATGAGAGCACCGAAGAACAATATAGAATGGCTGTTTTCTTTGCGTGACTGTTAGTGGGTATGGCATCAGTGAGGTAGTGGTGTGGGTTTTGTGATCAGTGGGAATGCATGAAAGAATGCTGTAGTGGGGCCTCCACCCAAGGAGACAGCTTTTGCTAAATTACACTCCCAAAGAAGAGTGCTTTGCCTAATTCATATAAAGGCCCTACATAAATGAGCCTCCAAAACTTCTCCAAATATTTTCTTTCTGTTGCTTTCAGAGTTGTTTGCATTTAGTTTAAAGAGTTTTTGTTTACTAGGACAGTATCTGTTTTCTGTTCAGAAAAGGAATTAATACCTGGTATAAGTTTAAGTTTTTTGTGCGTGTGAAACACTATACACAAAGATAAAAATGCACAAAATATAAACTATAGTGTTTTTTTTGTTGTTGTTGTTTAAGAGACGGAGTCTCATTCTGTTGCCCAGGCTGGAGTGCAGTGGCGTGATCTCGGCTCACTGCAACCTCTGCCTCCCGGGTTCAAGCAATTCTCCTGCCTCGACCTCCGGAGTAGCTGGGATTACAGTCGTGAGCCACCACACCTGGTTAATTTTTGTATTGTTACTAGAGATGGGGTTTCACCGTGTTGGCCAGGCTGGTCTCAAACTCCTGTCCTCAGGTGATCCACCTACCTCAGCCTCCCAAAGTCCTGGGATTACAGGCATGAGCCACCACTCCTGGCCTCAAATGATAGTCTCTTGAACTATGAGGAAGTGAAAAGTCACACAGTCACCACTCGCATCCAGAAGAAGAGCATCGCCAGCTCCCACAGACCTTTCCTACAACTTTCCCATCATAACCCCTCACTACTCCCTAAGATAACCATTGTCCTCAATTATTCTCCTTATGGATTTTCACAAAAGTATGCAGCCCTGAATATTATGTTAGTATTGCTTGCATTTGAATTTTATTATAAATGGAATTTTAAAAACTATGTAATTTTGCATGTATCTTTTTTTTTTTTTGGTTTTAGGGAGCGGAAAGTTTAATAGGCAAGAAGGATGGGAGAAGGCAGAAAATGGAGGCTCCCCTGTACAGAGACAGAGGGAGGGGAGCTTTTTTTTACACAGTATTGAATCAGTGAGATTTATTCATGTTGTCACCTATACTGTAATTTGTTCATTTTCTTCACCATTTAGTAACCCATTGTAGGATTATAGCATTATTTAGTTACCCATTCTATTATTGATAGATCGTTGAGTCAAGTCCAGTTTGGGGCTAAGGTGAATAGCGCTGTTATGTTCTTGTCGATGTCTCTTGAAACACATATGTGCTTGTTCCTGTTGGTTACATCCTTCAGAATGGAATTCCTGGGCCTTAGGGTATGCATACATTCTAGGATAGTACCAAACAGATGCCTGAAATATTTGTATAATTTATGTCTTTTCAGCAATTTATGAGAGGTCAATTTCTGTGCATTTTCATCAACACTTGGTAGCATCAGTCTTTTTACTGGAGGTCATGTGGGTAATGTGTAGTAGTGTCTCATTGAGGTTTTGATTTGCATTTTTCTTTTGGCAGTGGAGATTGAGCACCTTTTCATATGCAAATTGGCCATGTGGATAGTCCCTTTTGGGATGCACCTGCTCAGGTTTTTTGCCCACTTTGTTTGTTTGGTGGTGGGGAGCGGGGGTATTGGCTCTGTAAACAGCATATGAACTTTTGTCCATTTTAAGAATCAGATGTCATTCTCTTCCTTATTGCTTTTAAGAATTCTTTATATATTCTCCATGTAAGTCCTTTGTCAAATACATATATGGCAAATACCTTCTTCCAGTGTGCCTTAAATTTTCTTCTTTTGGCTCTCCCTCTGCCTCTGCCTCTGCCGCTGCCGCTGCCTCTGCCGCTGCCGCTGCCTCTGCCTCTGCCGCTGCCTCTCTTTCCACAGTCTCCCTCTGATGCCGAGCCAAAGCTGGACCCTCTGCCTCTCTTTCCACAGTCTCCCTCTGATGCCGAGCCAAAGCTGGACTGTACTGCTGCCATCTCAGCTCACTGCAACCTCCCTGCCGGATTCTCCTGCCTCAGCCTGCCGAGTGCCTGCGATTGCAGGCGCGCGCCGCCACGCCTGACTGGTTTTCGTATTTTTTTGGTGGAGACGGGGTTTCGATGTGTTGGCCGGGCTGGTCTCCAGCTCCTAACTGCGAGTGATCCGCCAGCCTCGGCCTCCCGAGGTGCCGGGATGGCAGACGGAGTCGCGTTCACTCAGTGCTCAATGGTGCCCAGGCTGGAGTGCAGTGGCGTGATCTCGGCTCGCTACAACCTCCACCTCCCAGCTGCCTGCCTTGGCCCCCCAAAGTGCCGAGATTGCAGCCTCTGCCCGGCCGCCACCCCGTCTGGGAAGTGAGGAGCATCTCTGCCTGGCCGCCCATTGTCTGGGATGTGAGGAGCCTCTCTGCCTGGCTGCCCAGTCTGGAAAGTGAGGAGCATCTCTGCCCGGCCGCCATCCCATCTATGAAGTGAGGAGCGTCTCTGCCAGGCCGCCCATCGTCTGAGATGTGGGGAGCTCCTCTGCTCTGCCGCCCCATCTGGGATGTGAGGAGTGTCTCTGCCCGGCCGCCCCATCTGAGAAGTGAGGAGACCCTCTGCCTGGCAACCGCCCCGTCTGAGAAGTGAGGAGCCCCTCTGCCCGGCGGCCACTCTGTCTGGGAAGTGAGGAGCGTCTCCGCCCGGCAGCCACCCCGTCCGGGAGGGAGGCGGGGGTCAGCCCCCCGCCCGGCCAGCCACCCCGTCGGGAAGGGAGGCGGGGGGGTCAGCCCGCCGCCCAGCCAGCCGCCCCATCCGGGAGGGAGGTGGGGAGGTCAGCCCCCCGCCCGGCCAGCCGCCCCGTCCGGGAGGTGAGGGGCGCCTCTGCCCGGCCGCCCCTACTGGGAAGTGAGGAGCCCCTCTGCCCGGCCAGCCGCCCCGTCCGGGAGGTGAGGGGCGCCTCTGCCCGGCCGCCCCTACTGGGAAGTGAGGAGCCCCTCTGCCCGGCCACCACCCTGTCTGGGAGGTGTACTCAACAGCTCATTGAGAACGGGTCATGATGACAATGGCGGTTTTGTGGAATAGAAAGGGGGGAAAGGTGGGGAAAAGATTGAGAAATCGGATGGTTGCCGTGTCTGTGTAGAAAGAGGTAGACATGGGAGACTTTTCATTTTGTTCTGTACTAAGAAAAATTCTTCTGCCTTGGGATCCTGTTGATCTGTGACCTTACCCCCAATCCTGTGCTCTCTGAAACATGTGCTGTGTCCACTCAGGGTTGAATGGATTAAGGGCGGTGCAAGATGTGCTTTGTTAAACAGATGCTTGAAGGCAGCATGCTCGTTAAGAGTCATCACCACTCCCTAATCTCAAGCACCCAGGGACACAAACACTGCGGAAGGCTGCAGGGTCCTCTGCCTAGGAAAACCAGAGACCTTTGTTCACTTGTTTATCTGTTGACCTTCCCTCCACTATTGTCCTGTGACCCTGCCAAATCCCCCTCTGCGAGAAACACCCAAGAATGATCAATTAAAAAAAAAAAATGTCTTCTTTTGATGAACAAAGTTCTTAATTTTAATTAAGTCTAATTTATCAGTCTTTCCTCTAATGGTTAGTGCTTTTTGTATTCTGTATAAGAAATTGTTTATTCATGGCCGGGTGTGGTGGCTCACGCCTGTAATCCCAGCACTTTGGGAGGCCGAGGCGGGCGGATAACAAGGTCAGGAGATCGAGACCATCCTGGCTAACACAGTGAAACCCCGTTCTCTACTAAAAATACAAAAAAAAAAAAAATAGCTGGGCGTAGTGGCAGGCACCTGTAGTCCCGGCTGCTTGGGAGGCTGAGGCAGGAGAATGGCATGAACCCAGGAGGTGGAGGTTGCAGTGAGCTGAGATCATGCCACTGCACTCCAGCCTGGGCGACAGAGTGAGACTCCATCTCCAAAAAAAAAATACAAAAAAACCCCACCAAATAGCACGTTTTTAAAGGGTATGTTTTGTGGTGTGTGATTTATGTACCAATAAGTTATTTATTTAAAAATAATAAATATAGTTTGAAGGGCTTAAGTAGAGGGATGAGGAAGATGTTGGGAGGGAGTACATCGGGTGGAGTAGGAGCTGCCATTTAAATTATAAATATTATCAAACTATAATTTAAAAAATTTACATGTATTACTTTGTATATTAAAAAATAATTGAAGGCCAGGCACAGTGGCTCATGCCTGCAATCCCAGCACTTTGGGAGCCCGAGGTGGGTGGATCCCCTCAGGTCAGGAGTTCGAGACTAGCCTGGCCAACATGGTGAAAACCCGTCTCTACTAAAAATATAAAAATTAGCCAGGCGTGGTGACGCACAACTGTAATCCCAGCTACTCGGGAGGCTGAGGCACTAGAATTGCTCAAACTCAGGAGGCAGTGGTGGCAGTGAGCCAGAATCATGCCACTGCACTGTAGCCTGGGTGACAGAACGAGACTCCATCTCAAATAATAATAATAATAATAATTATTATTATTATTGAAGCAAAACAATAAAGTAGAAGAGATAGATGCAAGTTATTAGTAATCTAGTTTTTACTTGGGAGGCAGGATTCACAAGTATTTATTTTGTTATCGTCATTCATAATCCAAGCATATTCTTTGTATCAAAGGTTATATTATGACCTATAATTTGGAGGTGGAAAATCTGAAGGAAAGGCCATGAAGAAGTATTGTGGCTAATAATTAAACCAGATGCTTTCTGAGAAAAGATTTAAAAGGGAGAAATAAAACCCATGAGGAGGGTGCTCTCCTGGGATGACAGCGTCAGGAATGGACCTGAGGGGCCTCTTGAGCTGGGCACAATCCACAGTGCTGCTATCCCACTTCACAGCCCTGTGACAATTCACAAGTCAGTTAGTTATTCCTAAACTGTTACTTTTTGAATTAAAATACACACATAAAAGAGTGATAAAAACATTTTTCAGAAAAATGGCATTTTTCCAAGTGGCTTACCTAAAAATGCCCTTAGCCTGAATTGCATATACTGTGTTATAACTCAGAATTTTCTCATTTTGACATGGTCCCTTCTTATTTTATAAAGATAATAAAAGTGATCATTTTATATCATCAAAGCTTTTGCAATTTGAAATAGTAATGATGTGAGTGATACTGTTAAACTAGATTTAAGTCTTGAGTCAGATGAATGGCAAATCCAGCCCACCACATGTTTTTGTAAATAAGTTTCGTAAGCACACAGCTCCACACATTCATTTACATATTCTCTAGAACTGTTTTTTGCTGCAACTGCAGAGCTGAGTAGTTGCAACAGAAATTTTTCAGTTAGATGACCTACCAAACTGAAATTATTTACAATTTGACCCTTTATAGAAAAAATTTACTTAGATGAAGATATATATTAGGTTGGTGTAAAGTAATTGCGTTTTTTCCCATTAACTGCAATTACTTTTGCACCAACCTAATACACATGTTCCTTAGATGAAGATACATGCAAGTATCTCCTGTAGTTCAAATCCTATTTGGGGCCTGGCAGGGTGGCTCACACCAGTAATCCCAGCACTTTGGGAGGCCAAGGCAGACAGATCTCTTGAGCCCAGGAGCTCGAGACCAGGCTGGGCATACCAATAAAGTTAGCTGATTGTGGTGGCACATACCTGTAGTCCCAGCTACTTGGAAGGCTGAGGCAGGAGGATAGCTTGAGCCCAGGAGGCAGAGGTTGCAGTGAGCCAAGATCGCGCTACTGCACTCCATCCTGGATGACAAGAGTGTTATCCAAACTGAATCTTGTTTTAAATCTGGAAAGAACACCCACGTTGCAGGCAAATTGTTTTTCTGTCTCTGAGTTCTCACAGACAAGCACTAAAATCTGCTTAGCCAACAGCAAGCAACCCCTGAAATACCAGCCCACCTGGGGCTCTGTTTCTTGTCTTTTTTGAGAGAGGTCTCTTGAGGGCTACATGCACAATTCAAAAAACATAAATCCTTTGACTTATTTATTGCCGTCAGAGTGGTCCTTTCCCTGACTTCGTTGTGAAGATAGAGCCCCAATAGCAGATGCGCGGCACTGTGGGCTTCCACTCTATTGAGGCCTTTTCTACCTGCTCTCCCTGCTTCTGTGCCGTTTCTGACACAGTGGCTTCTGAAGTGGCACAGGCATTGTGCTACAACCTAACAGTGGAGTTTGTTTGAAAATAAAGACGAAGGGCTCTCCCGTGTTGTGGGAGACACAGTCCTCTCCTGATGGCCATGTTTCTAGTTGGTTTTCTGTCATGAGCCAGTGTGCTTTGGGGCACCCGCTCCCACTCTTAGTGGTGTGTGCACTCCCAGAGGTATGAAACTATGAGGAATAAAAATGGCTTTCTGAACAAAAATATCAAACAGTGTAGAGACCTGTCAGATTGTTCGCACAGCAGATGGGGAGGGACGCGTTCTCCCACTTTAATGTACACAAACACCAGAGAAGTAGCCCCAACAAGTCTAAGCTGGGCCCATCAGCCTCTTCCTCGGGAATTTTGGAAATAAAACTGAGTAAGATCACCTTAAAATACAAAGCCCAGATGCTATTGGCAGGCATGTTTTTGCCTCTGTGCAGAAAATAGTTAACCCAGGAGGCCTGGGATGGCTCTCCTTAGCAAGGCTGCTTGCAAGGCTGGCCCTTGGCTGGAGTCTGAGAACTAGGATTACAGGAGGGTTCACACCATTCCCAGAACTGATGAGAGGGGCTCACGGTTCTGAAACTGTTTGTGCAAACACGTGGTTTGTGCTGAACAGCGGCTTATCTGTGAGGAGTCTGGAATGTGGTATATGCTGGGCAGAAGGGGCCCATGTGACCAGCCCCTGATAAAAACGCTGGATGCAGAGTCCCTAATGAGCTTCCCTCATTAATTAATTAATTAATTCCTTGGGGGAATTAAACGTGCCCGTGACTGCTGGAGAGGACTCTTGGAAGCTCATGCCTCTGGACTTAACGCCCTGCGCCTTTTCCCTTTGCGTATATGGCTTTGTGTCCTTTCACTGTAATAAATTTGTGCATAGCTGTGGCCATGACTTCATGCTGCGTCCTGTAGGTCCTCCCTCTGATCATTGAACATGGGCTTTTTATTGAGCCTTAAAAAGGAGTAAGGCACTGACACAGGCTGCAGTATGAATGTTCGCTGAAGACGTGATGCCAGGTGAAAGAGCTGGGTGCAAAGGCTACATCTTGTTCGAGTCCATTTATAAGAAAAATCCAGAATAGGCAAATCCACAGAAACAGAAAGCAGATGAGTGTTTGCCAGGGGCTGAGGGGAGAGGGGAATAGAGAGTGGGGTGGCTGCTTAGTGGGTACAGTTTTCTATTGTGTGATGAAAATGTTCTGGACTAGTGATGGTCGCACAACATTGGGAATGTACTAAAAGCCACTGAACTATACACTTTAAACTGGTTTAAATATACAGTTTGGTTCCATTGGTCTTTTATACCAGTACCATGCCGTTTTGGTAACTAGTATAATTTGAAGTCCAGTAATATGATGCCTCCAGATTTGTTCTTTTTGGTTAGGATCGCTTTGGCTATTCAGGCTCTTTTTTGGTTCCATATGAATTTTGGGATTGTTTTTTCTAATTCTGTGAAAAATGATGGTATTTGGATGGGAATTTCATTCAGCAGATTGTAGATTGCTTTGGGCAGTATGATCATTTTCACAATGTTGATTCTATGAGCATGGGATGTGTTTCCATTTGTTTGTGTCATCTATAATTTCAGCAGTGTTTTGTGGTTCTTCTTGTACAGATCTTTCACCTCCTTGGTTAAGTATATTCCTAGGTTTTTGTTTTTGTTTTTGTTTTGCAGCTGCTGTAAAAGGGATTGAGTTCTTGATTGATTCTCAGCTTCGTCGTTGTTGGTGTATAGCAGTGCTACTTCTTTGTGTACATTGATTTTGTAACCTGAGACTTGACTGTATTTGTTTATGAAATCTAAGAGTCTCATGGAAGAGTCTTTAGGATTTTCTAGGTATATGATCATATCATCTGCAAATAGAGATAGTATGACTTCCTCTTTTCCAATCCGGATACCCTTTATTTATTTCTCTTGCCTAATTGCTCTGGCTAGGAGTTTCAGAACTGTTGAATAGGATTGGTGAAAGTGGGCATCATTGTCTTGTTCCTGTTCTCATGGGGAATGTGTTCAACTTTTCCCCATTCAGTATTACGCTGGTTGTGGGTTTGTCATATATCCACATATATATTATTTTGAGGCAAGTTCTTTTATGCCTAGTTGTTAAGAGCTTTTATCATAAAGAGATGCTGAACTTTGTTGAATGCTCTTTCCGCATCTATTGAGATGATCATATGGTTTTTGTTTTTAATTCTGTTTATGCGATGTCACATTTATTGATTTATGTATCTATCAACTTATACAAAAAATCAACTCAAGATGTATCAAAGACTTAAATATAAGACTTGAAACCATAAAAATTTCAGAAGACAATTTGGAAAACTCTTCTAGACTTCAGCCTAGGCGAAGAATCCATGACTAAGACCCCAAAAGCAAATGCAACAAAAACAAAAATAAGTAAATGGGACCTAATTAAACTAAAAAGCTCTTTACAGCAAAAGAAATAATAATCAGAGTAAACAGACAACCCACAGAATGGGAGAAAATATTTGCAAACTACAGTCCAACAAAGGACTAGTATCCAGAATCTACAAGGAACTCAAACAAATCAGCAAGTAAAAAACAAGTAATCCTATCAGAAAGTGGGCAAAGGATATGAATAGACATTTCTCAAAAGAAGATATACAAATGGCCAAGAAACATGTGAAAAAAATACTCAACATCGCTAATCATTAGGGAAATGCAAAATAAAACCACAATGAGAGACCACGTTACTCCTGCAAGAATGGCCATTATTAAAAAGTCAAGAAACAATAAATGTTGGCGTGGATGTGGGGAAAAGGGAACGCTTATACACTACTGGTGGTAATGTAAATTAATACAACCTCTTTGGAAAATAGTATGGCTATTCCTTAAAGAACTAGAAATAGATCTACCGTTTAATTCAACAATCCTACTACTGGGTATCTACCCAAAGGAAAAGAAGTCATTATATGGAAAAGACACACATGCATGTTTATAGCAGCACATTCACAGTTGCAAAGATGTGTAACCAATCTAAGTGCCCATTGACTAATGAGTGGATAAAGAAAATGTGACTGTATATATATGTGTATATATATATATATATGTGTGTGTGTATATATATATATGTATATATATGTATACACACACACACATATATACATACACACACACACACACACACACCATGGAATGAATGAAATAATGTCTTTTGCAACAACTTGGATGGAGCTGGAGGCCATTATTCTAAATGAAGTAACACAGGAGTGGAAAATCAAAAATCATATGTTCTCACTCATGAGTGGGAGCTAAGCTATGGGTATGCAAAGGCATACAGAGTGGTATGGTAGACTTTAGAGACTCATAAGGGAAAGGTAGGGAGGGGGATTAATTTTTTTTAATAAAATAAAATTAAAATATATGTATTTTACCTTATTTTTTAAAAGTGTCGTGGCTGGGCACAGTGGCTCACCCCTGTAATCTCAGCACATTAGGAGGCCAAGATGGGAAGATTATTTAAGGCCAGGAGTTTGAAACCAGCCTGGGCAACATCATGAGACCCTGTGTCTACCAAAAAAAAAAATAAATAATAAGCAGGCGTGGTGGCATGAACCTGTAGTACCAGCTACTTAAGAGGCTAAAGATGGAGAATGACTTGAGCCCAAGAGTTCAAGGCTGCAGTGAACTGTGATCGTGCTACCCTACTCCAGTCTGAGCAACAAAGAGAGACACCATCTCTGGGGATAAAAAATGGCCATAATGATGAATATCACTTATCGTGCCTTTTTATGCTTGTGCTAAATAGTTGTGAAATACTGCTAAATTTTTGTAAAATAAGTTCCTAGAAGTGAATTTGCTTTGCAAAAGGTTGTGTTATACTTTCCATTTTAATATATATTCTCAAATTGCTCTCCTGTAAGGCTATTTAGTTTACGCTTCTCTACACAATGTGCAAGATTATACACATTCCCAATACTGGATACATATTTGATCTTGTTCAGCCTAAGAGGAGAAAATGGCATTCCTTTTAATTCTTCATTGTGGATGAAAGTGAAGCACTTTTTATCAGTTTGTTAGTCATTTACATCTTTCTTCTGTGAATTACTAGTACAGTTGCTTTGCTTGCTTTTCTGTTTGCATGTTCTTCTTTTTTCCTCAAAATTTGTAACAGTTTTTTGTTTTGTGTTGTTTTTTATTTCTAAGAAAGCTCTGTGTTCCCATAATCAAGTCTGCAGAGATCCTGATGAGCAAAGCGGTCAGCCTGGCCTGAGAGCTCTGCTTCCCGCTCCCCATAGTCAAGCGTTTTCAAGTCACCTTGCTGATTTTTTTGGCATTTACCTCTACATTGCTAAATAGCATGCTTATCACTGCTGTTTCTAGTTTTTCATTTTAGATGTTATATTTTGATCTCCTACTGTGAAAGATGAGGATTTCTTTTCAGCCCCCAGCCTCCGTGCTTCCTGTCTTTGCGTTCTCTCATTGTGGTTTTGTGTACCTGGAGTTCACATTAAGATGCTGTGAGTGTCATTCATAGATTAGCCATGTAGTAGTATACACTGCTGCTGCTTTTTCTTTTACACAACCTTTTATTCACCCTCCACTTAAAATTATTTTTGTCTGTTTACTTAGTTTTCTTTTGCTTTTTTTTGAGACGGAGTCTCACTCTGTCGCCAGGCTGGAGTGCTATGGCACGATCTCGGTTCACTGCATCCTCCTACTCCTGGGTTCAAGTGATTCTCCTGCCTCAGCCTCCCAAGTAGCTGGGATTACAGGCACATGCCACCACACCCAGCTAATTTTTGTATTTTTAGTAGACGGAGTTTCACCATGTTGGCCAGGATGGTCTCGAACTTCTGACGTCAGGTAATCCACCCGCCTCGGCCTCCCAAAGTGCTGGAATTACAGGCGTGAGCCACCACACCCAGCCTGTTTACTTAGTTTTCTATGTAAATGTCACTAATTCAACCCCAACTCTTTGTGAGATATCCCCACATATCACAGGGGTCAGGGATCACAGCAGTGTCATCTTGAGATCTCTCTGGAGCCTCTGACCTCCTCCATCATGGCTGCCCTCTGTGCCTGGTGCACAGATTCCCTGTTAGTTCTTTGCCTCTCTCTTTTTTGATCTTCTGTGTCCTACATCCTATTCTTTTTCTTTTTTTTTCCTCCAGTATCTCCCTGAGAATGGGTTCATAGAAGGTAAAATTTTATGGCCTTGCATCTTTGTTTTACCCTAATGCTTGATGGTTTCCTTGGGTATAACATTTTAGGTCAGCAACTATTTCCCTTTATAATTTTGTGGGAATTGTTCCATTGTCTTCTATTTGCCAGTGTTGCAGCAAGAAGAAAATAATTCCAGTCCTTTGTGACTTTTTTCTCTCCAAAAGCTCATAGGAGGTTCAGGCTGTTGCCAGGATTCTAAACTTCCAGTGTGGTTTGCCTTGCTGTATAGCTTAAGGTCTTTTTTTTTTCTTTCTTTCTTTCTTTTCTTTTTTCTTTTTTTTTTTTTTTGTCATGCTAGTCACTCACTGCACCCTTTCAATACAGTAATTCATGTCTTTATTTTCTGGAATTATTTCATTGGTAATTTCTTCTACTCTGTTTTCTTTTTCTGGAACTCCCTTTACCCTGGTCCCCTAATTATCATATTTTTTTCTCCTGTTTTTCTGTCTCTTTGCCTTATAGTTTTGTTTTCTGGGATTAAACTTGAGGCTTCCCTAAGTTTAATCTTCCAAATTCTATTAAATGCTTCATTTCTGCTATCTTTTTTTTGTTTTTGCATCACTTCAGTTTTCTTACTTTAATTGTGGCAAAATACGTATAACATAAAATTTACCATCTGAACCATTTTTAAGTGTACAGTTCAGTATTGTTGAGTATATTCACATTGTTGTGTAACCAATCTCCAGAACTTTTTCATTTTGCAAAACTGAAACTGTTACCCATTAAATACTGACCTGCCATTCCCCTTGTCCCCCAGCCACCATTCTACTTTGTATCACTATGAATTTGACTACTCTAGGTACCTCATGTAAGTGAAATCATATAGTATTTGTCCTTTTTGTCTGGCTTATTTCGCTTAGCATAATGACCTCAAGGTTCATCCACATTATAGCATGTCAGAATTTCATTTCTTTTTAAGGCTGAATAAAATTCCATCATATATGTTTGCTATCATATATTTAACTTCTAGGATTTTTTTGTTCCCTCAGTTTTTTATAGCATCCTGTTCTTGTTTTCTAGATGTAATGTCACATACGAATTTCGCTGAAGATTGTAGGTTGATTCTATCACCAAATCTCCCTACCTGGGTTGTTTCCTACAGTTCCTTTGTTCCACTGGTATCTTTAGTTCTCTATCTTTATGCTTGAGGTTTGACTGCTCATGTTTAGGTGGAGGCTCTGCAAAGCTGACCCCTGCCTGGGCCTGTGTATGCGGCCTGCAACTATGGTCTTCATAGTAGAGAGCTGTTCCTGTGGCATGTCCATGACAAGCTCCTGATGTCAGTGTCTTTAGGTCCTTCCTCTTGGGCTCATCCATTCCCCAGAGAAGGGCCTTCCAGTCTCCTGCTTGAGGGCTTAGACTTGGCAGCCAGGATTATGGGATCAGTCAGAGAAGAGGCCTGGGGGTGGAGAATGACTATCTCAGCCCTCACCTTGTAAATTCGTTTAATTCCCTTGTTTTCAGTGTATCACTTGTGCCTCAACTGCTCAATATCCACCTGGTCCAGAGGCTTCATTTTATACTCTGGTGTGCAGGGAAGAGAGAGTGTCTGGAGCTTTGGCTGCTCTGTGAACACATCTCTAACCCAGTCCTCCTGTTTTTAACCACCTTCATCCCCCGACCTGAAGCACCTCTTGCCACAAATTTCCTGAGCCTTTGGGGGATTTTGTACCATAGTCAGGTCTTTGCCCTTCCCCACTGCTGGCTTGGGATTTAGTTTGCTTAGGTCTGTTATGTTAGTTATTTCTTGTCCATCAACTTTTCAGCTGCCAAGTTTTATTTTCTTTCCTGTTTTCTTTTTCGTTGTCAGTTAATGCTTTTGGGGGAAAAAAAGAAATTCCTTTCTGTGGTTTCGTGGGGCTTCACAATGGAATGAGACTGTGAGTGCATGCGTTTCATTGCTATCTGCCTGGAGGCCTCAGAGCGCTTTATTCGTTTCTCCTGAAGGATATTAATCATATCTGTCACAGAGGTTCCAGATATCCTTTGTGTGTGTGTGTGTGTGTATACACACACACACACACACACACACACACACATTATATAAATACACATACTCCTTTGTTCTGGATGGCCATTTATTTCAGCATCACTTATTTCATCATCTCTCTTGAACTACCTGATAGTCCTAGGTATGAATGGGAACTGAGTGGTGTCTGGACTTGCTGTTCCCTTCTGTGGCTCTGTGGGTCTGGTGCTCTGCCACAGGTTGCTGCTGAGCAGAGAAATGAGAGCATGATCTGAATGCGGCACAACATCCTGGGTCCCAGCCAGGGCCCTGTGAGTGTCAGCCAGTGCTGTGATATGCATTGTCGTCATGATTTTTATGCCCTGGCATTTTTCATTATTTCATTATACTTGTTGGTGTTCCAGATAAATTACTACAAATAATTTTATTTCTTCTTTCCAATATTTATACCTCTTGTACTTTTTTGGGTTTATTGCATTCATGACAGTCTGAAACAACTAATACTTATTAATGCTGGACATTCTTGTTTTATTTTCCATTAATAGCAATATCTTTAAGATTTTTGTATTGTTTTCTGATGAATAGTTTATCAATTAAGGGAAGCTTACATCTGTTTTGAATTTACTGAGTTTTTTTAAATCCAGAAATAGATAAGAATTATAGCAAATTCCTTTTTGGCAGTTAATGAGCTATTCATATGGTTTCTTTTTAAACTTATTTATGTAATTAATAGCATAAATAGATTTTCTAGTAGGAAAAAATTCTTACATATCTGGGGGCAAAATTCCAATTTGGTTATGGTGTATTACTGTTGTGGGAAATCTCTACTTGATTATGGTTAATATTTAATATGAAGCATATTATTTTTTATAACTCTTATTGATGAAGAGACATTTGGCTTGTGGTTGCTTGCTTTAAGTATAAATAAAGTTTTGTGTTAATAAGGCCTGATTTTTTTAGTTACGATGTTAGTGAGCTCTAAAATCCTGTATCATCTTTTTATATAGTCAAAAATGCAATAAGGGCCAAGTGCAGTAGCTCACACCTATAATCTCAGGGCTTTAGGAGGCCAAGGTGGGAGAATCGCTTGAGGCCAGGAGTTTGAGACCAATCAGGTCAACATAGCAAGACCTCCTCTTACAAAAATGTTTTAGAAAAATAGCTGGGCATAGTGGCACATGCCTGTAGTCTCAGGTACTTGTGAGGCTGAGGTGGGAGGATTGCTTGAGCCCAGGAGTTCAAGGTTGCAATGAGCTGTGATCATGCCACTGCACTCCAGTGTGGGCAACAGAGTGAGTCCCTGACTTTAAAAAATAAAAAAAAAAAGTAATATTTATTTTACTGCCTTCTCTAGTAGTATTGGTGACAGAATTAATTCTCAGCCAAAGGATTTTCTTTTTTTTTTTTTTTGAGACGGAGTCTTGCTCTGTCACCCAGGCTGGAGCGCAGTGGCACGATCTCCCCTCACTGCAAGCTCCGCCTCCTGGGTTCACGCCATTCTCCTGCCTCAGCCTCCCGAGTAGCAGGGACTACAGGCGCCCACCACCACGCCCGGCTAATTTTTTGTATTTTTAGTAGAGACGGGGTTTCACCATGTTAGCCAGGATGGTCTTGATCTCCTGACCTTGTGATCCGCCTGCCTCGGCCTCCCAAGGTGCTGGGTTTACAGGCATCAGCCACCGCACCCGGCCAAAGATGTTTTATACTCTGGTTATAAGACTCTGACTCTCCAGTCTGACAAACGAAAACTTGAAACTTTAAAAAAAAAAAAAATTGCTTGGAAGTTGGGAAACTTCTCATTTAAAAGTTCCAGACAATTTTTGTGTTCTCTAACAGTGAAGACTGAAGTTTTCCCTGGGACTGATACCCTTGTTTTGGTGAAAGTCTTCTGAAAGGACCTGTTAGTTGTGCAGAAGTAAGGCTAGGCCTCCTCCTGTTCTCGGGGCTCAGGGTGTGAGTGGTCTGAGGCCCGCCATCGACCCCGGTGCCTCAGTGGCAGATCCAGTGTCTCTCATCCCCTGTGGCCGCTTGATCTGCTGAATTCTGAGTCGGATGTGTTGAAGTCTCTTCCTCTGAACTGTGGTTTGTGTAAAAAGCTTTGATTTCTAAGAGATTATGTCGAACCATACATAAAGGTTTCTAGCCCTATCTTCTTGGTGGTGGCTTTTACCTTTAATTTTAGTTAGTCCTTTTAATCTTGAAGTATACATTTTGCAATACCAATATTACTGTTTCCATCTATGTTTTGAGGTTAGAAATCAGAGTTGGAGGCAGGGTCTGGGCCCAGGTGCTCTTGCCAGGGCTGCTTTCTAGGGTAGAATGGAGGAAGAGCCTTGGGCAAGGGCCAAGACCACTGGCCACTGTCGCCAGGGGAGCACTCAAAAGTCAGGGCTGTGCCTGGGAGCAAGAGGGACTCCAAAGACCCAGAGCAGATCTGGAGCACTGTGAGTTGGAGGAGTTGGGGTCGGACAGCAGCCTACAAGGGTGAGGGCGGTGAGAAACCAGGGTGAACAGAGAAGGACAGATGTGGCCCGCTCAGGGATCCACACCAGCGTTTTGTGGCATCTGATGCCTAGTCACCAGCACGCATGGGATCTTGCCTGGATTTGTGAGCTGACGCTTCTGCAACACTGAGCCTAGCAGCGCCAGGGTTCCCCTGGACAGAAACAGCCACATGGCCAAGCAGAACTACTTAGCAGCTATTTAAAGGGATAACTGGAAACCCTTCATCCTAATTGGGCAAGATTGCTTACCAGCTTGCGAAGTAGGGCATATGCTTAAAGTACTTTTTAAACATTTTTTTAAATGATGCTGCTAAATGAAAACACTTCTAATTTCACAGGGAGGATCCGTTTTTGCCAAATGAAGTTCACTTAGCTCCTTTTATTGGTGCTTTGATGAAGAGGGGCGTGGTCTGTCCCTTTAGCCTTGTTGTTCTTGATCTGGTTTTTCTTTTTTTATTTTTATTTATTTTGAGACGGAGTCTTTCTCTGTCGCCCAGGCTGGAGTACAGTGGCACAATCTTGGCTCACTGCAACCTCTGCCTCCCGGGTTCAAGTGATTCTCCTGCCTCAGCCTCCCTAGTAGCTGGGACTACGGGCGTGCACCACCACGCCTGGCTAATTTTTCATATTTTTAGTAGAGACGGGGTTTCACTGTGTTAGCCAGGATGGTCTCGACCTCCAGACCTCGTGATCCATCTGCCTCGGCCTCCCGAAGTGCTGGGATTACAGATATGAGCCACCACGCCCGGCCTCTTTATTTATTTTTTATTGTAAAATACACATAACAAGAATTTATCATTTTAACTGTTTTAAGTGTACAGTTCAGAGGCATGAAGCACGTTCACATGGTTGTGCAGTCATCACTACTTTCTATTTCCAAAATGTTTTCATCATCCCAAACTGAGCTCTGTATGCTTTAAACACTGGGGAGGGAGCTTCCTATTCCCGGTCTTCAACCCCTAACCACCATTTTGCTTTGTCTCTGAATTTACCCATTCTGGGCACCTCATAGACGTGGACTCACACCGCATGTGCCCTTTGATGAGGGGCTGATTTCACTCAGCACAGCTTCCTTAGGCCCATCTGTGTTGGGGCGTGTGTCAGCCACGCTGCTTCTGCATCCATCTGTCCACCTTCTTCTCTCCGTAGCCCCTACCCCATCCTAGTTCAGGAGTTGTGGTTTTCCTTGTGTCTTCCAGAAACACAGCTGGGAGACCGCCTACCACTATGGCTTGAAAACCTGTACTGACTCTGTAGCCAGCGGAGTTAGACCCATAATCCTGGCCTGTGTGGAAAGACTGGCTTTTTCTAATAGGAGTACTTAGATGTTTTATTTATCCTCCCTTTTCTCAGAGGCATGGAACGCAGCTCCCCTCCCTGCCCTCACTACCACCTACCTGAAATACGGGAAGATTAGGTCCTTCGTGTCCTTAAGGAAAAGGGGAGAGTGTTTTGGTTGCCAGCAATGTGGGCTCCAGGCCATCATCAAGGCAACTCATCAAGGTTGTAGAATTAGAGGCAAGAGGATAACAGAGGCAGAGGATAAGAGCGGAGGCTCCAGTGGGCTGTGGAGGGAGAGCAGAGGCCAGCATGCCCCCTGGAGGTGGTGGCCGGTGGCTGAGAGGAGCATCTAGGAAGACCGGAAACTCAGCCACCCTGCAGGCTAAGGGCCCACATTGTGCCTCTTCTGACCTGCCAAATTCCTGTGAAATGTGGGAGAAAGTGAGGGGACTCACAAGGTGGGCTTTTAGAGACTGCACTGGACTCCAGTTAAAGGTTCTTGGCCGGGCACAGTGGCTCATGTCTGTAATCCCAACGCTTTGGAAAGTTGAGACAGAAGGATTGCTTGAGCCCAGAAGTTCAAGGCTGCAGTGAGTCATGATCATGCCACTGCACTACTGCCTCGGTGACAGAGTGAGACCCTGTCTCTAAAACAAAAGAAAGGTTCTTACCATGAGTTAGCCTCATTTTCTGGCTTTCCAGCGTCATTTGAAGGAAGTATCTATATCAAAACTGCCCATTTACACTTTTTTCCATATAAATAGAAATACTAGATGTCATGCCAGCTTTAGGAAGGAAAAACAGGATTTTCAAAATAAAATATTGTCAGAACGTGTCCTCCTTCTGGAGACTGAGGGTGATTTAAGTTTCTTTGTCGTCTTTCCTCCCATGGGCCGTTTGTCTCAGGTTTGACTCAGTAGGTCAAATATGCCAGCAGCTGGTGCTGCAGCATGACACCACCCAACACCAAAGCCATCATGTCACCATTCAGAAAAAGGAGGCCTTGATATTTGCTGCTGTTCCCTCTCCGTCCCCCAGGACAGCATGTGAGCCTATTTAGATAATTACAGTCCCAAGTGAATCTGCACTGAGCATTTTTTCCATTCCCTTACTCATGAAATATCGTCCATTTGGGAAAGAGAAGTAATTTCACCACAAGACACTTATGATTTTAGAGGCTGAATTCAGCCTTTCTAAGGATAAGAGGTTAACAGGGGGCTGAAGTTTACTTTTCTAGTATAAACTAAACTTAATCTTGGAACAAAATTCCTTAGAACTAATTCTTTAATTATTACATATTATTTTCTTAGTAAGCACATCCAAAAATACAGAAGTGCTGTTTCCTTTAAAAAAAATTTCTCTTACTAAAAATATTCTCTTTGGAGCGCTAGAACATTATAATGTGAACAAAATCATGTTTTCTAAAACTGTGTATTAACTTATGACTTAATGTCTCTCCACATAGGCCAGGAATATGGGTCTAACTCCACTGGCTACAGAGTTGCAAAGGGTTTTCAAGCCATGGTGGCAGGTGGTCTCTCAGCCAGAACTGTGGTTCTGGAGGAGAGGAGGAAACCCACAACTCCTGAATTATGATGGGGATTGGGGTATTCAGAGAAGAAGGTGGATGGGTAGATGCAGAAGCATCATGGCTGACATGCACCACAACATGGATGGGCCTGTGCTGAGTAAAAAGAAGCCCGTCATCAAAGGGCACATGCCGTATGGTAGAGGGACACAGTCACACGTGTGTTGTTGGGAGGCAGAGTCTAAGGTGGAAGAACCTCTTTGAGGGCAATTTGGCAGAATCCGTCAAAATGAATTCCACCTGTGTGTAGAGACGTGCTTAGGAGGATAATTATTGCAGTAGTGTTTGTGATAACAAGACTAGAAACACCCTAAATGCCTGCTGTCTCCATCCATGTGATGAACCTGCATGTGTCATCAGAGAGTGAAGTAGGCAGTGGTGACGGAATTAAAGCTAGCAGTGATGAAATATTTACCATGTGAACGACATTGTCTAAGTGCATTTGGTCTTGACCACAATCCCATGAGTCAGGCATTTTATATCCAGTTTACGAATATGAAACCAAAGCATCAAGAGGCTCCATGACTGCTCAGAGTCACACTCTAGTAAGGGTCAGAGCTGGGACTGAACTCCTGCTGTTGGGCCCAGCATCCAGTCCCTTGGCCTCCACACTGAAACTGTTCCTCCAGATGTCATGAAGGACCTAGCTCTGTATATCTTGGTAAGGGAGCAGAACTTGCCGTCATCTGCATAAAAGAGGGGAACTATGCATGCATGTTTGCATAAGTGCAGGGCAGCGCTGTCCTGTAGAACCTTCTGTGATGATGGGAATGTTCTAGATCTGTGCTGGCTGAACCTTAGCCACAGGTGGCTGCTGGGCACTTAAAAGGTGGCTAATGTGACTAAGAAATTGAATTTTAATTTTAAAATTTATTAAATTTTTTTTTCTTCAACTTTTAACTTCTGGGGTACACGTTCAGGATGTGTAGGTTTGTTACATAGGTAAACATGTGCCATGGTGGTTTGCTGCACAGATCAACAAATCACCCATCTTAATTCTTATTAAGAATAAGCCCAGCATCCATTAGCTATTCTTCCTGGTGCTCTCACTCCCTCCACGCCCCCATACAGGCCCCAGTATGTGTTGTTCCCGCACATGTGTCCATGTGTTCGCATCATTCAACTCCCACTTATAAGTGAGAAAATGCAGTGTTTGGTTTTCTCTTCCTGTATTAGTTTGCTGAGGATAATGGCTTCCAGCTTCATCCATGTCTCTGCAAAGGATGTGATCTCGTTCCTTTTTATGGCTGCATAGAATTCCATGGTGTATATGTACCGTATTCTCTTTATTCAGTCTATCATTGATGGGCATTTGGGCTGATTCTGTGTCTTTGCTCTTATGACTAGTGCTGCAGTGAACATATGCATGCCTGTATCTTTGTGATAGAATGATTTATGTTCTTTTGGGTATATGCCCAGAAATGAGATTGCTGGGTCAAATGGTATTTCTGCTTCTAGGTCTTTGAGGAATTGCCACACTGTGTTCCACAATGATTGAACAAATTTACACTCCGACCAGCAGTGTAAAAGCATTCCTTTTACTCCACAAACTTGCCAGCATCCATTGTTTCTTGACTTTTTAATAATCGCCATTCTGACTGGTGTGAGATGGTATCTCATTTTGGTTTTTATTTGCATTTCTCTAATAAGTGATGTTGAGCTTTTTTTCATATGTTTCTCCGCCACGTGAATGTCTTCTTTTCCAGAAGTGTCTGTTCATGTACTTTGCCCACTTTTTAAAGGGGTTGTTTTCTTCTTGTAAATTTGTTTAAGATTTTAACATTTAAATAGCCACGTGTGGCTGCTGGCTGTTCTTTGGGGCAATGCAAGGTCAAACATAGACAGAAGGTTGTAAAATAAAGGATCACTGGATTTTGTGGTTTGCAAACCCTACCTTTAAAAAAGCTTCTGCAGGCCAGGCGTGGTGCGTCACGCCTGTAACCTTAGCATTTTGGGAGGCCGAAGTGGGCAGATCACTTGAGGTCAGGAGTTCGAGACCAGCCTGGCCAACATGGTGAAACCCCGACTCTACTGAAAATACAAAAATTAGCCATGCATGGTGGCATGTGCCTGTAGTCCCAGCTACTCAGGAGGCTGAGGCACGAGAATTGCTTGAACCTGGGAGGCAGAGGTTGCAGTGAGCCGAGATTGTGCCACTGCACTCCAGCCTGGACAACAGAGCAAGACTCCGTATCAAAAAAAAAAAACAAAAAAAAACCTCTGCAGAAATGTGAAGTTGGAAGAACAGTTTTCATAACTGTTTATTTCAGAACCACTAACTTAATCTAGCCACTTCATCTGAGAGATGAGAAAACTAAAGGCAGAAAAGTTGAGTCATTTTCCTGAAGTCACACTGAGTTGCTTTAATGAGAGAAGGAGGAGCTGGTCACAGTTTGGGTTGGTTTGTTACTCTTTAGAGCAGTGGACATTTAGGTTAGCCAGGGGCTTCATTCAATTTGATGTCAGCTCAGTTCTTAGCGTGGCCAGTTGGTTCCTGGAAACTGCAGCTTTGGGTGAAACCATATACCATAAGCCATGGGAACTCAACTGTGGCTCATATCAGTTAACCTACAGTGAAACTGGTTTCGTCACACAGCACATCACCATTTCACTTAACATCACAGTGTCCAAGAACCTCTCAGTGCCATTAAGTGAGGACTTATTAGAAAGAAAGAACCAGACTTTTGTCTCCCAGGCTCCCAGAACTCCATGAGGAATCTTGTAGTGGCTCGCCCTTTCCTGAAGCCCCAGAATTCATCCTGCCTCCCGTACACCCCAACCTCAGGCTGTCCTGCCTGCCTGTGCCACAGCATGGGTGAACCACGTGCAGTAGAACCACACTTCCCTGTGGGTGTACTTGTCAGCCCCTCATGCATGGAGGGCTTTGGAAATGTTTGTGTGGACTCTACTCCCAGCCTTGAGGGCTGAACCACTAGTGAGTCGTGCAGGTGGCTCATGAGAAGGTGTCTCCGGCGTTTCCTTGGGGGACCTTCTGGACACAGGTAAATGCTCAGCAAGGAGCAGGGTGGGGCTTAGGGGGACTGCCAGTCCACTGACCGTGGGTGACTCCACGAGGAGAGGAGCCAGCAGAGCTGTGCATAGCTGTGACCTTTTTTAGAAGCAGCAAGCAAGGAAGAAGAGTGGAATTTATGAAAATGAGGTAGCAAACTTAACAGAAAGGCAGAAGAAAGGAGAGGAAGAAAATTCCAGGAAAGTGTTTGTCCAGAGGCCTGGAGTGTGGTCCTGGGGACAGAAGATGGCAGGGAATCATGTGGGTCCTGAACTGAGAGCACAGAGAAGACCTGCTCTCAGGATGCCACAGAAGAACCAGAGGCCCCTGCTGAGCCACTGGGTTTCGCCTGCCTTCAGGCGCTGTGCAGGGCCAGCACTGCCTGAGCTGCTGGTGGGCCAGAGGAAGTGGACCCAGCCAGGGGGCAGGAGGTGTTGGCCCGTGCTTGCAAGGCAACCAGACCCTGTGTCACGATGCCAAAGCCAGGGAACCTCAGGGAGGAAATGCTGCGGGTGGGGCCTCCTGAGTGTCTGTCAAATGAAAACAGAGGAAGTAAGAAAGATAGGGCCCAGCCACTCCTGAGATGTAAATCTCCTGTGATTCTGTCTCCAGGGAGAGGCTGTGCAGCATCTGCCTGAACATCTCTGGGACGCAGCCGTCCTCTTGCCATGGGAAGGCTCTTGCCCACAGAGGAGTAAAGGGAAGGGCACTGCTTCCTGGACCAGCTCACCGTGGTCACTGTCTCCTCTTTCCCAGTCTCAAACCCCAAGTGCCGTCAGTGCAGATAGTGAGAGGAACCATTTAAAAAGCAAATTATTCCAAATTAATCTCCAGTTGAAATCCCAACAGACTTTCTTTATTCTTGAACTTAACAAAATAATTAAAAATTCACCTGGAAGAATAAACAAGAAGAAAGTTTAAAGAAAGAGTGCTGATGAAGGCAGGTTGCCCTGCCTGATTGGAAAGGTGCTATGAAGGCCCCCTTCACACGTCATTCTGCCCACCCTAGCATTGCGGAAGGGAAGACACAGTGGAAACAGCTATGAGCATGGCGCCTGCAGCTCGTGTTTCAGAGTAGTAATGACATTGAACTGAGTGGGTTTAGGAGGTCTGCATTTTTTTAAATTTTAAAAGATAGGCTGGGTGTGGTCGCTCACGCCTGTAATCCCAGTACTTTGGGAGGTTGAGGCAGACGGATCATGAGGTCAGGAGATTGAGACCATCCTGGCTAACACGGTGAAACCACGTCTCTACTAAAAAAAAATAAAAAAAATTAGCCAGGTTTGGTGGCGGGCGCCTGTGGTCCCAGCTACTCGGGAGGCTGAGGCAGGAGAATGGCATGAACCCGGGAGGCGGAGCTTGCAATGAGCCGAAATCGTGCCACTGCACTCCAGCCTGGGCGACAGAGAGCCAAGACTCCATCAAAAAAAAAAAAAAAAAAAAAAAAAAAAAAAAAAAAAAGATAAGCAGAAGTTGCCAAACTTGATTTGGGAGATAATGAGCCATATAAAATAAGGTGACTAAAACAATAATATGAACAGAATCAGAATTGGAAAAGAATTCCAAGGAACCCCAGAGTTATTTGCTTGGGGGACAATAGGTTGCTTTCAACCACCATAGACATGTGATTCACTCCTTTGCAGCAGATACGAAAGAAATCAGATCAGGTGTTCTGGTTGCTATTGCTGTAGAGCAGACCACCCTGAAACACAGTGGATTAGAATTAACAACAGTGTTCATTTTGTTTGGGCATGACTGCCATCTGCTCCTTGGTCACCAGCCCTCATGGCTGCGGCTGGGACTGTGGGGTCGCCATCTCTCTCCATGCAGCCTATATACTTGGCCAGTGTGAATTTCCACACACCCCAGGAGCCTCAGGGGTACAAGAGAGCATTCCAAGAATCCTGGGTAGGCAGTTCAAGCTTCTTAGGAACTGGCCTTCTGAGTCCCAAGTCACTTACTCCTCATTCAAGCAAATTGTTAAGGCCAGCCCAGATTCAAGGGGAAAAGAATTGGACTCCGTCTCTTAAGTGGAGGATTTCCCAGAATCTGTAACATCTTTAACCTATCACATAAGGTAAAAACATTAAGGTCTGCCTTTCTAGCAAGGATTTAATTGCATCTTGCTTCTGTCATTTACAGCCAAGTCTTCTTCAAAATTTTTGGAATAAAAAGGAGAAGGCGTTCCCTCACAATCTGTTTGACACAGAATCATATAATTACTAGAACTCTTATTTATTCATGACTTTGGAATCCACATTGGCCTGTTTTATCTGTATGTGATGCCATATATATATATATATATATATATATATATATATATTTTTTTTTTTTTTTTTTTTTTTTTTTTTCGAGACAGAGTCTCACTTTGTTGCCCAGGCTGGAGTGCAGTGGCGCTATCTCGGCTCACTGCAACCTCCACCTCCCAGGTTCAAGCGATTCTCCTGCCTCAGCCTCTCCAGTAGTTGGGATTATAGGTGCCCACCACCACGCCTAGTTGATTTTTGTATTCTTAATAGAGACAAGCTTTCACCATGTTGGCCAGGCTAGGCTGGTCGTGAACTCCTGACCTCAGGTGATCCACCTGCCTCGGCCTCCCAAAGTGCTGGGATTACAGGCATTAACCACTACACCCAGCCCACCACTAATATTTTTAATCATGTGTATTATTTTTACAAATGTGTAATTTGTAAAAGTAATAGCTGGTCATTGTGAAAAAATTTAAACACTCACACATTAAGATGAAGAATCAAGTTAAATTTCAGCTCACTTAATTTGGTTCCTATTTCTGGCATATCGAAATCTTTTTGGATACTAAATCTATTAATTTGCTATTTTCTGTCCTTCCCAGACTTCTTTGACCACATTAGAAAATGTAGAAATGCGCAGGTCCAACCTTTTAGGTTGACATGTATCAAATAATTAGTGAAAAACATAAGTACCTAGAAGGTGCTGCATATAGCACACCCATCAAAAATCAGAACATCAGTTTTGCCATGAGCTTTACAGGAATGTCTGAAGATTAGCAAATGGAGTAATAGATTGTTTTTTATAAAATTTTTTTTAGATGTTTACTCAGCCTAGGCCGGACGTAGTGGCTCATGCCTGTAATCCCAGCACTTTAGAAAGAAGACCAAGGCGGGTAGATCACCTGAGCTCAGACGTTCGAGACCATCCTGGCCAACATGGCAAAATCCCGTCTTTACTAAAAATACAAAAATTAGCCGGGTGTGGTAGCGTGCGCCTGTAATCCCAGCTACTCTGGAGGCTGAGGCAAGAGAATCACTTGAACCTGGGAGGTAGAGGATGCAGTGAGCCAAGATCATGCCACTGCACTCCAGCCTGGGCAACAGAGCAAGACTCTGTCTCAATAAATAAATAAATAAATAAAAATTTTCTTAGCCTAATTGATAATTCAGATATTTTCAGTTCCCCATTTTGAACAGTAATGCTGCAGTAAATGTCCTTGTGGGTGTGTCGTGTCCATTTCCTCTACACTGGACGCCTAGATGTGATATTACTGGGTCAAATCGTATTTTCATTTTCTAAAAAATACTTCCAATTGCCTTCTTAAAAGCCTGTACCATTTTATGTTCCCATCAACCGATATAAGACTACCCATTTCCCCATATCTTCATTAATCCTATGGATAAAGAGTCTTTTTAATTTTTGCCAGTTTAGTGAGTGAACATGATACTTTACCGTTTTCATTTTCAATGAGACTGAACATCTTTTCGTACATTTCAGACTATTTGTGTTTCCTCTTCAGTATGTTACTGGTTCATTTCCCTGCCAATTTTTACTTGAGTTATCTATCTCTTAGTGATTATAGGAATATATTCTGGATATTAGTCATTTGCTATGTATATACTGGTTTTAATTTTGTTATACAGAAACTTAATTTTTTGTAGTCAGATTTCTCATTCCTTTCTTTTATTTATTTATTTATTTATTTATTTATTTATTTATTTTTTGTATTTTGTGCCTTATATGGCTTTCTTTCCCCAGGATTATAATCTTAGTTCTTCTTTATTTTCTTTTTATAATGTTGTAATTTTGGTTTTTAAGCTTAGCCATCTGGAACTCATCTCTAGGAAACAAGCAGCATGGGACTAATCCCTGAGAGAAGGGAAACTCCTGCAGTGATGGCCAGCTCACCAGTTCTCTGTCTGGGAACAATATCCGCCTCCCAGTGCACGGAGCTGGCCTCTGAGCAGAGCACAGCAGCCCCACTGGCTAAGAAGGTGGTGATGAGAGAGGGTAGCCGAAGCAGCCCATTTTATGGAATGGGGCATCAGAAAGGAGGATGCTATGAAGAGAGGGGACCCAGGAGCCTATGTGCAGGTCTCCACAAGCCCATGCCCAAGGGCTGTGCTCTCCATGTGCAGCACGAGGCCACTCAAGGTTTACCAGATAGCCTGAGATTGGAACAGAGGTACTAAAATTGGATATCTGTGGCTGGATGCAGTGGCTCACGCCTGTAATCCCAGCACTTTGGGAGGCCAAGGCAGGCAGATCCCCTGAGGTCAGGAGTTCAAGACCAGCCTGGCCAACATGGTGAAACCCCATCTCTACTAAAAATTAAAAATTAGCCGGGCGTGGTGGCGGGTGCCTGTAGTCCCAGCTACTCAGGAGGCTGAGGCAGGAGAATCGCTTGAACCTGGGAGGTAGAGGTTTCAGTGAGCTGAGATTGCACCACCTGCACTCCAGCCTGGGTGACAGAGTGAGACTCTGTCTCAAAATAGATAAATAAATAATAAATAAATAAAATTGGATATGTGTATATGCCTGTCCCAGGCAAGGACTGAACACTGAGTGCACAGCAGGGAAGGAGCACAGGCTGCATTTGCTGAGATTTCACATGAACCCACTTATGTGTGCGTTTGCTTTGTATTCTCTCTCACCAGACCTTTAATGTAAGTGTAGTCCTCCCTGGGCTCTTATTGCACATGCTGAGCTTCAGGGAGGAATGAGCTGCTTTTATCCTCTGTGATCTGTAAACTGTTACATTTTCCCAAAAACTCAAACTGATTCCACAGCTGTAATAATAAAGACCTATTGGGAAAACCTCAGAGAGATCCTGGGAATGAGGCTGTTTAGATCGCCATCAGCCTGAGACAGCTGGTTCCTGCAAGAATGAATGTACAGCACTTTCTCTCTTTTTTTTTTTCAAGATGGAGTCTCGCTTTGTCACCCAGGGTGGAGTGCAGTGGCGTGATCTCGGCTCACTGCAACCTCCACTTCTTGGGTTCAAGTGACTGTCCTGCCTCAGCCTCCTGAGTAGCTGGGATTACAGGCGTGCGCCACAATGCCCAGCTTTTTTTTTTTTTTTTTTTTGAGATGGAATCTCCCTCTGTCGCCTAGGCTGGAGTTCAGTGGTATGATCTTGGCTCACTGCAACCTCCACCTGCTAGGTTCAAGCAATTCTTCTGCCTCAGCCTTCCCCAGTAGCTGGGACTACAGGCATGCACCACCATGCCCAGCTAATTTTTTTTTTTTTTTTTGTACTTTTAGTAGAGACGAGGTTTCCCCATGTTGGCCAGGCTGGTCTTGAACTCTTGACCTCAGGTGATCCGTCCACCCCTGCTTCCCAAAGTGCTGGTATTACAGGCGTGAGCCACTGCGCCTGGCCAAATATTTTTTTTGAGACAGAGTTTGAGATAGAGTTTCACTCTTGTCGCCCAGGCTGGAGTGCAGTGGCGTGATCTAGGCTCACTGCAACCTCTGCCTCCCAGGGTCAAGCGATTCTCCTGCCTCAGCCTTCTGAGTAGCTGGATTACAGACAGGCACCACCACGCCTGACTAATTTTTGTATTTTTAATAGAGACAGGGTTTTTGCCCTGTTGACCAGGCTGGTCTCAGATTCCAGACCTCAGGTGATCCACCCGCCTTGGCCTTCCAAAGTGCTGGGATTACAGGTGTTAGCCACCGTGCTCGGCCGAATTTTTTCATCATGTTGGCCAGGCTGGTCTTGAACGTCTGACCTCAAGTGATCCGACTGACTCGGTCCCCCAAACTGCTGGGATTATAGGCATGAGCCATGACGCCTGGCCCATACAGCATTTTCTAATTAGTGTCCTGCCTCTTTCCCAAGAAGCTTTGCTTTTTTCTTTTTTTCTTTCTTTCTTTTTTTTTTTTTTGACTTTAGCAGTTAGTGTACACAGAGTCAATTCATTAATAGACACCTCATGGAGGCACCTAGAGGACCTCGGCAAAGGTGAAGAAGTACTGGGAATGCAGCCATGAATCCAACTGTGTCCTCAGTGGAATTTAGCACAGTACACAATTCAGTGTGTACCCTGCAGCTTCTCCCCGACAGTGATTGATGTCTTTATGAAATGTTAGTAACCAAGGCAAGGCAAGTAACCAGGCAATCAAGGCAAGCGAAAGCATCTTCTAGAAGCAAATGTCGTGGGCTGTGCGGTTTTGCTTTACCCCGTCCTGCTGCATTATTCATGAGTACTGTCTCTACATTCCCCCGTCTGGAACTTTAATACAACCTCAACACTCTGGGAAGATATTCTTGTATATGCACTAAAATTAGGATTTTACCTTCCCATGTGCAATTCAATATCTTCATTTTTCTCAAATGACTTTTGCTGCATTGAGGGAAATAAAATTCTGTGTATTACACAATATTTGTTTAAGCTCTCCTAGAGACCTAACCGGTTTTGGAGATGCTTGGAATGTTAACCTTTTTTATATCTGAGACTTCCTTCTATCAAAAAGTCCCATATCCTACTGAGAAATATCTCTAAGGTATTTATATCCTAGGGAAAGTTAGAGATAATTTGCAATGAGTAACTACCATTTCCCTGGGGAAAAATAATGTTAAGTTTCTTTCTGTTTTTGCTTTTTCCTCCCAATAAATCTTGTACATAAATTCTAAATGTTATCATTCAGAGTGGACACCACACTCCAGACCCTTAAGATAATCAGCCCTTCCTTCCTTCCTTCCTTCCCTCCCTCCCTCCCTCCCTCCTCCCTTTCTTCCTCCCTGCTGTAGCTACTGATAAGTTCCTTTCACTGCTTTCCAGAGAAAGCCCTGCTGGAATCTCACCTTCGTGTTTCAAGACCTTGGCCAGCATTTTTCAAAGCCTATTCCAAAGAACCAGCAAGCACCAACAAAACATTCCCTGCTGGAGCACTGTATATTACATGACATTTGTAGACAGCACAGTGTCTATTAACACATTAAAGACTTCAAGAAGTCCTACATTAAGAAATCTGTGTGACTGTTTAACCCAACATAGCGCAGATCCACATAACCTCTTTACTTAGGTTTGTTTATTTTACTACAATCACCATAACAAGTGTTGGCAGATTTTCCCTGTTAAGGGCCACGTAATAGGATCAGGGGTCAGTTGGTCTCAGTCACAACTATTCAACTCTACCATTGGGCTAAAGAGGCCTTCAACACTTTGTAAATGAATGGGCATGGCTGTGTCCCAACAAAAGTTTATTATATGAAAACAGGCTATAAGCCAGATTTGGCCCATGGGCAGCAGTTTGTCAACCCCTGACCTAGAACATCCTACAATATGTCCCACAGAACATACTTTGGAAAATGCTGTGCTGGGCCCTACACTCGGTCACTCAAGAATTTCTTGCCAAGGACTGGGCACCATAATAAGACAGCAGTCAACAAGAGACATGTTCTCTGAACTCATGAACTCTGAACTGTCATGCCCTCCTGAACTACACAGACAAGCAAGCGGTAGACTTTATAACAAGTAAAGTTATTAATGAACAAGGATAAGTCGTCAAAGAGCCCAGAGAGAAACTCAGTGCTGTGAGAGTCAGTGACAGGGATCACATTTAGATGAGGGGAGACAGTGGCAGTGATGTCAAAATCGGTGTCAGAAGGTGGAGGAGGCAGCAGTGCAGAGCCAGGGCGAAGGAGTAGCTGCAGCCAGGAAACACCTTGGTGTGGTCAAGGACATGGAAGAAAGCTGGTTGGCTGGATGCAGTTAGTGGGGCCAGGGAGGCTGTGCTGATCCAGGGAGTCCAAGGGGGCAGGGCCTGCAGAGCTTCCATGGCTCAGGTTTGGCCTCACCCAGTAACCACGAGAGTGGTAGCAACGCAGATGGAAAGACATAGAAAGATTAGAAATATGTCTTAGACAGAATCAGCTGGACTTAGTGACAGATTGGTTGTAGGGGAGGAGGAGAGGAAGAAGTCAAACACAACACCATGGTGTCTGGTTGGACAGGGCCATTTTCTGAGATGGGGAGGGCATAGATATGTTTAAAAGCTCTGTTTTGATTACTCCACATCAGGATTTAAATAAAGTCCAAAGAATGGTCATGGTAATGACAATAACTGAGCAAAGTAATTTAATTTTTTAAGGTGTTACAGTTCTCTAGAGAAGCAGAATCAGTAGGATACTGGGGATAGTGGGGAGGGGAGAGAGATTTATTCTAAGCAGTTAGCTCAAGAGTATAGAAGCTAGCGACTCCAAAATCTTCAGGGTAAGCCAGCAGGCTAGAATCAGGAAAGAGTTGATGCTTTGAGTGTGAAGGCCGTCTGCTGACAAAATTCCTCTTCTTGGGCGAGGTCAGTATTTTTCTATGAAGGCCTTCAACTGATTAGATGAGGACCATCCACATGATTAGATGGTCCTCATCTAAGTAGACTTAATAAGTCTACTAATTTAAATGTTAACATTTAAATGTTAAGCTCATTTTAAAAAACACCTTCACGGAAACATCTAAAATAATGTTTGGCCAAATATCTGGGTACCATGCCTATCGAATTTGACACATACAATTAACCATCACAGAATGTATTAAAATCTTTAAATTACTTTTCTGTGGGGTGCTTTGTTGGTGAAGCAGGCTGGACAGGATTATTAAACATTCTGGGGGAAAGGTTGTATTTATTTAAATCATGTGGAGTCTGAGGTGCTGTGAAATATGCAGGTGATGATGGCAGGCAGGCGGTTGCACAGCAAATCCGGAGCCGGGATCGGAGAGCAGAGCTTGAAACACAAATCTGGGGGTCGTCCATGATCCATGCCATCTAATGGAGGTTCCTGAGATGATGGAAATGTTCTGTATCTGCGCTGCCTTCATGGCAGCCACCAACCACATGGGGTCTTGAGTCCCTGAAATACGGCTAGTGTGTCTGAAGACTGAATTTTTAATTCCAATTTTAATTTTAATTAAAATAGCCACATCGTGTGGCTGCTGTGTTGGAGAGGGCGGGCACAGTGATGGTATTTAAAGCTGTCAGAGTGGAGGAGAGCATTCGGGCCCTTGGTCTTAGGGAAGCAAAGAGAGGGAGGACTGAGGAACACACCTGGGGACCCCAGTGTTTGCCCACACAGGAACAAGAGACAAGGCCCTGCACTCCCATAAACACAGTGTTAGTACCAAGACCCCTGTGTAAACCAAGGCTCACAACATGCTGCTCTTTTTAGTAAAAGCAGAAATGTTTGCAACTCCACCTGCCAGTCCAGGGAGGTTATAAGGAAGCTGGTCTCCACCTGGTATTTTTTGGGTATGGGCAGAGAGAAAAAGAGAGAAAGTCTCTTATGAGGAAAGAAAACCAGGCCAGAAGAGGTTTGGAGTCCAGATTTATAATATCTATGCTGCATAGAGACCTTAGATTATGTTCTCAGATACAGGAAGCCCCTGGGCTTATAGTACACAATAGCTGCTTTAAAAATGACAAAACACTTGAGAAATTATCTACTCGAGCTAGTCAGCAAATACAGCAAATGAAAGGATTATCTACCAGAACTTGAGATGATAAATAATAAGAGACTACAAAAAAACTGTGTTTAAACATATTAAAGAGATAAAGGGAGCAATAGAAACCACAAGGAAGGAATGATTCTATTTAAAAAAGAAATTTGGAAAGAGAATCAAATAACACTTCTAGAAATGAAAATGTGGAATTAAAACCACAATGAGATGTGTCGCCAAACTGATCAGATGCAGGAGAAGAGAGAACTAATGAATTGGGAAATAAATATAGGGAAATTACCCAGAATATAAAAGAGATGTTAAAAAAATAGAAAATATAATAGAGGGGTTGAGTTAGTATGTGTTCACCTTCAAGAAACCAGCAGTTGCTTAAACCATTAGTAGTTTCAGGATTGGTTCACCACTCAGTGTTTTAATCAGGGCCCCAGAGTGTCTCCTCTCCATGCTCACCATCTTTAATCTGTTGGCTTTTGTCCCCATACTTGTTCCTGTGTGGCTGGTTCCTTTTAGCTGCCAAACTTTAGACATCACTTCCACCTGCAGGGCAGGAAGAAGAAGAAGAGATAGGACAAGTCCCTCCTATTTTTTCCCTTTAAAGAATAAAAGTAAAAGGCTCCCCAGGTTCCTCTGGCTCATTGGCAGTACTCTGTTACATGGTCCCAGGCCGCAAGGGCATTTGAGGAAGGGAGCATGTAACATTTTTCAGCTTCTTTAGTGGGAAACCTGCAAGGGAGAGAGAGCTTGGGAATGACTGTTGGTCTATCTAATACTGTCTGTCTCAGAGCTTAAGAGACATAGACAAAAATCAGACGATGGCCGTGCCCCATGCCCAGAGGGAATTCCAGATGAAAAGGATAGAAACAATGGAGTGGAAACAATATTTGAAGATAAGACACCTGAAATTTTTCCAGAATGATGAAAGACAAGAGTTCACAGATTGTTCATTTATCTCAAGCAGGATGGATACAAGAAAATACTCATCTAGACCCATTATAATGAAACTGCAGAAAAAGCAAAGACAAGATAGGTAATCTATTAAAAATTTCTAGCCAGGCGTGGTGGCTCACACCTGTAATCCCAGTACTAAGGGAGGCTGAGGCAGGAGGATCACTTGAGCCCCAGAGTTGGAGTCCAGTCTGGGCAACATAGCAAGACGTTGTCTCTACAAAACATTTAAAAATTATCCAAGTGTGATGTTGCATGTCTGTGATCCCAGCTAACTGGGACTCTGAGGTGGGAGGATTGGTTGAGCCCAGGAGGTTGAGGCTGCAGTGAGCCAAGATCACCCCACTGCACTCCAGCCTGGGTGACAGAGTGAGACTCTGTCTCAAAAACAAAACAAAACCCCCCCACAACTTTCTGCTAACCAGTAATAATAAGACAACCTAGCAGGAAATTATCAAAGGCTACAATAGACAAGTCACAGAAGAGGATCACAAGTGTCCAATAGACATTTTAAAAGACGTTCAATCTCATTAGTGATCAGGAAAATCTAAGCAGAAATAACAGTGAGATATAATTTGATAACCCTGAGAGGATGTGGGGAATCTAAGAAATGAGAAAGTGAAAGTACTTCTCTTTCACTATTTCACTATTTCGCTATTGTAGAAAGTTCAACACCATGAACAGTGCTATGCCAGTATATTTCTGAAACAATAGACAGTTTTCTAGAAAAATATATATTTCTTCAAATATTGAATGTAAATATTTCTCCAAAACTTACTCAAAAAGAAGTAAAACTTTAACCATTAAAGGGGTTGAATTCATACTTTAAAACATAGTCACACAAGCAAAAAATGTCCCAACAAATCTTTAAGAAACATATCCTATTGTGTATTTACAAGTCCAGGGAATTTAAAAAGGAGTGAGGAAACTTACACATCTGACCAGGGTGGAGTAGCAGGGATCTCCTTTCAGAAACAACAAAACTAACCAGTACCAACAGAGAGATCAGTAAGGATAAAGATACAATGAGACCTTGTTGGAAGATTATATTCTATGCAGAAGACATTTTTCTTTGGAGTGTTGTAATATTTGCTTTTTATTTTTTATTTTTATTTATTTATTTATTTTAAGATGGCGTTTTGCTTTTCTGCCCAGACTGGAGTGCAATGGCGCGATCTCGGCTCACTGTAACCTCTGCTTTCCGGTTTCAAGCGATTCTCCTGCATCAGCCTCCCGAGTAGCTGGGTTTTACACTTTCTTAATCTCCCACTTTTTTTTTTTTTTTTTTTGAGACAGAGTCTCAAAATCCCGAGTAGCTGGGATTTCAGGCACCCACTACCACACATGGCTAATTTTTGTATTTTTAGTGGAGATGGGGTTTCACCATGTTGGCCAGGCTGGTCTCGAACTCCTGACTTCGTGATCCACCCGCCTCAGCCTCCCAAAGTTCTGGGATTACAGGCGTGAGCCACTGCGCCCGGCCTTGCTTTTTAAATTTATTGTCTTTGTCTTAAGTTTTGTCTAAAGCACTACAGAAGTTAGCTGGGAAGAGAATGAGATCATGTTCTTAATTGTCAGAGTCAAGGATTTTATTTGGATGGATGGTCTGTGAGGAGCTGCTGACACACATGATAAGTAATCTTAAAGTCACTTAGGAGTGTTTGTGAACATTTTAACCAGCTTATTCCAACAACGAAATAGAAATTTCCTACATTCTTAAACATTTGTTTTTCAATACCGTGATGTGGATTGAAAAATAATATAGGCCGGGCACAGTAGCTCACGCCCATAATCCCAGCATTTTGGGAGGCTGAGGTGGGCAGATCACTTGAGTCCAGGAGTCCTAGACCAGCCTGGCCAACATGGTGAAACTGTGTCTCTACTAAAAATACAAAAATTAGCTGAGCATGGTGGCGCACACCTGTAATCCCAGCTACTTGGGAGGCTGAGGCAGGAGAATCACTTGAACCTGGGAGGCGGAGGTTGCAGTGTGCCAAGATAGCACCACTGCACTCCAGCCTGGGTGACAGAGCGAGACTCTGTCTCAAAAAAAAAAAGAAAAATAATATATTGAATTATACATGACACTTTTAAACTACACCCAGTCAGAACTGACAGCAGTAGTAATCCATAAATCTTCCATCAAGTTCTGTAGTTAGATTATGCAGGGAAAATTTTCTTATATGTATATATTCAAGTAAATAGCAGTTTCTGGGTGTAACATATTAGCAAGCATGAGAACTTTAATTAATTTATTTTTATAATTTCAACTTTTACTTGAGATTCCGGGAGTACATGTGCAGGTTTGTTACATGGGTATATGGCATGCTGCTGAGGTTTGGGGTATGATTGATCTTCTTACCCAGGTAGTGAGTATAGCACCCAGTTGTTTTTCAGCCCTTGCCTCTCTTCTTCCATTCCCTCTCTTGTAGTCCCCAGTGTCTATTGTCCCATCTTTATGCCCATGACTACCCAGTGTTTAGCGTCCTCTTGTAAGTGAAAACATGCAATATTTGGTTTTCTGTTTCTATGTGGGTTAGCTTAGGATTATGGCCTCCAGCTGCATCCATGTTGCTGCAAAGGACATCAGTTCATTCTTTTTTATGGCTGTGTAGTATTCCATGGTGTTTATATGTACCACATTTTCTTTTTTTCTTTTTTTTTTTTGAGACAGAGTCTCTCTCTGTCGGCAGGCTGGGGTGCAGTGGCGTGATTCTAGCTCACTGCAACCTCTGACTCCCTGGTTCAAGTGATTCTTCTGCCTCAGCCTCCTGAGTAGCTGGGATTACAGGCACGTGCCACCATGCCCAGCTAATTTTTATATTTTTAGTTGAGACAGGCTTTCACCATGTTGGCCAGGGTGGTCTCGATCTCTTGACCTCGTGATCCGCTTGCCTCGGCCTCCCAAAGTGCTGGGACTACAGGCATGAGCCACTGCACCCAGCCAAACACATTTTCTTTATCCGGTCCACCACTGATGGACACCTAAGTTGATTCCATGTCTTTGCTATTGTGAGTAGTGATGCAGTGAACATACATGTGCATTTGTCTTTTTGGTAGAATGATTTATTTTCTGTTGGATATATACCCAGTAATGGGATTACTGGGTTGAATGGTAGTTTTGTTTTAAGTTTTTTGAGAAATCTCCGAATCGCTTTCCACAGTGGCTGTACTAATTTACATTCCCACCAACAGGGTATAAGCATTCCCTTTTCTCCTCAACCTCACCAGCATCTGTTATATTTTGACTTTTTATTTTTATTTTTTATTTTTTATTTTTTTGACATAGGGTCTTGCCCTGTCGCCCAGGCTGAAGCACAGTGATATGATGATAGGTCATGCAGCTTTGAACTCCCAGGCTAAAGTGATCCTCCCACCTCAGCCTCCCAAGTAGCTAGGACTACATGCATGTGCCACCATGCCCAGCTAATTAAAAAAATTTTTTTTGTAGTGATGCATTCTCAACATGTTGCCTAGGCTGGTCTTGAACTCCTGGGATCAAGCAATCCTCCCACCTCAGCCCCTTAAAGTACTGAGATTACAGGTGTGAGCCACCGTGCCCAGCCTGACTTTTTATCAGTAGCCATTCTGACTGGTGTGAGAGGATGCAATCTTTAAAAGTGAAGTTCTGCAGCGTTTCCCAGATCTTAGAAAGTGTTCCTCCTCGGCCACCATGTAAGGAAAGCGTCTTAGCCAGCCCAATTGCAAGTGTGAGCAATTCCCCACAGAAAGAATTTGGTGAGGGAGAATATGTGACATCGCTGTTGTAAAAACAGTCAGAACGTGTGTCCCCAGGACTGCCATGTCTGTACCGGGCCGTTTAGTCCATGAAGGTTGTTGCTCACTGAGTGCCAGCATGCCCACCGGGACAGCAGCTGCACACACAGACTGGGTGCTGCAGGCTCCCTCTAGGGAGGTCACCACAAAGCGATTCCTGAGGCGTGACCACACCTACTCTGCAGTCTGAACTTGATGAGCTATACTGAAATAGCTAATTTGAGGCTGGGCACAGTGGCTCACACCTGTAATCCCAGCACTTTGAGAGGCTGAGGTGGGCAGATCACCTTAGGTCAGGAGTTTGAGACCAGCCTGACCAACATGGAGAAGCCCTGTCTCTACTAAAAATACAAAATTAGCCGGGTGTGGTGGTGCATGCCTGTAATCCCAGCTACTCAGGAGGCTGAGGCAGGAGAATCCTTGAACCCAGGAGGTGGAGGTTGTGGTGAGCCAAGATCACACCATTGCACTCCAGCCTGGGCAACAAGAGCGAAACTCCATCTCAAAAGAGAAAAAAAAAAAAAGCTAATTTGAGCTGATTACATGAAAAGCACTTTTTTTCATATTTACTATGTCTACTTACTATTTACCCATTCTAGGCATTTTCCATGCATGGATTTATTGAACCCTCATGGAGGTTCTGCAAAATGAATACACTGTACAGGGGGAAACTGAGGCACACAGCTCCTAGGCAAGAGGCAAGTCCAGGCAGGCAGCTCCAGAGCCCATGCCCTCAACCATGGTGACAGTTGTGTCCACCCTCTGGCTCCTAAAACACAATTTATTCATGGTATAATCGAGCACATGCCCTATTATATTGTAATTTATCTGATCATATGGCAAATCTCCCCCCACCACCTCCGCAAGACCACGAGCTCCCAAGAGCAAGAAGTTTTATCTTGTTTTTTATTGTGGTAAAATACACATAAGAGTCACTGTCTTAATTTTTAGTTTACAGTTCAGTGGTATTGAGTCCATTCATGTTGTGGGTGCAGCTGTCACACCTTCCTCTCCAGCACTCTTCATCTTCTCAAACCGGCACTCTGCGCCCATTAAACATTAACTCCCCATTCTCCCTCCCCTCAGCCCCTGGCAACCACCATTCCACTTTCTGTCTCTGTGAATCTGACTACTCTAGTACCTCATTTGAGTGGATTCATATGGGATTTGTCTTTTTGTGAGTGGGTTATTTCACTCAGCATAATGTTTTCAAAGTTCATCCAGGTTTAGCATTAGCATGTACCAGGATTCCCTTCCTTTTTTTTTTTTTGAGACAGTCTCGCTCTGTCATTCCAGGCTGGAGTGCAGTGGCACGATCTTGGCTCACTGCAACCTCCACCTTCCAGGTTCAAGCGATTCTCCTGCCTCAGCCTCCTGGGATTACAGGCCTGCGCCATCATGCCTGGCTAATTTTTGTATTTTTACAAATATTTCTCCATGTTGGCCAGGCTGGCCCCAAACTCCTGACCTCAGGTAATCCACCTGCCTCAGGCTCCCAAAGTGCTGGGATTACAGGCATGAGCCACTGCGCTGGGTCGCTTCCTTTTTAAGGCTGAATAATATCCCAAATATCCCATTGTACGGATAAACCACATTTTGCTCATCCATTTATCATCAGCCAATATTTTCCAAACCAAGTTCATTTTCATCCTGGCTGGAGCCTTTTTCTCTTCCATCTGATTTGTTCTGTCTTCAGCATCCCACGAATTGGATACTTACTCCATGCTAATCCATCCCATGGCTGTCCACACCAAACCACATGGGAGGATGATTTCCCTGTATCAGAGCTGACATACCATTACAAAGGCTACTCGGCTTCTGGATCTACACTTCCTCAGTAGCCTTGAAGTTCAGAATCAGCTTCAGATGCACAGTAGAAGCATTCTCCTTGTCAGATGAACAGTGCAGAAGATTCTGGAGGGCTCACTGGCAACCTGTCATGGCAGGTTGTGATGGGAAGGGGCCCATGGGGGCTTCTGGGATGCAGATAGTGTGCTACTTTGTGATCTGGGAGGTGATTATATATATTTGCTTTATAATAACTCATTAAATTATGAATTTATATTTTATATATTTTTCAAATGTATCTTGTGTTTCACAATGAGTAGTTATTAAAAGATTGGAAGTAATTATAAACATCTAGATGGATTCTGCAGTTTGCTTCATAACTGTCTTTAAATTTTTGCTCCACTTGAAAATTTTTAAAAAGTAAATTAGGGCTTTCTGGACTGTCTATTTTGGGTCTGGCTTTTGCAAGAAACATGGCATCAAGCCCTCAACCTTGGACCATGCTCAAATAAAAGGCCTAGGTTCAAATCATTGGATGGGCAAATGAGTATGTATAGTTGTATATTTCAGGTTAAAATGAAAAATATAAGATTGAAATGGAAAATATATATTATTTTCTGTGGTTACCCACTTTAGGCTGTATTTTTGTCTAGATACAGTGGGAACTCTGCTAAATTCACCTTTTATGTAAATTGGAAATTTTACTTAGAAAGGCCTACTTTAGCACTATGTAGGGGGAAGAAAGCACCTTCTAGGCTGAATGCTACCCAGAGACCCTCCCCCCAAGCACCTATGCTTCAAAATTGCCTCCAGCACCCACTGTCAAGCCTCCCAGCCCATCCCCACCCTAGCATCTCACTTGCTATCTCCCTGTGGGTTTTCAGTTTCTTGTTTGGAAAATTATTGGGTGAATTAATATCTTTTGGAAGAATTTGTGTCCACATTACAAAAGTTATTCCATAAATGATTTGATTTTTTGGTGGTGGTTTTAGTTGTGAAAAGTAAGAGTTCAAAAGTAAGAGAGTTCCTGTTGCCCCCACCCCCACATCAGCATTTGGTATTATCATTTTTTAGATTTTAGCCACTCTAATATGTGTAGCATAGTATCTCGTGGCTTTCATTGGTATTTCCCTACTTCAAATTACGTAGAACCTCTTTTCATAGGTTTATTTCCCAGCCCATCTTCTTTGGTCAAGTCACTATTCAGAACTTTTATTCATTTTTTGATCTGATTATTTTCCTGTTGAATTTTAAGAATTTTTTTTGTGTATTCTGGATACAAGTCATTTATCTTATATATAATTTTTAGATATTTTCTTCTAGTCTGTGGCTGGTCTTTTCATTCTCTCAGCAGAATCTCTCTTAGCACAAAGTTTTAACTTTTAAAAAATTATTTATTATTTAAGTTAAAAATAGAGACAGGGTCTTGCTATGTGGCCTAGACTGGTCTCGAACTCTTGGGGTCAAGTGATTCTCCCACCTCGGTCTCCCAAAGTGTGGGTATTACAGGCATGAGCCACTGCACCCAGCCAATTTTTTTCTTTCTTGATGATATTTTACTGTTGTCTGTAAAAACTCATCACCAAAACCAAGATCACACAGATTTTCACCTGTACTTTTTCCTAGAACTTTTGTACTTCTGCTTTTTTTTTTTTTTTTTTTTGAGACGGAGTCTCTCCCTGTTGCCCAGGCTGGAGTGCAGTGGTGCAGCTCACTGCAAGCTCCACCTCCCGGGTTCATGCCATTCTCCTGCCTCAGCCTCCCGGGTAACTGGGACTACAGGCACCCGCCACCACGCCAGCTAATTTTTGTATTTTTAGTAGAGATGGGGTTTCACCTTGTTAGCCAGGATCTTCTGACGTCATGATCTGCCCACCTCGGCCTCCCAAAGTGCTGGGATTACAGGCGTGAGCCACCGCGCCCGGCCTGTACTTTTGCTTTTTACATTGAGGTCTGTCATCCATTTTGAATTAATTTATTTTTGTGTAAACAATAAAGTATCGGTTTTGGGTTTTTTTTGTTGTTGCATATGGGCATCCAGTTATTTCAACACCATTTGTTAGAGCGTCCTTTAGCTATTGACTTTCTGTACACCTTTGTCAAAAATTAGTTGACTATATTTGTGTGGTTTTATTTCTGAGCTCTCTTTTGTTCTATTGATTTATAATCTGTTCCTTACCAATACTACACTGTCTTGATTAATATAGCATTATTAAAAATCTTGAAATCTAGTCTTCTTTGTTCTTTTCAGAATGTTTTAGCTATTCTAGTACCTTTGCCTTTTTAATTTTAGACTCTGTCATTATCTACCAAAAAAAAAGGTTTGCTAGAATTTTGATTAGGATTGCATTGTATCTGTAAATCAAACTGGGAAGAACTGACACCTGAACAGTGTTCAGTCTTCCAGTCCAGGAACACAGAATATATCTTCTTATATTTAGATATTTGATTTCTTTTATCTGTGTCTTGTAGTTTTCTGCATATAGATCCTGCACATATTTTGTTAGATTTAGACCTTAGTTGTTTTGTTGTTGTTGGGGGGGGGTTGCGATTGTAAATGGCTTTCTTTTTTCTTATCACAAAATCCAATTGTTCATTTCTGGCATATAGGATAACAGTTGACTTGTTGTTGTTGTTTGTTTTGTTCTTTTGAAACGGAGTCTCGCTCTGTCACCAGACTGGAGTGCAGTGGCGCAATCCTGACTCACTGCAACCTCCACCTCCCGGGTTCAAGTGATTCTCCTGCCTCAGCCTCCAAGTAGCTAGGACTATAGGTGCACGCCACCAAACCCAGCTTTTTTTTTTGTATTTTTAGTAGAGACGGGTTTTCACCATGTTAGCTAGGATAGTCTCGATCTCCTGACCTCATGATCTGCCCACCTCAGCCTCCTAAATGAGCTACTGCACCCAGCTGGTTTCTTTTTTAAGAGGGAGTCTTGATCTGTTGCCCAGGTTGGAGTGCAGTTGTGCGATCTCAGCTCACCACAACCTCCACCTCCTGGGTTCAAGCAATTCTCCTGCCTCAGCCTCCTGAGTAGCTGAGACTATAGGGACGTGCCCCCATGCCCAGCTAATTTTTGTATTTTTAGTAGAGACGAGGTTTCACTATGTTGGCCAGGCTGGTCGCGAACTCCTGACCTCGTGATCTGCCCACCTCAGCCTCCCAAAGTGCTAGGATTACAGGCGTGAGCCACTGTGCCCGGCCACAATTGAATTTTGTATACCGACTTTGTATTCTAAGACTTTGCTAAACCTGCATGTAAACCCTTTGGGGTTTTCTACATAGACAATCATGTCATCTTCAAACAAAGGCAGTTTTATTTCTACCTTTCCAATTCGTATGCCATTTATTTCTTTTTCATGCCTTTTTGCACTAGCTAGAACTTCCAGTACAATGTTAAATAGGACAGATGAGAAAAGCCATCCTGGCCTTGTTCCTGATTTTATGAGGGAAGTGTTCAAGTCTTTCATTATTAAGTATGATGTTAGTTGTTGTTTTCTGCACATATCCTTTATTAGGCAAAAGAAGTTCTGTTCCTAGTTTGCTGAGAGTTAGCACAAATAACTGTCGTAGTTGTTGAATTTTATGTAATGCTTTTTCTTCATCTGTTGATATAATCATATGGTTTTTCTCATTTAATTGATTAATATGATGAATTACATTGATTTACAAATGTTGAACCACCCTTGCATTCCTGAGATGAACCCCACTTGATCATGATATATTATACTTTTATAGATTAATGGATTCAATTTGCTATATTTGTTAAGGGTTTTTGTGTCTGTATTCATGTGAGAAATTGGCCTATAGTTTTCTTGTAATGTCTCTGTCTAGTTTTGGTATTAGGGTAATGCTGGCATCATAGAATGAGTTGGGAAGTATTCCATCCTCTTCCATTTTTTGAAGAGATTTTGTAGAATTGGTATAATTTCTTCCTTAAGTATTAGATAGAATTCACAAGTGCAGTCATATAGGTCTGGTGGTTTTTTGGAAGGTTTTAATTACTATTTCAAACAAATGTCATGCATTATAAGATTATTCCTAATACAGCATACTCTCTTCTGACATGTGCAAAATATTTCTTCACAAATTCTCAAATGTGATGTTAACAATGTATCAAATATTTTTAGTTCAACTATTATGAAGTTCAAGCATGTAAGATAGTCTGTGTATAACTGTGAATATTGATTGGACTTCTGAGTCCTCTCTGAGTTTAAAGACACCCTTTCCCATCATACAGAGGAAAGCTTGCCATCTCTCTTGGGTTTGTAGGCATCCCTTCTTTGCCCAGAGCTCATCTATCCCCCAAATAGCATGCCCAGTTCTTCATCACTTGCTTTCTGTAAGTCATGTTATCAAACCTTCATGGTAAGGATTTTAGCTTGCCAGGCTTCAGTCTGTGTGTAGTCATGGCTAGAGCAGTGTGGGTAGAAGGAGACTTTCTATCCTTGTATACTGTGAAAGTGTTTTTTTTTTTAATTGTTCTAGGTGTACCTGCGTGGAATGTTTCACTCCTTTCCCACACCTTTCTCATGACTAATGATATGCTGATAATTTTTTAGCATCACCAGGAAGCAGAATAGATGAAGTCTGTTCAGATGTTGAATCAGGGGACCATTGTGCTAAGTTCAGCCTTACTTTTCCATGGTATCTCTGCTTCTGGCTTTACGTCAGGATCCTTTCCTACTATTCTCTTGTAACCACAGAGGAATCCAAATTCAATCCCAAAGTTCATTATTAAATATGTCCAGTGACACAAATTTCAGAAAAGCTTGGATGAGTGCCTGACAGGATGCCCTTGCCCCTCCCTTTCTGGGCTGGACCTTATGCGTGCTCAATACAAGCTTACTTGCAAAATGAACAAAAATAAATCAATCAGTAAAAACCAGCAAATTAGCAAAAAATCACCAAACTGACAACAACAACAACAAAAAACACATTAAATGGTAACACTTAATGCTGGTAAAATAAATGGTTGCATTCGAAATTGGTTCAAGACTTTCATGATAATCCCACTCTTAGTAATTTATCTTGAGGGACTAGTTCGACAGAAGAAAATACTGCACAAAGATGCTGATCGCAAAGTCTGTGGTGGTGACGAGGTGAGCGTACGCTGCACACTATGTCCCTTGTGGACAGCAGTTTTCCTGGTCAGTGCACATCCACTAGAATGGCAGCCCGCACAATGGCACAGCAGCACGGGGACCCGGGTGTGAAATGCTCAGCCCACATAATAGCACATGCACTGTGCTGGGAGCCTGGGGAATTAGAAATGTGGATCAAAATGTAATTTAAAAACTTGGAAATCATCTTAATCGTTAAATTATGGGTGACTTTTTTTTTCTTGTTTTTGAGACTTGCTCTGTCCACCCAGAGCACCCAGGCTAGTGTGCAGTAACAGAATCATGGCTCACTGCAGCCTCAACCTCCCGGGCTCAACCAGTCCTCCCACCTGAGCCTCACAAGTAGCTGGAACTACAGGTGTGTGCCACCATGCCTGAGTTTTCTTTTTAAAACTTTTTAAAATGCTGTCATACGGTTAAAAGATGAAAGTGGCAGGAGGGCAGGTCTTCCGTTTTTGGAAAGGGGTAGTATCTCCTGAGTAAGTGGGAGAAAAAGTCTTTTCTTTTAACTCATCACATTCAGCTCCACCTGTGCTGGTCTTCACATTCCATCTGTGTAGGTGGAGGGTTTCCAGGCAGCGTAAGACCTAACCTGGATTGAAGTCCCTGAGGGGAAGGGTCTGTAATGTCCTGCCTTGTGCTCTGTCCCCCATGCACTTCCCCTGCAGGAGCTCACAGCAAGGTCCTGAACACAGACCGGCCTGACTGGTAGAGCATGATGCAGTATGTGGCCCAAATCTACAAGTACTTTCGGACGTAACCCATGAGGGCCTGCAGCAGCCACCACTGCCACCCACTGCAATTTGTCCTGGAAGCACCTGATTACTGCCCACTGACCCTGCTCTGCCCATCACCCAGCTAGATGGACTTCAAAGGCAGGCTCAATCCTAGTGGACCAACACCCAAATAAGAAACAGAGTGTACCTGTTTCAAATGCAAACACAGCTAGAGTGTAAATTGGGGACGCTTTGCTCTTCCGTGGGACACTTCTAAAGAGGGCAGCCTCCCTTCTTCCAGACCAAGACCCCACCCACAGGCTTGTTTTGCTAATTACATTGGGTGAATGAACACATCATCTGCACAGAGCTTCAAACAAACAGCCTCTCCAAATTAGTCTCTTTTTTTGCTAAAAAATACCCTGGCTTTTGCCTTTATAAAAACTTTGCCCTTGGCTGAGTGTGGTAGCGCTCACACCTATAGTCTCAGCACTTTAGGAAGCCAAGGCAGGACTGCTTGTATCCGGGAGTTGGAGGCACGGTCAAGTATGATCAAGCCACTGCACTCCAGCCTGGGTGACAGCAACAGAGCGAGACTACGTCTCTAAAAAAAACAGCAACAACAACAACAACAACAAAACTTTGCTCTTGGGAAGCTTGTGCTTTCTCTTATCCAAAAAACACACAAAAAAACACACACAGAAACAAACATTTGCTTCAGGGCAATCTGGAAACACATGGGCCCTGCCTTTCAGGAAATATGAGAATTCTAGGTAACAATGTTAACACCTAGAACTTGATAACATTTTTAGCTCTCATAGTCCTTTATTTGATTCATTGTAGCGAAAGGAAAGCCTGTGATAATGCAAGGGAGGCCCTGGCTGCTTTGCTGGAGTCCCTGGGAGGTGCCCCACACCTCTGCCACCATAGTCTGTGTGCTCTGGAGCGGCCGGCCTCTTTCATGCTAAGGAACTCACGGTCCTCGTCTTTGACCTCCGGTTCTTTAACACTCCCATTCACACCCACACAGGCTTGTCCTCCACAGAACTTGACAGGAGGTCATGTTTGTGGGAATGGCCTGTGTCTGCTTTGCAGGGTTCAGCAGGCTGAGGGTGTGTGCCTCTGGGGACCCTGGGCTGACAGCAAATCCCAACAGTATTTCGGCTCTGGACTGACTTGGCCTTCAGTGCTTTCCCAGGCCTCTTACATCAGCATGGGAAAAAGAAGCCCTTAGGGATGGGCAGTGAAGTCCTGTTGTTAATTAACAAAAAGGAATGCAGCTGCCCCTGGCACCCTACTGGTTACCCTGAGTGGCAGCAGAGCCCTCCCCAGAGCCGCCCCAGTCCCTCAGAAGTGCTGGATCTGGCCCGGGTGCCCATCTGGTGGCTCTGCCGTGTTCTTCTGGGCAGATCTGTGTGCACTACACAGCAAGTGAGGGCATGGCTCACACAGGTGGTTGAGGGAAATGGGTAATGCCCATCCCTTGCTGTTCTAAGTGTAAAACAGCCTGTTAGCGCTCCTCTGACAAAGGATCATTCTTCCAGTGAGTCACTGAGAATGACAGTGACTGCCATTACTACTCAAAGTACATCTCTGATTGCTGATCTGAGCCACTTCAGAGCCAGGTTCTAGAGCAAGCTTGTCCAACCCATGACTTGCAGGCCACATGCAGCCCAGGGTGGCTTTGAATGCGGCCCAACACAAATACGTAAACTTTTTTTTTTTTTTAGACTGAGTTTTGCTGTTTCACCCAGGCTGGAGTGCAGTGGCGTGATCTCAGCTCCCTGCAACCTCCATCTCCTCGGTTCAAGTGAGTCTCCTGCCTCAGCCTCCTAAGTAGCTAGAATTACAGGCGTGTGCCACCACTCCTGGATAATTTTTTGTATTTTTAGTAGAAACGGGGTTTCACCATGTTAGCCAGGCTCGTCTCAAACTCCTGACCTTAGGTGATTCACCCGCCTCGGCCTCCCAAAGTGCTGGGATTACAGGCATGAGCCACCGTGCCCGGCCTACAAATATGTAATCTTTTTGTGAGATTTTTTTGCGATTTCCTTTAGCACATCAGCTATCATTAGTGTTAGTGTATTTTATGTGTGGCCCAAGACAGTTCTTCCAGTGTGGCCCAGGGAAGCCAAAAGATTGGACACCCCAGGGGCTGCAGGTTCAGCCCCTTCCCATACCTGGAAAGGGCAGGAGCTCGGTCCCCTCCTCCAAGCCAGACCTTTGCAGAGGTGGCATCTGGGCTCTGCAGGTCAGTGGATCCCTGAGTCTCAAGCCACCACTAACCTGGGGACAAGAGACTCTGCCCTGGCTCTGCTAGTGGATCCCAGCTGCAGCTCTGTATCAGAATCTTCAGGGCACCGTTTTGAAAACTGGTTACCCCAGTTGGTTGACTCAGAATGTCTGGAATGGGACCAGAGATGCAGTCTACATGTTTTGAAAGTTCTCTAGACGACTCCAATGCACAGCTGCATGGAGAACCACTAAGTGGGGCAGGGATCTCCCTGGTGGCCCCAGGGCAGGCAGCCTGTGGGAGCTCCTGAGCAACTGCTTGGCGATGGTCATTATATCACCCGCGCCTTTGTTTTTAAGTGAAACTTGAGGCACCGTCAGAACCAATTCAACCCGAGAGTTATTACTTGTGCTGCTTCACGCAACTGTCTTTTGTTGACATAATCGATGCATTTTTCTTTCTCCTTGTGCTTCTACTTTGCCTGCTATTAAAGTGGGGGAAAGTAATATCCCAAGTGGTTGAGTTGTTGGTTGTTGGGTTTAAGCTGAAATTACTCCAGGGGTTTATGTGGGGAGGCAGTTGTGGTCTTGGGATACCCGGAGTCAGTGTTTACTGTGATTGGCTCTGAGTGATTACATGTAAATGATCTAGAACCAGCTCTGCTCAAAGCAGTTTCTATGCTGGATGGTGTTGTGGTTTCCCTCCTTCCACACTGGAGCCATACCAGCCCCTCTCCAGTGGGAGCCCAAGTTGCTGATTACTTTAGCCAAACTCAGCCATTCTGGTCTCTATCCTGATCCCTTTAGGCTAACAAGAAGGAAAGAAACATCACATGAAAGAAGGGCCATGTGCAACTTATTTTTATAACTCAAGGAGGTTCCCTGACTGCCATTTTACTTGCCAATAGACATGCACGTAGAAGAGAAATGGCATGTCCTGTCCATAGAAATAACACGTGGTGGGTGGGCATGGTGGTTCATGCCTGTAATGGCAGCATTTTGGGAGGCCGAGGCAGGAGGACTGCTTCAGCCCAGGAGTTCAAGATCAGCCTGGGCAACATGGCAAGACCCTATCTCTGCAAGAAAATTTTTTTAAAAATTAGCCAGGCCAGCTGAGTGTGATGGCTCACACCTATAATCTCAGCACTTTGGGAGGCCAACGCGGGTGGATCACCTGAGGTCAGAAGTTTGAGACCAGCCAGGCCAACATGGCAAAACCCCATCTCTACTAAAAGTACAAAAATTAGCTGGGTGTGGTGGCAGGGGCCTGTGATTCCCAGCTACTCAGGAGGCTGAGGCAGGGAGAATCGCTTGAACCTGGGAGGTGGAGGTTGCAGTGAGCCGAGATTGCACCATTGCACTCCAGCCTGGGTGACAGAATAAGACTCTGTCTCAAAAAAAAAAAAAAAAAAGCCAGGCCCTGGTGGCACATGCTTGTAGTCCTAGCTACTTGGGAGGCTGAGATGGGAGGATTGCTGGAACCCAGGAGGTTGAGGCTGCAGTGAGCTATGATTGCACCACTGCACTCCCACTTGGGTGACAGAGGGAGACCCTGTATCAAATTAAAAAAAAAAATGCAGGTGGTGTTTCAGGGCAATGAGGCTGCCTGTCCTGAAGTGTTCACTTTTTCCTCCCAGGGAAGCCACACTATCCCAGCCTTTTTCTCCCTAGGGCCTCTGCATCTTCTCAGACAGCACAGGCTCGGATAAGGGATCATCACTTATCACCTAGCCAGGATAGCAGCCACGGCTCACTTCCCTCTTGGGCTGTCAGGTGACAAGAGAAGCTGTGTCCAGGAGATACCACGTCTCGTTTGCCCAACATCTGATCACCTGCAGCTGTCTTCAGCTGCTCAGTGGTTCACACATGCATATGCAGGCATATGTGAACACATGCACACAAACACGCACGCACACATGGGCATTTTATGGAGGGCCAATGACTTAGCACTTGGGACGATCTCTTCCGTATTTGCCACTGTTTGGGCCCCATTAGGGAGGTTCCCATCCTGTGGCCTAGACTGCTACAAGAATGAAGCATCATCTGTGGACATTTCGAGCCTGGGCTGTCTGAGCACACACACTTTACAGGTACCTGGCTTCAGGCCACTTAGTTGCACTGAAGCCCCAGGGCTTATTCCTGCGCCTCTGTAGCCTAGATTCGTCAGATGGTGATGGAGAGAAAACACTCACCCTAGAAAGTGGTCGTATTAAATGAGGTGTCAGGTGAGAGGCTCCCAACGTGCCCCCTGAGGCATCTGTTGTTGCACTGTCTGTGGCAATGGTCTCTGCTGCCCAGAAGCCCATGGCACTTGCCCACCCTGTGTCCCTTGGCCCACAGCTGGCTCTTCCTTCCCTGAGCCAGAAGGGCTTGGATTCTTAGGCTGTGCATTTACACCCTGCACTCTGAGCTCCTTGGAAGCAGAGCTGTGTATTTACTGACTCAAAATGCTACAGCCTAATGTGTAACAGTTGCTAAATAGATAATTTTTGATTAATTAGTGGAAATATCCAGCTCCCACTGATGGTCATTCTGACTTGGAATTCTTCACTGAACTCAAGGAATAAACACCTCCGCATCCAGCCTGGTTTCAGAGCTGCAGTCAGTCTTGTCAACAGTTGTTTCCAGCTTTTCCAGCTTGATGGTGAAAATCCCAGAATTGCAAACAAGAAGGACCCCTGGAGGGAAACTCAAAACCTGGCCATTCTAAGACCTTTGTCATTTTTCCTTCTTTCTCTGCTACTATCACTTATGGTATCATGAATGGACACAATACATTTCCAAGCAGAATCTCTGAACCTTCCAAACTCATTAAATTCATACATTGTAACTTGACTCACCTGCCTTATTAAAACCTTACCAACATTTTTCTAGATTATGAAAAATATGCTATAAAAAAATTTGGCCTGGACATCTTGCAGTGTTGGCCAAAGGGCCGGTCCCGTCACCCCTCCCATATGTCCATCTGGGTTACTATTTATATCACCCTTTAAACCAGATCATTACCCTCATATCAGAAAAATAGCAAAACAGAAAATGGAACATGGGAAAAGTTAGCCACAGCTTGCTTTTACTGCTACATGTGACCTCAGAAGGCCTGGCCACTGTTTGAAAAGTCTAATCCTAGACAACACATATGGCTGGAGAAGGAACCTTGACCACAGCAGAGTCTTCGATCTTCTCAGGGGCAGGAGGACTTCACTGTGCTCTTCTGATAGCCAGGAACAGGCACCTAGGCGGGCTGCCCCGAATCATGGGGACATGCAGCTCATGGCAAGGAGGAAAATGAGCCATACTGAGTCCTGGGAAGGCATTTCAAACACACATTTTACTCCCACACATTTGACCACCTATAGTTGGAAGAAAAAATAAGGTTAATTCAAAAAAAAATTCTTTGAGACAATCTCACTCTCTTGCCCATGCTGGAGTGTGGTGGCATGATCCTAGCACACTAGAACCTTGAACTCCTGGGATCAAGGGATCCTTCCACCTCAGCCTCCTAAGTAGCTAGGACTACAGATGCATGCCATCACACCCAGCTGACTTTTTATATTTTTACTTTTTGTAGAGAGAGGGCTCTTGCTTTGTTGCCCAGGCTAGCCTCAAACCTCTGGCCCCAAGTGATCCTCCCATCCGAGTCTCCCAAAGTGCTGAGATTACAAGTGTGAGCCACTGTGCCCAGCTGTTAAAAAAAACAGGATGTGTCTATTGTCACCTGCCATTGCAGCCAATAATCATGTGCCCCAGAGCAAGCATGAACCATATAGCTGGTCTGTCTACAGCCTCAGCTCCTGTGGGTCACCCATTGTGTAAGTGTCCCATGACATTGAGTGCAGTTTCAGTATTTAAAGCTTTCTTTGCTTGCTTGTTTGTTTGGATACAGTATGGACCTTAACTGCAAGCTAACTGTTTCATCTAATGCTCAGCGCATCCCTGGAGGAAAACTTGGCTGTGTTGGGGCCATTTGAGAGGATTTTTAGATGTTCCAGATGGTAGCTTGATGGCAACTGACACAGGAGAATTTCCAACTTGTGCACTGACTTTAGATCCTAACTTCTTAGGCAACTCTCCTCAAAGTTCAGGTCTTTTGGGGCAACCCTCATTTCGTGACTACCTCGGGCTGAGTCATGACTGCTCACTGTCATTGTATTCGCTTTCTGTGGCTGTTGTAACAAATTATCACAAACTCAGTGGCTTAAAACAACAGGAACTTGGTATCTCACAGTCCTGGGGTTCAGAAGTGCAGCATAGCCTCACTGTGTTAAAATCAAGGTGTCACAGTGCAGCTTCCTTCCTGGAGGCTCTAGAAGAGAATCCGCCTTCTTGCCATTCCCAGCCTCCAGGGGCCTCCTGCATTCCTTAGCTTGTGGCCCCTTCCTGCATCTTCAAAGCCAGCAGCGTTGCCTCTGTGGCTGTTCTTCCAGTCACATCTCCCCTGGTTCTCTGCTGCTGCGAAAGGCGCTCTGATTTTAAGGACTCATGTTAAGTAGATTGGGCCTATCTGGAGAATCCAGGCTATTCTCTCTATTGCAAGGTCTCTAACCTTAATCACATCTGCAGAGTCCCTTCTGCCATGTAAGCTAACACATTTACAGGTTCCAGGGACTCAGGAGTGGACATCTCTGGGGACCATTATTCTGCCTGCCATAGTCATCTCTTCTTTCTTTCTCCACCCATTAACAATCCATGGAATCTTTCTGTATTTTCTAGTTATAGTTACCAAGCTGTGTTAGTCAAGGTTCTCCAGAGAAACAGCCCCAATAGGAGATAGATAGGTGATAGATAGACAGGTGGACAGAAAGGGAATGAGATTAATTATACAGAACTGCCCCATGTGACTATGGAGGCTGAGAAGTCCCACAGTCTGCCGTGTCCAAGTGGAGACCCAGGAAGGCCAGTGGTGATGTTCAAAGGCCTAAAGAATTAAATATTCCTCTACCTTTTGGTTATATTTAAGCCCTCAGTGGATTGGGTGATGCCCACTGATATTGGGGAGGGTATCTGCTTGATTTAGTTCACCAACCCAAATACTAATCTCTTCCAGAAACGCCCTCACAGCCACCCCAGAAACAATGTCCAACCAGCTATGTGGACATCCCTTGGCCCAGTGAAGTTGACACATAAAGTTAACCGTCACACAAGCTGAAGAATCAGATTGGCCTGCGATAGGTCTCCCCATTCTGCCTGAGCAGGCACTGATTTTCACATGGGATCACCTCACGGGTCACTAACCAGTCAGCAGTCGGCTGCCCTGGCTGTCAGCTGGGGTGGGGGGGTCACATGGCACTCACTATGGCTGCCTGCTTACGAACAGGCGAAGACTCTTGCAGCCCAGAGCTGTCTCCCTCCAAAGGCAGTGGTAAGCGGGATGAGCTGCAGGCTGTTATGTGTCCTGGGATGGGAATCAGGCTTCTCCCAAACAAGTCAACCTTCCTGGGGACTGCAGCTTTGTGCTACTGCAGCTGGAAGCCCAGCAGGACTGTGGGTCTGAGCCAGCCCCTGAGTTGAAGTGTAGGAGGACAAGTCACAGACAAAACCCCTCAGACACCGAGTTAAAGAAGGAAGGGCTTTATTCGACCAGGAGCTTCGACAAGACTCACATCTCCAACAACTGAGCTCCTGAGTGAACAACTCCTGTCCCTTTTAGGGGCTCACAACTCTAAGGGGGGTCCGCGTGAGAGGGTCGTGATCAACTGAGCAAGGAGGGGGGGTACATGACTGGGGTCTGCAAGCTCCTGCGTCGGTAATTAGAACAGAACAGGACAGGGATTTTCACAGTGCTTTTCTATACAGTGTCTGTAATCTATAGATAACATAACCAATTACATCAGGGGTCAATCTTTAATTACCAGGCCCAGGGAGTGGTGCCAGGCTGTCTGCCTGTGGATTTCATTTCTGCCTTTTAGTTTTTAATTCTTTCTTTGGAGGCAGAAATTGGGCATAAGACAGTATGAGGGGTGGTCTCCTCCCTTAGAAGGGGTTGTGGCACCAGTGAATTAGGTCATTGCCAGACCATTTTATAGACCAGGAAACTGAGGCACAGAAAGGCTCAATAATTTGCCTAAAGCAGCTCAGCTTGGAGAAGGCAAAGCAAGGATTTAAACCTAAGTGATCTGGCACCAAAGCCTGCACTCCTAGCCACTGCTCAATGCTCCACCATCGGCCACCTGTCCTGGAGAAGGAGGAGCACTTGCTGTGATCTCTTAATTGAAAAACAAGGCCGGGCACAGTGGCTTCCCAGCTCTTTGGGAGGACAACATGGGAGGATGGCTTGAGCAGGAGTTCAAGACCAGCCTGGGCAACAAAAACGAGACTGCATCTCCACAAAAAACTAAAAATGAGCTGGGCGTGGTGGCGCCTGTGGTCCCAGCTACTTGGGAGTCAGAGGCGGGAGAATCGCTTGAACCCGAGAGATAGAGGCTGCAGTGAGATCTGATTGTGCCACTGCATTCCCTCCTGGGCAACAGAGCCAGACCGTGCCTGCCACGGTACGCTGGTGTCCTCTTGAAGAGGGGGCTAGGCGGGGACAGCGGTACCCACGGAGTCTCGGAGTCTCGAGGGGCACGTTCCCTCAGGGCTCCCAAGGGGCGCCCACAAGGCGCCAGGCTGAGCCGGCGCAGCCAAATCTCCTCAGGGCTGCGGCCGCCCATCCTGGGACCGCGCCCCTGCACCATGTGGACGGTGCAGGCTGGGCTGGGGTCTGACGCCCGAGGACCCCTTCCCCCTGCCCAGCCCTGCCCCCGCAGGCACTGGAGGGCTCCCCTAGGCGGGGCTCCGGGCTAGGGAACAGGGATGCCCAGCAATCTCGCGCTCCCGGGGCCGGACTCCAGCGGCAGGGGCCTCCCCAGGCTGCGGCTCCGCGCCGGTGACGGGGGCTCTGCCGAAGGGCTCCTGCCCCTGCCTAGCCTGGCCCATGCTGGTCGCATCAGGGGCTCCATTCAACAGACGACCGCTCCGGGCCTGGCGCGGGCAGGGGCGCGCAGTCACCGCCTACTCGGCTCCTTGGCTTAGGCTCCCCAACCCCCTGCCACAGGAGGCCACCCCAAACTTCGCCTGTCCAGGCGAGTGCTCGGGCTCGGTCCCAGCCCCGCCTCCTGCCGCTGTCCCTCCCTCCCTCTCGAGCCTGCACTGGGCCCGGGCTGTCCTCCTCCGTATCCTTGTGGGTGATTGTACGTCCAGGTGGCCGTCGCGAGGCACCTTAGACTGGGCAGCTTAGAAACAACATTGCTATCTCGTGGTCCTGGGAGTCTGCGCTCGGGGTGGCAGCGTGGTCGGGCTCTGGAAAAGGCCTTCTTCCCGGTTGCCCAAGACCACCTTCTTGCTGTGTCCTCACTTGGACAGAGGGAGCTGCTCCTGGCCTCTTACAGGGGCAGGAATCCTTCCATCCTCATGACCTGGTCACCTCCCCAAGGCCCCAGCTCCTTATACCTTCACCTTGGTTCAGGTTTCAGCAGAGGAATTTGGAGAGGGGCACACAAACATTCAGTGCATTGCTGTGGGCTTATATCTTCTTTTGCGTCTTCTGGCCCCTTAAAAGTCGGAGTCTTAAACCTTTCCTCCGGTAGGGGCCTAGTTTGTAGGCTGAGTACAGTCACCACATACAACACAGGATGCCCAATTAAATTTGGATTTCAGATAAACAATGAATAATTTCTTTTTGTTTGTTTTTTTGAGACAGCCTTGCTCTGCCACTCAGGCTGGAGTGCAGTAGCTTGAGGTCGGCTCACTGCAACCTCCGCCTTCCGGATTCAAGCGATTCTCCTGCCTCAGCCTGTCGAGTAGCTGGGATTACAGGCGAGTGCCACCACGCCCGTTTGATTTTTGTATTTTTAGTAGATATGGGGTTTCACCATGTTGGCCAGGCTGGTCTCAAACTCCTGACCTCGTGATCTACCCGCCTCGGCCTCCCAAAGTGCTGGGATTCAGGTGTAAGCCACCGCGCCTGGCCAACAGTGAATAATTTCTTAGCGTAAGTACACCTCCTGCAATATTTGGGACAGACTCAGGAATTATTGGTTGTTTATCTGAATTTCAGATTTTGCTGGCAGCCGTGTAAGAGCCTTGGGACAGGCAGGTCACTCTGTGTGACAGGGGACAGCCAGAGGCCCAGGCAGGAGGAGCAAATAGTGAAGCCTGAGTGAACCACCCAGGCAGGTCCTGAGCCCCCACCACCAACATCCGGTTTATGGCTCTTCTCAGTCTCCAGGAGGAGGTTTATTTTCTCCTCTGCTTCCTGGGCAGCTGTCCAGTGCCCAGCCTGACTGCTGGCAGCCCTAAGCAGATACACTCCAGATGCAGTGTGACCTCCTCGTTGCCACCTCTTGGGGAAGGAAACTGTGATGGGCTCCCTGCCATCCTACAACCATGGCACCCACTGGAGGTGTCTTGTTCTAAAGCCCAGTGGCCTATTCCAGGCCCTGGTAGGAACCAATTTGGATTATTTGACCTGAATTTTCCAGCCAAAGCCTTCAGGAGGTGCCCATCCAATCCCACTGCAACCCGTTGAGTCATTCCTGCATCTGTCCTCTACCTGCCAGCTTCTACTCACCTTTCAGGACTACCTAAAGCAAGACTGCCTTAGAGAAACACCTCTCCATTCCCCCACCCCAATTAAACTGGGCTCCCTGAAAAAATGTGGCCTTAATTTTTCCTTCAGGGCCATCATCAGATGTTTAACTCTCCAGCTATGGGTGTCATTTTGGGGTGAATGTCTGTTTCCCACCCTCAACCAGGGACTACAAGCTGTGCCAGGGCAGGTACCTGTGTCTTTGGTCACCTAGTGTGTCCTGGCACCACCTCCTCAGCAGGAAATGGGTGCCTTGAAGCCCAGTGGTAGGCATGTTGCAAGGGTTGAGCCTCCTGAGGTCAGGAGACAGCCACCAGGTACAGCAGTGGATGTGCCCAGTGGGTGGGAAGGGAAGGGAAGGGAGGCCAGGTGGGATGCCAGGTGGGGGCAGAGGAGGCTCCAGTGGCCAGCTGGGTGTACAGGATGGAAAAGACCCACTTTCTCCAGCCACTTTTTATAAAAAATAAAAATAATTTTTTTAAAGAAAACCTTTGTTCATGAAGAAATTGGGTGAATGTGTCTAGACAAGATTGATTGTAATACAGACCCAAAGACAGTTTCAATTAGCGTCAGCGTGAAATCCTGTAAGCCAGAGTTTTAAACCTTTTCCCTAGACCAAAGTACCCCAGTGGCCCCCAGGGGGTCTCAGAACACAGTTTGAAGCTGTGTACTACAGTAATTTTTTTTTGAAATCTTTTATTTTGAAGCCTTATAAATGCTTCAGAGTTTTCAGAAACTCAAATACTGAATGTTCTCATTATAAATGGGAGCTAAATAATATGTACACATGGACATGCAGAGTGGAATAATAGACACGGGAGACACAGAAGGGTGCGAAGGCGGAAGGGAGAGTGAGGCATGAGAAGTTACTTAATGGGTGCAATGTACACTATTCAGGTGATGGCTATACCAAAAGCCCAGACTTCACCACTGTTCAGTATACCCATGGAACAAAACTGCAGTCGTATCCCCTAAATTTATACAAAATAAATAAAAGTTTCTGTTCCCCTTATGACATAGCAATGATTGTTTCATATAAAAGTGACTACTTTCAGGCCAGCCACAGTGGCTCACGCCTGTAATCCCAGCACTTTGGGAGGCTGAGGCGGGTAGATCACAAGGTCAAGAGATTGAGACCATCCTGGCCAACATGGTGAAACCCCGTCTCTACTAAAAATACAAAAATTAGCTGGGTGTGGTGGCACGTGCCATTAGTCCCAGCTATTCAGGAGGCTGAGGCAGGAGAATCACTTGAATCTGGGAGGTGGAGGTTGCAGTGAGCCAAGATCGTGCCACTGCACTCCAGCCTGGTGATAGAGGGAGACTCCGTCTCAAAAAAAAAAAAAAAAAAATGTTGACTTTCCCCACCACAAATTTTCACATAAAAATGACACGCCAGAAAGGTGCATCACAGCACCGCGCAGGTATTTGTGACAGGCCTCATCCCTTGGAGGCTGCGAGCCCAGCTGGAGAAGCACAGCAGGGGGCCAACGGGATGACTCACAGATTGCACAACTGTAGGCATCTGGGAGCTCCCTGCTGATGGTCTTCTCAGACTTTCAACAGGTCTTCTATAAAAATTCTCTCGCTCTGGAATTGTTTGTATATGGCAATGTGGGAAACCAATGTTTGAGTCCAAGAACATGTGCCAGGCTTCCGGCCTTCCGATCATTCCAGGATGAGTCAGTGAGCCAGTGGGGCACCCGTGTGAGTTTTATCATCCATCTCCCCAGGCCATGGAGGATTTCTCCCCTGCTTCAGACAGTCATAGACAATGGAAACCTGTTTCCAGAAAGCAGACAAGCTGAGCCTGGGGATTTGGCAAATCTCAATCAGAACTGGCTCCAAGCATCTTCTAGGTCTCACTTACAATTTAAAGCAACAGGCGGCTTTTACTCAACTGGAAGGTCTCAGCCTGTTCTTCTGCAGCAGCAGTGATGCTATGAGATCTCTGCTGCTAACAAAGCACCACTGCAAATGGCTTCTGGAGATATTATCCCTCTTGATGGTTGCTGTCATTATCTCCTTTGAAAGTGAAATTTACCTGACACAAAATCAGAAACTAGAAGATCCATTTTCTGTAATCGTGTAAATGTTGTTTTAAAGTGACAGTTGATGCTAAAATACATGTTCAGTACAGAAAATACCAAAGGCGCAAAGAAAATAAAAATGTCCTATCATCACACCAAAAATGGGTAATGAAAATTAACATATTTTTTGGTAGTTTTATCAGCACACGTCAGTATCAGTTAGAATTAGGTTAAGTGGCAAGGGATAGAGTCCTGAAAAACAGTGCTTTAAGGTAAGAAACTTCCTCCCTTCTCATTAAAAAAAGAAGTCCAGAGGTAAAACTTCCAAAGCTAGCATGCTGAATTCACAAAATTATTAGGGATCCAGGCACCTTTTAGCTCTCACATCCTTAAGGGAGTGGCATTTATCCTCATAAATGAAAATGGCTGCCAGAGTTCCAGTCATCACAACTATATCCCAGGAGACAGAATAAAGTTTATGTCTTCCTAGAAGACTCATGTGACACTTTCTGTTATATTTCATTAGTCCCATGGCTACACCTAGCTTCAAGGAAGGGTGGGAAATCTAGTCTGGGGTTCTGTTACAAAAAGGAAGGATGACTTGTGTAGGGAATTAGAAGTCTGTGACAGTTTATATACTTTTTCATCTTAAAGTTTAACTCTGAATAGATTCAAACATTTATTTTTACTTGACTCAAAAAATTATGAAAAAATATACAGTGAAAGACCGTGCCACTCAGTCTTCCCTTCCCTTCCCAGATGCGTACACACTGGTAACTACTGTTATCAGTATTTTGTGTACCCTTCCAGAGTTTCTTAGGCACATACAGGCAAATGTGAGTAGCATCATATCCTCTTATTTTTAACCCCAAAGTTAGCATGCTATGCATTTTATTCTGCACCTGGCTTTTTGTTTTTGTTTGGGTTTTTTTCTTTTCACTTAGGCAAATGTCTCCAAGACACATTGCTATCAATACATAGAAAGCATCCACATTCTTTTTTTCTGCTGCATGGTATTCTATTATATGGGTGTAGCATCAATTATCTAGTCCCCTATGATTAGGGTAGCCATAAAACCAACCATCCAGATTGGGACATTTTCAAGAGTGAACAGGGCTGTATTATTAATTATACTGGGGCAAAGGTGTAAACCAGGGCTGTCCCAAGCAAACTGGGATGTAGGGTCACCCCATAGATGATGAACATAGGGACTGTTTCCAGTCTTTTGCTCTTATGACAATGCTATCATTATTAATGTGCATATGTATATGTTCATGTGTGTAAGTTTCAAACATATACTTGCTGGGTCAAAGAGTTTATGCTTCTGACGGAACATGCCAAATTGCTCCTGTGGGAGCTGGATTAACTTGTTCTCCCATGAGCATCATAGGAGAGTGTCTCTTTAACCACAGCTTGGCCCACAGAGTGTGCTATCAGACATTTGGATTTTTGCTGGTCTAATAGGTGAGAAGTGGTGTCTGAATTTAGTTTTCATTTGCATTTTGTTATAAATGAGACTGAATATGTTTTAAAATTCTGTTTGTGTTCCTTTTTCTGTGAACTGCTTTTTCATATTCATTGCCCATATTTCTTTTTCTTTTTCTTTTCTTTTTTTCTTTTTTTTGAGATGGGGTCTGGCTCTGTCACCCAGGCTGGAGTGCAGTGGTGTGATCTCGGCTCACTGCAACCTCTGCCTCCCAGGTTCAAGTGGTTCTCGTGCCTCAGCCTCTCGAGTAGCTGGGATTGCAGGCACCTGCCACCACGCCTGGCTAATTTCTTTCTTTTTTTAATTTTTTTTTTTTTTTGTATTTTTAGTAGAGATGGGGTTTCACCATGTTGGCCAGGCTGGTCTCAAACTCCTGACCTCAGGTGATCCACCCACCTCAGCCTCCCAAAGTGCTAGGATTACAGGCGTGAGCCACCACACCCTGCCATTGCCTCTCTCTCTCTGTCTCTCTCTCTATGTGTGTGTGTATATATATATATATATATTTTTTTTTTCTTTTGAGATGGAGTCTCGCTCTGTCACCCAGGCTGGAGTGCAGTGGCGCGATCTCGGCTCACTGCAACCTCCGCCTGCTGGGTTCACACTATTCTCCTGCCTCAACCTCCCGAGTAGCAGAGACTACAGGCGCCCACCACCACGCCCGACTAATTTTTTTTGTATTTTTAGTAGAGACAGGCTTTCACCGTGTTAGCCAGGATGGTCTCAATCTCCTGACCTCGTGATCCACGCGCTTCGGCCTCCCAAAGTGCTGGGATTACAAGCGTGAGCCACCGCGCCCGGTCCCATTGCCCATATTTCTTAGTGAGTGTTTGGAAACCTCATCTTGGAGCTTTTAGTACATTGGAGAGATGATGTATGTGATTTGAGATGCAAATAGCTTCCCCAGTGATTGTCTTTGTTTCTGCTTATGATGATTTGTTTTTGCCATGGAGAAAATTTTTTTAATTTTTGTCTCTTCTTTTGCAGCTTTGTTTTTTTTGTTGTTGTTATTGTTTTGTTTTGTTTTAAGACAGAGTTTTGCTTTTGTTGCCCAGGCTGGAGCGCAATGGCGTGATCTTGGCTCACTGCAACCTTTGCCTCCCGGGAACAAGCCATTCTCCTGCCTTCGCCTCCAGAGTAGCTGGGATTACAGGCACCCACCACCATACCCAGCTAATGTTTATATTTTCAGTAGAGACAAGTTTTCGCCATGTTGGCCAGGCTGGTCTCGATCTCCTGACCTCAGGTGATCCACCCGCCTTGGCCTCCCAAAGTGCTGGGATGACAGGCATGAGCTACTGCACCCAGCCCTTTTGAGGCTTTGGATAAGTCAAAGCTAGAAAGCCCTTCCCCATTCCAAGGTTATAAAGGTGTGCTCCTTTATAACCTTCTACAACTTTCATTCTTCTAGAACTTTCATTGTTTTCTTTTAGAACTTTCATTGTTTTGTCTTAAATCTTTGATGCATTTGGGATTTATCTTGAAGTACATGGTGGGGTATGAATTTATATACATTTTAAATAAGTATATTATAACTTTTCCCATAGTAATGCAAGCTTATTGTTAAAAAGTTAGGCAGTATTCTTTGGGAGGCCGAGTCGGGCAAATCACGAGGTCAGGAGATCGAGACCATCCTCGCTAACATGGTGAAACCCTGTCTCTACTAAAAATACACACACAAAAAAAAATTAGTCTGGTGTGGTGGTGGATGCCTGTAGTCCCAGCTACTCAGGAGGCTGAGGCAGGAGAATGGCGTGAACCCAGGAGGTGGAGCTTGCAGTCAGCTGAGATTGTGCCACTGCACTTAAGGCTGGGCGACAGAGCGAGACTCCATCTCAAAAAAAAAAAAGTTAAGTAGTATTTATGGTATATATCAAAAGACAGCAGTCTCCTGTTACTATCCTTTCCCTGTTTACCCCCCTTAGCCCCTCCAGTCTTTCAAATGTTTTTTTCTTTCTTTCTTTCTTTCTTTTTTTTTTTAAAGAGACAGAGTCTTGCTCTGTCACCCAGGCTGAAGTGTGCAGTGCAGTAGCGTGATCATAGTTCACTGTACCCTTAACTTCCTGAGCTCAAGCAATCCTCCTGCCTCAGCCTCTGAGTAGCTGGCACCACAGGCATATGCCACCACACCTGGTTATTTTATTTTATTTTGAGATGGAGTCTGACTCTGTCACCCAGGCTGGAGTGCAGTGGCACGATCTTGGCTCACAGCAACCTCCACCTCCCGGGTTCAGGTGATTCTCCTGCCTCAGCCTCCCGAGTAGCTGAGATTATAGGCGCCTGCCACCATGCCTGGCTAATTTTTGTATTTTTAGTAGAGACGGGGTTTTACCATGTTAGCCAGGCTGGTCTTGAACTCCTGACCTCAGGTGATCTGCCTGCCTCAGCCTCCCAGAGTGCTGGAATTACAGGCGTGAGCCACCGTGCCCAGCCTACTTTTAAAATACATATAGAAATGGGGGTCTCAAACTCCTGGCCTCAAGCGATCCTGCTACCTCAGCCTCCCAAAGTACTGGGATTACAGGCAGGAGCCACCGAGTCTAGCCTGAAAGTTTATTTTTATATGTATCTCCCTATTTATAAATAGTAATCTAACACTGTTGTATGTTAACTTCATTAATTTTAAGCATGCTTCATTGTTAGGTTGCATGAGAGGTCTTCCCTTCAAATAGAGGTGAAGTAATAAATGTTAGTGAACTCTGTGTCAGGATTTCTGTGCAGTTAGTACTAGGATTTGACTGTTCTCTTTCTGCGTATTTGAATAATTAACCTGAGTTGGTAATTGTGACCTCCTTTTCAAAAGTGTAAAAACCAGACAGCACTTTGGGAGGCCGAGGCGGGTGGATCACGAGGTCAGGAGTTCAAGGCCAGCCTGGCCCAGATGGTGAAACCCTGTCTCTACTAAAAAAACCAAAAAAATTAGCCAGGTGTGGTGGTGTGTGCCTATAATCCCACCTACTCAGGAGGTGGAGGCAGAGAATTGCATAAACCCAGGAGGCAGAGGTTGCAATGAGCCGAGATCTCTCTACTGCACTCCAGCCTGGGCAACAGAGCAAGACTCCGTCTTAAAAAAAAAACAGATTTAGGGTTAAGGCGAATGGGATGAGAGGAATTCCTTATTTTTTTCTCCAAAGCAATTTTTTTCTGCTTATACAAACTTATTGTTTAAAATAGCTGGTTGCATTTGCCTCTGAATAAGCAATAACCCAGCATCGGTTTTATTTACTTGCACGCTTTCAGCCTCGCATTTCTGAGCAGCCCCAAGATTCCTCTGCAGATGCTCTACAGGCTCCTATGTGCCAGGCACCCTGCCAGTTGCTGGAGATAGAACAGTAAGTGAGACAAACGGGGTTGTGCCCTTTTGGAGCTCACACTCTGGCAGGGGACGCAGACAAGAAACAGCCCAATACACAAGATGACAGGTGTTGATAAGCACTAGGAAGACAAGCAGAGCAAGGCAAGGAAAGAAGAGCCAGAGAGAGGGGTGCTATTCTAGGGAGGATGGTCAGAGGAAGTCCCTGAGTGGGTGACACGATATGAGCAGATACCTGAAAGGTATGCGGGGGGAACCATGTGACAATCGGGGGAGAGCTTGATGGGTGGGCACAGTATGTCCAAAGGCCCTGTGGCAGGGACATACTGGTTCACTGGGGAGGGTCAGGGTATGGGGGGCAGCAGAAGGCCAATGTGAGCAGCAGAATGGGCAAGGCAGCTGCTAGGGAATGGCTCATGAGAGATGGGTAGGGCAGAACCTCCCAGGCCCTATCTGAGGAATGGCAAAGTTCTGAGCAGGACCTAATTAACATTTCTAAACAGTTTTTTTGTTGGGAGGCCGAGGTGGGAGGATCGCTTGAGCTCAAGACTGAGACCAGCCTAGGCAAGATAGTGAAACTCCATCTTTACAAAAAAATTTTAAAAATCAGCTCAGCGTGGTAGTGTCTACCTGTGGTCTCAGCTACTCAGGAGGCCAAGGCAGGAGGACTACTTGAGCCTAGGAGTTCGAAGCTACAGTGAGCCATGATTGCATCTCTGCATTCCAGCCTCGGCAGCAGAGCAAGACCCTGTCTCAAAAAATAAAATAAAAATTTAAAAATAAGCAATCTCTTTGGTAGCCATGCAGAGAAGTGATTGTAGAGGCACAAGAGTTAAAAATAAAATAATAGGCTGGGCACGGTGACTCACGCCTGTAATCCCAGCACTTTGGGAGGCCGAGGCAGGCAGATCACCTGAGGTCAGGAGTTCGAAACCAGCCTGGCCAACATTGTGAAACCCCATCTCTACTAAAAATACAAAAAATTAGGCTGGGTGCGGTGGCTCACGCCTGTAATCCCAGCACTTTGGGAGGCCAAGGGAGGCAGATCACGAGGTCAGGAGATGGAGACCATTCTGGCTAACATGGTGAAACCCTGTCTCTACTAAAAATGTAAAAAATTAGCCGGGCATGGTGGCACGCGCCTGTAGTCCCAGCTACTCAGGAGGCTGAGGCAGGAGAATCCCTTGAACCCAGGAGGCAGAGGCTGCAGTGAGCCGAGTTTGAGCCACTGCACTCCAGTCTGGCAACAGAGTGAGACCCTGTCTCAGGAAAAAAAAAAAAATTTGCTGGGTGTGGTGGCGGGTGCCTGTAATCCCAGCTACTTGCAAGGCTGAGGCAGGAGAATCGCTTGAACTCAGGAGGCGGAGGTTGCAGTGAGCCAAGATTGCACCACTGCACTCCAGCCTGAGCAACAAGAGCAAGACTCCGTCTCAAAAAATAAAATAAAATAAAAGTAAGGCCTGGCTAGCATGCCATTGCAGTAGTTCAGGTGAGAGATGAGGGGACTCAGCCCAGCAAGGGCAGAGCAGATGGAGCGGCTGTGGAGAATGCAGGAAGGAGAGGAATCCGGGACGCCCCTCAGTGCCTGCTGCTGCTGACATGGAGAAGACTCGGATCAAGAGTCAGGCGCAAGGTGGCTTTCAACATCCAAGTGGAGAAGGTGAGTAGACAGGGAAATATAGAAGCCTAAAGCCCAGAAGAAAAAAGACCAAGCCCCCTGCCTCAGCCTCCCGAGTAACTGGGACTACAGCGCCCGCCACCACACCCGGCTACTTTTTGTATTTTTAGTAGAGATGGGGTTTCACGGTGGTCTTGATCTCCTGACCTCGTGATCCGCCCGCCTCAGCCTCCCAAAGTGCTGGGATTATAGGCGTGAGCCACCACGCCCGGCCGAGGCCATGGGTTTCAAGAAAGAGGAAGTGATGGGTGACAAACTGCTGAGCAGTTGAGCAAGGCCTGAGGGGCGGCTATTGGGTTTGGCAAGACGTATGTTGCTGGTGGCTTTACAAGGGGGTGTCAGGAGTGGGGACCGAGGGCAGATCTCGCTTGGGAGGAGTTTTGCTGTAAAGGGGAACAGAGAAATGGGGAGATCATCGGAAAGGGATGTGGGATTAGGGAGGGTGTTTTCTTTCCTCTTTTTTTTTTTTCTGAAAGTATGGAAAGATAACAGTGCATTCTCTTGCCTGTGCGGATGCCAGGGAGACGGGGAAGGAGCCAGATTCCAGGCACACATGGAGCAGGGAGGCTGAGCATGGGGAGGCTGGCGGCTGAGGCGTGTCGTTGCTTCCTACAGCCGGTGCAGCTGTACAAGGGCATGGGACTGGATGTCAGCCAGACAAGGCTGGGGGACAGGTAGAGGAAATAGGCTGGCAAGGTGGAGGCAGTTGTCCAAGAGGGGACACCTGAAGCAGAAACTCTGGAGAACATGCAGTTACTGAGAGTGACAAGTCTCAGCCTTGGCCAGGACTCCGTGAAGGTGGGTCAGGTGTGTTGGAGGGAAAGAGCGTTGTGGAGGAAGAGATTGGGAAGCAGAGGCAGGAGGATTCATGGACAACATTGTTGAAGCTGCCAGAAATGAGCATAGGAGTGTCTGGCGACAGAAGGACAGTGTGAGGAGGATGAGAAACCTTCCCTGAGTGGTCAGAGTGGCTGGAGGTCTGGAGGTGACTGTGGCAAGCAGGGCTCGAGGGTGATGTAGTCCCTAAGCATGCTCTTGGAGAGGCTGGGTTGTTACGGAAGGAGAGGGGAGGAATATTCTGGAAAAGTAGGGAGAAGAGCTCTGTCAGCTGCAGGTCCTCAGAGAAGGCAGGGTGTGGGAGACAAAAACAGACACCCCTTGAGAGAGCTGCAGGAGAAACAGCATCTTCAGGGGAGACCCCGACTTCTAGCAGAGTGAGAGAGTGGAGGGACATCCGAGAAGAGGCTGAGGAGGATGTAGAGGTTTTATGATGACACCGTGAGTTGACACTGAGAGTTCCCAGTGGCCTACTGACAATTTGGGGGTCACTAAGAGGTAGACATTTAGGTCAGTTTAAAGAATGTTTGAACCCTCTGGAGATGACAGTGGTGTGGAATATGAAGTGGAATCCAGACTAAAACAGGAAAGAGCCAGGAGCACTTTCTGGAGTCAGGTGAATGGAATGACCAGGTGAGCCCAGGAGCCATGGGGTGGACTCCAAGATGTGCTGAGGCTACAGTAGAACCATCAAGGAAGAAACTCACTGACCATGCTTTTCTCAGCCCAGTTCATGAGGGGCTGCCCTGGCAGGAGGGCTTTCCTGTGGAGGTGGCCAAGGAGCACTGTGCTCTCCTCCCTCCACCAGGTATCAAAAGTCAACCTGCTGCCCACCCGCATTCACAGCAGCACTCTGAACAATAGCAGAAAGGTGGAAGCAACCCAAGCATCCATCTACAGATAACTGGATAAACAAAACATGATTCATTTATATAATGGGATCTTATTCAACTTTAAAAAGGAAAGAAATTCTGACAACAGTGCTACAACCTGGATGAACCTTGAGGACGTTATGCTGAGTGAAGTAAGCCAGACACAGAAAGACAAATCCTGTGTGATTGCACCTACATGAGGTAGTAGAGTAGTCAGATTCATAGAGACAGAAAGTAGAATGGTGGTTGCCAGGGGCTGGGGGAAGGGGAAAATGGGGAGTTAGTGTTTAATGGGGACAGAGTTTAAGTTTTGCAAGATGAGAAAGGTGAGGTGAATGGAGGTGATGGCTGCACAATAATGTGAATGTACATTTTGGTTAATGCCACCAAAATGTTTAAGAGGATGTTAAAAAATGTCAGATTGGGGAAACTGAAGCTATCCTATTGCCTCGAGGCCACACAGTTGACAGACGGCTGCAGCATTGGACCAGAATGTGTCTCTGACCCCACACCCTGCAGGGGCTCTGCAAGGCAGAGGAAGAATCGGGGCTGTGGTGATTAGAAACAGTGAGCATCCTGGGGCGACCCTGTTGAGCCTCTTAGGAAGAACTTTTTAAATTTTTATATATTTTTTGGAGTTGGTTTATTTGAATGTGAGACACTACAATTGGTTTATGTGTCTCCTTTTTTTTTTTTTTTCTTTTTTAATTTTGAGACAGGGTCTCACTCTGTCACCCAGGCTGGAGTGCAGTGGCGTGATCTCAGCTCACTGCAGCCTCCGCCTCCCAGGCTCAAGCAATCCTCCTACCTAGTCTCCAGAGGAGCTGGGACAACAGGTGTGCACCACCTCACCTGGCTAATTTTTGTATTTTTCCTAGATACAGGGTTTCGCTGTATTGGCCAAGCTGGTCTTGAACTCCTGAGCTCAAGCGATCTGTGTGCCTTGGCCTCACAAAGTTCTGGGATTACAGACGTGAGCCACCGTGCCTGGCCAGGAAGAACGTTCACTGACTCATTTGCCACATTCAGATCTTACCCAGAGACATTTGAATTTCCAAGGGTGATGATTTGCATCGGGTGGAGCAGAGCACCATGGGCACTTAGCTTAGCCCAGGCTCAGCAAAAAGCTGAAATGCTCACAAACAGCAGGCCCTGGGCATTATGGTTATTTTCCTGACCTCAGTCTCAAGTGCCAAATCTCAAAACTATCATTAAAATGTCCATATTTTTTCATTTAGAGAAAACAGTGTCTGCTAAAATCCATAATATCCACCTGAGTGTTTGTTCAGCACAGCTGGCCTGACAGCACTTGTTTGGAACTTGACAAGTAAGCCTAAATTCACTGGGAAGGATGAAGCTAAGAAAATTTGGAATAAGAACGAAGGCGGATGCACCTTGCACATATCAAAACACACCATAGAGGTGCAGTGCTGGCCAGGCACTGTGGCTCATGCCTGTAGTCCCAGTGTTTTGGGAGGCTGAGACAGGAGGATCGCTTGAGCCCAGGAGTTTGAGACCAGCCTGGGCAACACAGCAAGGCCCCATCTCTACAAAAAATTTAAAAGGAGCCACACAGATAGGAAAGAAAAGAGAAACGCAGGGTGTCCAGATGTAATGTCTATGTTATTCCACCTGGAAATTTCCCCTTGGAGCTTAGCGCTTCAATGCTGGCCTCTACCAAGAGCCTAAATCCAAGGTCACCCTGAGGCAACTCTTCATCTTACTCCAGAAGGCTGGAAACCTTCAGTCCTCCCCAGCACCCACTCATGTGTGAAGTGAGATCTGATATCTTTGAAGGACATCAACATTGGGTAGAAATAGCCTAAGAAAGACTTCCATGTCCTTTTCCTTAGCAAGGATCCACATGCAGATCTGGCCCTGGGATGGGCATGGTGTGGGCATCACCAGAGGGGCAGCAGGAATGCAAACAGACCTGGCTTAAGATCCAGCTCTGCTACTTAACCAGCTATGTGTGGTGGCTCTGGGAAGGTCATCCAGTCATCTGCAGCCTCAGCCACTTCACCTCTCTACACAGGATCAAGTTACAAGCTATGTGACTTGCTTTTGTATATCTTCTTTGGAGAAGTGTCTGTTCAAGTCCTTTGCCCATTTTAAAAATTGGATTATTTGTCTTTTTCTCTTTTTTTTTGAGATAGGGTCTCACTGTTACCCAGGCTGGAGTGCAGTGGCATGATCTCAGCTCACTGCAACTGCTGCCTCCCGGGTTCAAGCCATTCTCGTGCCTCAGCCTCCCGAGTAGCTGGGATTACAGGCACTCGCTACCATGCCCTACTAATTTTTGTATTTTTAGTAGAGATGGGGTTTAACCATGTTGGTCAGGCTATTCTCAAACTCCTGACCTCAGGTGATCCGCCCGCCTCAGCCTCCCAAGTGCTGGGATTACAGGTGTGAACCACCATACCTGGCCTGGACACTAGACTTTTATTAGATATATGATTTGCAAATATTTTCTCCCATTTTGTGAACTATCTTTTTATTCTCTTGATAGTGCCCTTTGATGTACAAAAGTTTTTAACTTGGATGAAGTTCAGTGTATCTAATTTTTTATCTGATTGCTTGGGTTTTTGGTGTCATAGTTAAGAAATTGTTGGCCGGGCATGGTGGCTCATGCCTGTAATCGCAGCACTTTGGGAGGCCGAGGTGGGAGGATCACTAAGTCAGGAGTTCGAGACCAGCCTGGCCAACATGGTGAAACCCCGTCTCTACTAAAAATACAAAAATTAGCTGGGTATGGTGGCATATGCCTATATTCCCAGCTACTGGGGAGGCTGAGGCAGGAGAATCCCTTGAACCCGGGAGGCAGAGGTTACAGTGAGCTAAGATCATGCCACTGCACTCCAGCCTGGGCGACAGAGCAAGACTCTCTCAAAAAAAAAAAAAAAAAAGAAAGAAATTGTTGCCCAAGGTAATGAAGATTTACACCTATGTTTTCTTCTAAGATTTTTGTAGTTTTAGCTCTTACATTTAGGTGTTTGATCCATTTTGAGTTGATTTTTGTATATGACTTGAGGTAGTAGTTCAACTTAATTCTTTTGCATGTGGATACCCAGCTGTCCCAGGAGCATTTGTTAAAAAGGCTATTCTTTCTCCCATTAAATTGTCATGGAATCCCTGTCAAATATCAATTGACCATAAATGTAAGCATTTATTTCTGGATTCTCAGTTCTAATTCATCAATCTATATGTCTGCCCTTATGCCAGCACCACATTGTGTTGATTACTATAGTTTTGTAATAAGTTTTGAAATCAAGAAACGTTCATTTAAAGGTAAAAACCTAAAAATAACAAATAAAAATAAAGGGAAAAAAAGGAGGTGTTAGTCCTTCAATTTTTTTTTTTTTTTTTTTTTTGAGACGGAGTCTTGCACTCTCACCCAGGCTGGAGTGCAGTGGCACCATCTCGGCTCACTGCAAGCTCTGCCTCCCGGGTTCACACCATTCTCCTGCCTCAGCATCCCGAGTAGCTGGGACTACAAGCGCCCGCTACCACGCCCGACTAATTTTTTATATCTTTAGTGGAGATGGGGTTTCACCGTGTTAGCTGGGATGGTCCCAATCTCCTGACCTTGTGATCCGCCCGCCTCAGCCTCCCAAAGTGTTGGGATTACAGGCGTGAGCCACTGCGCCTGGCCTTGTTTTTCTTTTTCAAGATTGTTTTTGCTATTCTGTGTCCTCTGCATTTCCATATAATTTTTAGGATCAGCTTGTCAATTTTTGCAAAATTTTGAGAGATTGCATTGAATATGTAGATCAATTTCGGTAGCATTGCCATCTTAATAATATTGTCTTCCAATCCATGAATATGGACTATGGACTGTCTTTCCAGTTATTTGGGTATTTTTAAATTTATTTCAATTATGTTTTGTAGTTTTATTTGTAAAAGTCTTGTGCTTCTTTGGTTAAATTTATTCCTAAGAATTTTGTTTTTGATGCTAATGTAAATGAAGTTGTTTTCTTAATTTTAAGATTATTCATTGCTATTGAGTAAAGATACAATTAATTTTATATTTTGTCCAAGATACTGATCTTGTATTCTGCAACCCTGCTGAAGGGCATTTATTTGTTCTAAAAGGTTTTGTTTTTGTTTTGTGGATCTCTTAGGGTTTTCTATATACAAGATTATGGCATTTGCAATATACATATATGTGTGTGTATATATATATATATAGAGAGAGAGTTTTAGTTCTCCTTTCTAATCTGGATGCCTCTTATTTGTTTTTTAATTTTTTCTTTTGGCTTTATTTCCCTGGCTAGAACCCCCAATACAATTCTGAATAGAAGTGAGAGCAAAATCCTTGTCTTATTCTTGATCTTAGAGGGAATGCTTGCAGTCTTTTATCATTGAATACGCTATATTAGCTTTGAGTTTTTCATAGATGTCCTTTATCAGGTTGAAGATATTTCTTTCCATTTCTATTTTGTTGATTTTTTTCAAATCATGAAAGGATGTTAGATTTTGCCAAATACTTTTTCTATGTGTATTGAGATGATCATGTTATTTTTCCTTTATTCTATTAATAACATGTATTACATAATTAAATCTTATTCATTAAACCAACTTAGCATTCCTGAGATAAATCCCACCTGATCATAGTATATATTTTATTTATTTTTTTATTTTTTTGAGATGGAGTCTGGCTCTGTCACCCAGGTTGCAGTTCAGTGGCACAATCTCAGCTCACTGCAGCCTCTGCCTCCTGAGTTCAAGCAATTCTGCCTCAGCCTCCCAAGTAGCTGGGACTACAGGTGCATGCCACTATGCCTGGCTAATTTTTGTATTTTTAGTAGAGACAGAGTTTCACCATATTGGCCAGGCTGGTCTCAAACTCCTGACCTTGTGATCTGCCCACCTTGGCCTCCCAAACTGTTGGGATTACAGGCGTGAGCCACCGCGCCCGACCTCTATATATCTTATATCCTTTTTGTTCCTCTATTTCTCCATTGTTGACTTCTTTTTTGTTAAATAGGTATTATCTAGTGTACCTTTTTAATTCTCTTGTCAATTATTTGTTAAAATGTCAGAATATATAATGATATAAAAAAGCTTTCTTCCTATATTGTTCCATTTCCTCCTCTCCTTTTGGCTATTAACATCATACAAGTAATGTCTTTATACACTGTGTGCCCATCAGCACATATTTCTAATTATTGTTTTATGCTGTCTTTTGTATTAATTAATTTATTTATTTATCTATCTATTTTGAGACAGAGTCTCGCCCTGTTGCCCAAAGTGGAGTGCAGTGGTGCAGTCTTGGCTCACTGCAACCTCTGCCTCCTGGGTTCAAGTGATTCTCCTGCCTCAGCCTCCTGATAAGCTGGGACCACAAGCGCATGCCACCATGCCACCTAATTTTTGTATTTTTTGGTAGAGACAGAGTTTCACTATGTTGGCCAGGCTGGTCTCAAACTCCTGACCCCAAACGATCCGCACACTCTGGCCTCCCAAAGTGTTGGGATTACATGTGTGAGCCACCGCGCCTGGCCTGTATTTACATTTCATACTCTCTTTTATAGTTGTCTTTGTAGTAGCTTTTTCTGGTGTACTTTATTTCTTCATGCATATTGAGTTATTGTCTAGTGTGCTTTCATTTCAGCCTGAATAAATAGCTTTAGTATTTATTGTAGATCTCTTAGTGAATTTTTGTTTATCTACTCTCTTAATATCTGCTTCCTTTTTGAAGGACATTTTTACTAGATAGAGAATTTTTGGTTGGCAGTTTTTTTCTTTCAGAGCTTTTACTATGTCATAGTAGATGGCTCTTATGGTCTCCATGACTTCTGATTAGAAGTCAGATGTTAATCTTATTGAGGGTTCCTTGTACATAATAAGTCACCTTTCTCCTGATGCCCTGAAGATTCTCTTTGACTTTAGCTTTTGACAATTTGACTGCAGTGTGTCTAGGTGTAGATATCTTTGATTTTATTCCACTTAGAGTTCACTGAGTTTCTTCGATGTACATGCTTATTTTTTTCATCAAATTTGGGAAGTTTTTGACCATTATGTTTAAATTTTTCTGTTTCTCTCTCACTCTCTTTCTAGTACTCTGATTTTGCGTATATTGGTACACTTAATGATATCTCCAAGGTCTCTGAAACTGTTGATTTTTCTTTTATCTTTTTTCTTTCTGTTCCTCAAATTGGATTATCTCAATTGACCAGTGCATTCAAGTTCACTAATTTTTACTTTTGCAAGTCCAAATTCGCTGTTGTGCCCTTCTATTAAATTTTTCATTTGTTATTGTACTTTTTTTTTTTTTTTTTTGAGATCGAGTCTCGCTCTGTCGCCCAGGCTGGAGGGTGGTGTCGTCATTTTGGCTCACTGCAACCTCTACCTCCCAGGTTCAGGCGATCCTCCCACCTCAGCCTCCTGAGTAGCTGGAATTACAGGAGCGTGCCACCATGCTCAGCTAATTGTTTTGTTTTGTTTTGTTTTTAGTAGAGACGGGGTTTCAACATGTTGGTCAGGCTGGTCTCGAACTCCTGACCTTGAGTGACCTGCCCTTCTTGCCCCTTGGCTTACCAAAGTGATGGGATTACAGGCATGAGCCACCACACCTGGCCTGTTATTGTACTTTTCAACTCCAGAATATCTATTTGATTCTTCATCATTTCCATCTCTTTTTTTGAGATTCTCTATTTGGTGAGACATCTTTCTTTCAATTGTTTAGACAGATTCCTGTTTATTTATTTATTTATTTTTATTTTTATTTTTTTTGATGGAGTCTTTCTCTTGTCACCCAGGCTGGAGTGCAGTGGTGCAATCTTGTCTCACTGCAACCTCTGCCTCCTGGGTTCAGGCACTTCTCATGCCTCAGCCTCCCAAGTAGCTGGGATTATAGGCCTGAGCCACCACCCTCAGCTAATTTTGTATTTTTTTAGTAAAGACAGGATTTCACCATGTTGGTTAGGCTGGTCTCAAACTCCTGACCTCAGGTGATCCACCCACCTCAGCCTCCCAGAGTGCTGGGATTACAGGCATGAGCCACTGCACCTGGCCCCTTTTAATTTTTTGAACATGTTTAAAATAGCTGATTTAAAATCTTTGTCTAGGCCTCAGGCGCAGTGGCTCATGCCTGTAATTTCAGCACTTTGGGCACCGGAGGCAGAAGGATCGCTTGCAGCCAAGAGTTTGAGACCAGGCCGGAAAACAAAATGAGACCCCATCTCTACAAAAAAATTAAAAAATTGTCCAGCATGGTGGCACATGCCTGTAGTTCCAGCTACTCAGGAGGCTAAGACAAAAGGATCACTGGAGCCCAGGAGTTCGAGACTGCAGTGAATCATGATTGTGCCACTGCACTCCAGCCTGGACAACAGAGTGAGACTCTATCTCTAAAAAAATTAATTAAATAAAAATAAATAAAACATACATACATAAAATCTTTGCCTAGTAAACCTAACATCCTGACTTTCTTAGGAGCAGTTTCTGTTGTTTCTTTTTTCTCCTGTATGTGGGCCATATTTTCCTTCTTATATGCATGTCTTATAATATTTTGTTGAAAGCACAACATTTAAAATAATACAATGTGGCAACTCTGAAAATTGGATCCTGCCACCCCAGGGTTTGTGGTTGATACTGTTTGTTGCTGTTGTTGCTGTTCATTTGTTTAGTGAATTTCCTGGACAAATTCTGTGATGTCTGTATTTTTTGTCACATGCAGCAGCTAAAGTCTCTGGCTAGTTAGCTTAGTGGTCAGCTGATAATTGGATAGCAATTTCCTTAAATGCCTTGAATCTATAGTCTCCCAGCCTTTGCAAAAGGACTTAGTGTGTGTGTTGGGGTACACTTTCACCATTGACAACTCTACTTTAGCCTTTATTTCCTGCTTATGCACAGCCCCAAAGTCAGCCAAAGGTGACAGATTATGGCATTTTCATGTCTTTCCTGGGCCTATGCACATGCACAAGGCCTTACATATTCCCAGGAATAAGAGCTTTTCTTTTTTCCTTTTCTTTTCTTTTTTTTTTTAATGGAGTTTCGCTCTTGTTACCCAGGCTGGAGTGCAATGGCGCCATCTTGGCTCACTGCAACCTCTACCTCCCAGGTTCAAGCGATTATTCTGCCTCAGCCTCCCAAGTAGTTGGGACTACAGGCGTGTGCCACCACACCTGGCTAATTTTTGTATTTTTAGTAGAGACAGGGTTTCACCATGTTGGTCAGGCTGGTCTCGAACTCCTGATCTCAGGTGATCCACTCACCTCGGGCTCCCAAATTGCTGGGATTACAGGCGTGAGCGACCATGCCTGGCCTGAATAAGAGCTTTTCAAAGCCTCCTATGGACATGTCATTTTTTAGTTTTTCTTTTTAATTTTTTACCAGCTTCTTGTTAGTCCTGCCTGGTATTGACATTTCAGGCAACTGCGGTTTAAACTTTTCCCTCATCCACCCCTAAGCACACACACTTTTCCACGCCTCCATTTCCTCAAGACAGTTTTATCATGCTGGTTGTAGTGGATCATATCTGTAGTCCCAGAATTTTGGGAGGCCAAGGTGAGTGGATCACATGAGCCCTGGAGTTCTGCCTGGCAACAGAGGGAGACTTTGTCAAAAGAGAGAGAAAAAAAAGAAGGAAGGAAGGAAGGAAGTTAGAAAGGAAGGAAGGAAAGGAAAGGAAGGAAGGAAGGAAAAGAGATTTATCAAATTTTTTCATTAAATCAATATTCAGTGTTCTTTTTGTTTGTTTTTGTTTTTGTTTTTGAGATGGAGTCCCACTCTGTCGCCTGGGCTGGAGTGCAGTGGTGCAATCTCGGCTCACTGCAACCTCTGCCTCTCGAGTTCAAGTGATTCTGCTGCCTCAGCCTCCTGAGTAGCTGGGACTACAGGCGCCCGCCACCACGCCCGGCTAATGTTTTGTATGTGTAGTAGAGACGAGGTTTCATCATGTTAGCCAGGATGGTCTCTATCTCCTGACTTCAGGATCCACCCACCTTGGCCTCCCAAAGTGCTGGGATTACAGGCATGAGCCACCATACCTGGCTCATATTCAGTGTTTATATCAGAGTTTCCCAGTAGGAGCAATATTGGCGTTTTGGTGGGACAGTTCTTCATTGTAAAGGATATTTAGCATCTCTGGTCTCTGTCCACTAATTGCCAGTAATGGTTATATAACAGTGGGAACCAAAAACATGCCTACATATTTCTAAACATGCTCTTGAGCTTAGCAGGCAGTATCACTTGGTTAACAATCTGCTTCACAGTATTTCGACTGTATAATTAGGTTTACACTGAAACATATGTACTGTTATTGCATTTTCTGTCTTCAACTTTCTTTTTTTTGTATAGTTACTAATTACCTCCCTTATTTGTTTAGTTTCTTAGTAACGATCACTATTTGCTAAGATCTCCGAATGTATATCAAATATCTCTCCATAACATCAAACATAGCAAGTAATTGCTTCTTTCTACTCTTACTTTATTTATATTATTTATTTTTTTGAGGCAGAGTCTCTCACCGTTGCCCAGGCCGGAGTGCAGCGGTGGGATCTTGGTTCACTGCAACCTCCAGCTCCCGAGTTCAAGCGATCCTCCTGCCTCAGCCTCCTGAGTAGCTGGGATTACAGGTGCCCGCCACCACGCCCAGCTATTTTTTTGTATTTTTAGTAGAGACAGGGTTTCACTCTGACAGGCCAGGCTGGTCTTGAACTCCTGACCTTGTGATCCTCCCTCCTCTGCCTCCCAAAGTACTGGGATCACAGGCATGAGCCACAGCGCCCGGCTGCTTCTTTCTACTCCTTCTTGGAAACAGTCCTCCTGGAGCCTTCTGTCTTTTCACACAACTCTGAACTGATTAACCAGGACTGCTGCACAGCAGACATTCTGGGGCTTCTCTTCACCACCATCCTGGTAATTGGACTCAAAAAATGTGAATTGGAAAATCCAAGTTGTCTCCACTGCCTGTTTGACTGGGGGAGGCTGAAGAAGTTCAGGATAATGCAGAGCATAAAGAAGTTACATGGCCAGGTGTGCTGGCTCACGCCTGTAATCCCAGCACTTTGGGAGGCTGAGGCGGGCAGATCATGAGGTCAGGAGATTGAGACCATCCTGGCTAACACATGAAACCCTGTCTCTACTAAAAATACAAAAAAAAATTAGCCGGGTGTGGTGGCGGGTGCCTGTAGTCCCAGCTACTTGGGAGGCTGAGGCAGGAGAATGGCATGAACCCAGGAGGCGGAGCTTGCGTGAGCCAAGATCACACCACTGCACTCCAGCCTGGGTAACAGAGCGAGACTCTGTCTCAAAAAAAAAAAAAAAAAAAAAAAGAAGTTACATTTTCTCTGAATGTCTGAGGGCAGAGTGAATGTATGTGTAACATTACTTCATACATATATGGAATGAATACTCTTTAATGTGCTTCTATATTTATCATATAATTTGGTCCTTATTTTAACTTTCTCATTTCAGATTTGAGGAAATTGAAGTGCACTGCCTGGCACCCACTTTACTTCTGAAACAATACATGTGGTAACAGTATTAAGTGCTCACTATTTTGCAAACATTGTTCAAGAACCCTAGGAAAGACAGTACAGAATAAATAGAAAGCAAAGTCTTTTTGTCCAAGAACTTAAAGCCCGTCAGTGTTGGGAACATGCGATTTGTGTGTGCAATGGTGCAGGAGTCTGGTCGTGTCCATCTCTGGGGTGCAGAGCTGCCTCTGAAGACTTGGCAAGACCTACCCAACAGTCGTTCACTGAGCAGAGACTGAGGAGCCTCCTGGGATTGGGCTCATCCTCAGGAAAAGCGGAGCCAGTCCCAAGCTTGAACCAGTGACAAGTCCTTGGATGTCGGAGAGAAGTAGAACGTTGAGGTACAGTAAGAAACCCTTGTTGACTTCCAGAAGTGCTTGAGGGATTTTGTGGGGAGCTGAGGCCTGGAGAGAGTCAGCTGTTCTGAAATGTAGGCTGTGACTCCTGATGTGTGCCATCTTTATGTACAAGCCAGTGAGGCCTAGAGCTCTCAGGTTAGACTTAAAATTTCCCTCTGACACTCACACAGACACTGAGGGGCAATGTGCACTGTACTCTTTTCCTCTTTATTTTATAGAGCCCCAAGTTTATTCGGAGGGTAACATATTTGGGAAAGGTATGCCCCTTCCTCTTCCCCATGGAATAAACCATATTTGGTCAAAGCCAGGCATGATCATTCCATTTCCCTGTGCTCATGGTTGGTGTAGGGTAGCAAGTGATCCACGACTTCACCTCATGATAAACGGTAGGGAGGCTAGCCCTCTTCTGCATTGAATGAGGTTGCATGAGCAAGCAATGCTTGCAGCTGTGGCAGCCTTTTTGTAACCATGTGGCAACAAGCCTAAGAGGAAAGCTACTGAAGATGGCAGAGCAGAAAGAGAGAACCTGGGCCTGTCATGATATTTCTGGGACCATCTGTATGTCACCTGGATTCTGCTCTGGCAGTTGAGGCAGGATGAGAGGGGTGAGAGATGAGACGATGTGTACTAGCAGTCTGGAAGAGGTCCACGGAGGGTCAGTTTGTTCAGGAAGCATACCCTTCCACTTTCACCAGTGAAAGTCCCACTTGAGTTTCTAGGGCTCTAGTCCTAACCTAACCAGATGCTTTCATCACTGCAGTTGTTTTCCAGGAGTCAGGATCTAGAGGTAGTCAGATGGCAGATGGCTCCTCCTGCCCCTTTTTAGCCTGACCCTGTGAAGTAGATATTGTTATCCCATCTTATACATAAGAAATAGGGGCTTAGAAAGATTAATTGACTTGTCCAACATCAACAGCAGAGCTGGGAATCAAACCTGGAGTCTCTGTTGCTAAGACCTGGGCTCTGCTCCCTGCACACCAATTGCTTTCAAGACTAAACCAGCTGGGTGTAGTGGCTCACACTTGTAATCCCGGCACTTTGGGAGGCTGAGATGGGAGGATCGCTTGAGCCCAGGGGTTCAAGACCAGCCTGGGCAACATAGTGGGACACTGTCTCTACAAAAACATTACAAATTAACCAGGCATGGTGGTGTGCACCTGTAGTCCTAGCCACTTGGGAGGCTGGGGTGGGAGGATCACCTGAGCCCAGGAGGTTGAGGCTGCAGTAAGCTATGATCCCACCATGGTGCTACAGCTTCAGTGACAGAGTGAGACTCTTGTTTCAAAAAAAAAAAAAAAAAAGACTAAATGCCATGACTCTCTTCGGATTCCACCCTTCCTCCTCGTGTTTCCTGAATAATAACCTGTTAATAATAATTATTATAATATTTAATAATAATAATTGGCACCCCCATGGACCCAGTGAGTCCAGCTCAAATCCTAGCGTGGATCAGGGGTTGAAGGAGTCAGGAAAATGTATGATTCATTTCACAAAGACTTTGTGAAGAGGGGCGGGTTGTTGTGTGAGTCAGAGGGTACCAGGTGGGGCTGGGGTGGGGAGAGGACGGAGAAGGGAAAGCTTTGCTGGTGAGGGACACCGGGGACCTGAAACTCAGTGGACTGCAACACAGACGGGAACAGGGCACAGCCCTGTGCTGGAGACTTCCTACTTGGGTGCTATCGTTTGGAAATCTGTCCTCCCAAATCTCATGCTGAAATGTAATCCCCAGTGTTGGAGGTGGGGCCTAGTGGAAGCAGTGGAGCAGTTTCTGATGAATGGTTTAGTGCCATCCTTTTTAGTGCTGTCCTCATGATAGTGAGTGAGTTCTCACTAGATCCGGTTGTTAAAAAAGGTGTGGCACCTCCCCCCACCTCTTGCTCCTGCTTTCCCCATGTGACATGCCTGCTCCCACTTCACCCTCTGCCACTAGTAAAGCTCCCTGAGGCCCCTTGGAAGCCAAGCAGATGCTGGCACTATGGTTTACAGGCTGCAGAACTGTGAGCCAAATAAACCTCTTTTCTTTGTAAATTACCCAGTCTCAGATATTTCCCTATAGCAATGTAAGAATGGCCTAATACATTGGGTGATTCAGGGAAGGTTTCCTGATGGAGGTTGGGCTCTGAAAAGGGGAAATGGTGATTCTGGGCACAGGAAATGCTAGAGCAGAGCCCAGGCCCAGCAGCTGCAGGGCGTGCAGGAACCACTCATAGCAACCAGCCAGACACCGTTCGCCTCCTCTCCCTCTGCAAAATCTCCACTCACTCCTTTGGATATTGCTCTGACCATCCCCGCCCCGTCCTGTGACCTCTGCGGACTGGCATCCCAGCAGGATGGCCCAGCTCTCCAGCCTGGCAGCCAGAGCCTTCTCCACTAGGCCTTTTTCTCTTCACTCTCCTGGGCATGGCACCCCTGGGCAAACTCCTAACTACCACCTCTGCCTGGTATAGCTGGAACCACCCCACTGTGAAGCCTCCCTCACTCTGTAAAAGCCAGTACCCCAGGAAGCCTCCTCTAACCCTTTGCCCTCTGCCACTCCAAGGAAGTGCTATTGGAGGAGCTGCCTGATCTCTCTGGCCTTCTGTGTGGCAGCAGAAGTTTGTGTCAACTGCTGTGGGAACGTGATTGGTGGAGCAGGTGATTCCAGAACTCACGTGACCAGGACACGGAATGTGTGGGCTTGCCAATATTTTGATATATAAATCAACTGTTTTCATTATGGAAGTAACAAAACCTCAAGGGAAATAGAAAAAAAAATTCCCTGTAATCATCCCACCCAGCTAGGAGGTCTACTGTGTGTGTTTTTGACATTTTGCTGTCCTCGTTGGTGCAAGGGCAGATGTGACTGTTTATGCCTGTGGAGGGCAGAGGGGTTTTTCTTCTTCTTGTCTTTTTTTAGAGACAGGGTCTCCCTCTTTTGCCCAGCCTGGATGGAATGCAGTGGCATGATCCCAGCTCACTGCAGCCTCGAACCCCTGGCCTCAAAGGATCCTCCTGCCTCAGCCTCCCAAGTAGCTGGGACTACAGGCACCTGCCACCGTGCCTGGCTGATTTATTTTTTATTTGTTTGTTTAGAGATGGGGTCTCCCTACATTGGCCAGGCTGGTCTTGAACTCCTGGCCTCAAATGTTCCTCCTGTCTTGGCCTCCCAAAGTTTTGGGATTATAGGCGTGAGCCATGTTGTCGTCATTACAGCTACATTGAGATATAATTTATGTGCCACACAATGCATGCCTTTCAAGTGTACAGTTCAGTGGCATTGAGGTATATCCACAGAACCGTACAACCATCACCACATTGAGAAAATTTTTATCACCCTAAAAAATCCTTTACAAAATCCTTTACCCTTTAGCAGTCACCCCATGTTTTGATTTTTGCTTTACATGATTTTACAAGCATCTTTTCCTGTTGCTGGAAAATCTCCTTACCCATCCTCTTTGGTGACTGTCAGCAAAGGCTTTCGGGTGGTGAAATAGCGTGGCCAGGAGTGCTCTAGAACAATGGTGTTGGTGAGGGCTGCAGAAGCTGAGGACCCACAGGCAGAGAGGGAGGGATGGTAGAAGCAGGTGGTGAGGAGGGACTCGGGGCAGGACTTTGGGGGTAAAAGGAAGCAAGTCTCTGGAAGCAGAACCAGCAGCACTGCTGATCATTGGGACGTGGAGAAAGGCGAAGGCTCAGGGTGTCAGCAAACTTCCTAGGGTGGGTGAGGGTTGCCAGGTCAATAACGAACAGGGTCCCAGGAAAAGGCGGCAGCACAGGTTTGGGGAGAATTAGAGATGAGCTTGGTTTTGGTCTTGTTGGATTTGGGGGCACCAGTCTCTCTCCTGGCGAGAGTCGGCAGTGGGGTGTTAGGATCTGGCCCTCAGGAGGCTGTTAGGGCTGAAGCAAGAGATTTGGGAGTTAAGGGTGTGAGGGCCACGTGGGAGGCCTCGGGAGCCTGTGCCGATCCAGGGTGAGTGTGAAGGAAAGAAAAAAGAGGGCCCGGGGAACACTGGTATTTTCGGGCGGTGGACGAGGATGGGACGGCCACGAGCTTGTCTTAAGGTAGAAGGCAGAGCGGGGCCGTAGGGGCAGTGGCGCGGGCGAGGGTGGAGAACAGCGCTGAGCCTCGCTGGGAGGCGGCCGGAGGGGGCTGCAGCCCCCGAGGGCTCCTTGCAGTCCGGCCCCGCAGCCTGGAGACAGCTCCGGTGGTGCTGCGCTGCCCGAGACTGCTGCACGAGCGGGGACTGCGGCCTCGGCTCCCTGCCTGCCCGGCAGCCCCCCATCCAGTCGGCCTGCCCGGGGTGCGCAGGGTTAGCCTGGAGTGAGCTCGCCCCGCCCGGGGTTGCGCGGCCCTGGGGGGTCCTCTCGCGGCGGCTCCTGGGACCTGCTGGCGCCCCGGGCAGAGCCCGGCCCCATCCCAGGAGTCGCCCGGACTGGAAGGCAGTGCGAGCACTGGGACACAGCCTCCGAGCTCGAGCGTGACGGGAAGTTGGGGCAATTTGTTAGTTATCCGCCGCCACCAAGACGCGGCACGGCGCCTGGACCGGAGGGGCCCCGCGCGGGCGCGAACTTTGGGCTCGGGCGAGTGGGTGGTGCTCCGCCCAGCCCGAGACGGGCGGGCGCGCGGGCCAATGGGTGCCGCCTCTTGGCCGCGGGGGGCCCCGACCCGTGGGTCCCGGCCACCAGCGCCCCAGCCCCGAGGCTCAGAAGCGGCAGGCGGAGGCGCGGTCCGGGCGCTATGGCCATGCCCGGCGGGTCTCACGCGGCTGCCCCTCGCCCGGCGCGCCTTCGGTAGGGGGCGCCCGGGGCCCAGCTGGCCCGGCCATGCTGCTGGAGACACAGGACGCGCTGTACGTGGCGCTGGAGCTGGTCATCGCCGCGCTTTCGGTGGCGGGCAACGTGCTGGTGTGCGCCGCGGTGGGCACGGCGAACACTCTGCAGACGCCCACCAACTACTTCCTGGTGTCCCTGGCTGCGGCCGACGTGGCCGTGGGGCTCTTCGCCATCCCCTTTGCCATCACCATCAGCCTGGGCTTCTGCACTGACTTCTACGGCTGCCTCTTCCTCGCCTGCTTCGTGCTGGTGCTCACGCAGAGCTCCATCTTCAGCCTTCTGGCCGTGGCAGTCGACAGATACCTGGCCATCTGTGTCCCGCTCAGGTGAGGCGCTCGGCGTCGCCCGAACTCGGGGCCCCGTCGGAGCTCCGAAATGGGTCGTCTTCTCCAGGCCGGG